>NC_000021.9:32095030-32404984 GCF_000001405.40 Homo sapiens
TATAGCTGCCAGGGAAGCTGCTTGCCCTCCACATCTTTTATCAAGGCTAGAAGGTGAACTTGGGGTAATGAACCAGTCCTAATGAGGATGTAACCAAAGGGAACGGTAGAACAGTGAAATGAAAGGAAGTTGGATCCCTGTATGACCTGCCAGATCAGAGCAGCTGCCCTCCATCCTCTCTCCCGAAACTGCCCTGTTCAGCTCAAACTTTAAAGGAGAGAAAAATGAACATTCCATCTTGTTTAAGTCACTCTTATTTTCATCTCTGCTAAAGCAACTGAACCAACATATACAAACTGGATCAATAAGTAATTTGCGCTGTGATTTTGCTTACTATCATGCACATATATTGGTGTCCAAAAAACATGAGTGTGAAATCTTGTCAAAAGTTTGCTCACATGTTACCTGTTTTTTCCTGCCAACCAACACCACACACCACTTTCTCATAAAGGTCTTCTTAGATCCAGGAAGCTAACCCAGAACCCTTTAAAAATGATCATATTCTCTGGCCGGGCGCGGTGGCTCACGCCTGTAGTCCCAGCACTTTGGGAGGCCGAGGCGGGTGGATCACGAGGTCAGGAGATCGAGACCATCCTGGCTAACAAGGTGAAACCCCGTATCTACTAAAAATGCAAAAAATTAGCCGGGCGCGGTGGTGGGCGCCTGTAGTCCCAGCTACTCGGGAGGCTGAGGCAGGAGAATGGCGTGAACCCGGGAAGCAGAGCTTGCAGTGAGCCGAGATTGCGCCACTGCAGTCCGCAGTCCGGCCTGGGCGACAGAGCGAGACTCCGTCTCAAAAAAAAAAACAAACAAACAAAAAAAAAACAAACAAAAAAAAAAACACATCATATTCTCAAACAGCTAATAGAAAGGTCAATTCAGAGTGATTTACCTTCAGAGAGGGACCCTCAGAGAGAACCTTGTTTTGGGGAGTTGTAAGAAGCCCTGTAGGCTCTATGACCTTATATCTCAGATTTTTAGGACAATTCTAATTTAAACTATTCTGGCTCAGTTCCCACAAATGTATTTGTAAGTGTACTTGCCATGGTTTTTGTTGAGAAATGTGGTCGCAGTCCCTACGGGCCCCTCAGCTGATTGTCATCCCTTCGTGTCATCTTGCCCTCTGGTCTTCCTCCTGCCAACTCAGGAAGGTCTAAACTCAGGGGACAGAGGACTGCTCCCTCTGAGCTGCTCCCCCCGAGCTGCTTCCTCTGAGCTGCTCCCTCCGAGCTGCTCCCTCTGGCCCCCTCTCTGACGGACTTTTTCTATTCTAGGAACTGTACCGCACTCATTCGTAGGGAAGCTTTTTTTTTTTTTTTTTTTTTTCCTTTTGGAGAAGTTAAGCTTCTTTAGAGATTAAAGTTGGTTTCCTCTAGCTTCCTTACAAACTCACAGTGTTAAAACTGGGTCATAGAGACATAGTTGTTCCATTTTCTAACCAGACAATAGCTTCAGGCAGTGCCAGAGTTCCCCTCCTCTCTGCCCCCTTTCTGGAGCCCCAGGAAGCCGCTGAGCAAGTCCCTCCTGCTGGGAGTGGACAGACCTCCTTTGCACCTGCCCTCCTCCCTGGGCCAAGGGCACTTGCCCTTGTCACCAGCTTAAGCTGTCGCCTTTTCCTTTGTCTCTAATTTATGCTACTGGCCTCCAGGGGGCTCCCCTCTGCTCCCGCTTCCCTCTCCTTCCCTCCTCCCCCTAGGATGCATTCTAAACAAGGGCAAGGACATTTTTTGGGGTCATGGGGCTAGGGGTGGAATTTTTGTCTGTCCTCAAGGGCTTAATGCGTTGAGACTGTCATAGATGGTATCATCATTCAAAAATATTTTCCGGCCCTTCCTGAAGGAGAGGATAGTTCCCTACCCCCTGCCCCCCACTGACATCAGATTTGACATTGTGACTTGCTCTTGCCAAGAAATGCAAGCAGAAGTGATGTGACACATGTCACTTCCAGGAAAAAGCTTTAAGAGCTAGTGTGTGGTTTGCTGTGTGTCTTTTCTCTCTTCCACAAGATGGACAATGGTCCAGAAAGGGGCTGCTTCATCAGCCTGGATCCCAAAGAAGATAACATGAAGCAGGGATATAGTTGACCCATGACAGATGGGCAGCTTGAGCAAGAAATAAACCTCTCTGACTGTAAGTCATTGCAGGTTGGGCATGTTGTTATTGTAGCATAATCTAATCTGTCCTGACTATTTTAGAACATACATAGAAATGATCTCACACTCTTTTTCTATGAAGCTATGGTGAGTTGGGCTTGGGTTGGACATGCAAGGAGACTGCTGCATCATGAGAATATAGTGTGGATAGATTAGTCTACCTCTGCTCTAGGCTTTAGAAAGAACCCCACCACTCCCCGCCCCCTACTCCACTCTCTTTTCTGGCCCTGGAATGACCTTAATGTTATCTGTTTCCATATGTACCTGTGTGTTAGTCTGTTTTCACGCTGCTGATAAAGACATACCTGAGACTGGGTAATTTATAAGGAAAAAGAGGTTTAATGGACTCACAGTTCCACGTGGCTGGGGAGGCCTCACAATCATGGCAGAAGGAGAAAGGCACGTCTTCCATGGCAGCAGACTACAGAGAACGAGAGCCAAGCAAAAGTGGAAACTCCTTATAAAACCATCAGATCTTGTGTGATTTATTCACTACCATGAGAACAGGATGAGGGAAACCACTCCCATGATTCAATTATCTCCACCTAGTTGCTCCCACATGTGAGAATTATGGGAGCTACAATTCAAGATGAGATTTGGTTGAAGACACAGCCAAACCATATCAGCCTATTTTTATCCCTGGTCCACCTTAAGGCAGGATGCAGTCTCTCTTCCCAGGCACCAGAAAGAGGCCATTGCATTAGAAGAACTGATGATAAATATTGATTTTACTGAAGATCTCACAGGGAAGATAGAATGTTTATATCATATCCTCAATGCCAACTGCCCATGCATGTCTGTAGCAGTTCTCCATGATACAATGAGCTCTGGAGCCAAAATACTTAGGTTCGAATCTCAGCTTTACCACTTAGTGTGTGATCCTGAGCAAGTGAATTAAATTCTATGTCTGAGTTTTCTCTTCTGCAAATTGGAGACAATGATGCTTCCTGTCTACTAGGGTTGTTATTCTCGGTCTCTGACAAGCATGAAAGTTCGACTCGAACTAACCTCTTCTTGGTAACTTTATTCTTTACCTGTCTTCTCCGCATGACCAGAGATACCTCTGTAAAATGAGGTTGAGCAGGAATATCAAGCCTGCCACACAGCAAATACATAGTAAATGTTAGTCATCATCATAATCATTATCATCACTGTTATTTCAGCTATTAACAATCTTCACCAGATATGCTTGCTTTTCTAAGTCCCTTCCTCCCCATTATGCTATTGGTGGCTGTGACTTTTTTTTTCTTTTCTTTTCTTTTCTTTTTTTTTTTTTTTTGAGACAGAGTCTCACTGTGTCACCCAGGCTGGAGTGCAGCGGTGTGATCTCGGCTGACTGCAACCTCTGCCTCCAGGGTTCAAGCAATTCTCCTGCCTCAGCCTCCCAAGTAGCTGGGACTACAAGCACACGCCACCACTCCAGGCTAATTTTTCTATTGTTAGTAGAGATGGGGTTTCACCATATTGGCCAGGCTGGTCTCGAACTCCTGACCATGAGGTTTTGGTCGGCCTCCCAAAGTGCTGGGATTACAGGTGTGAGCCACTGTACCCGGCCTGTGCCTTGCCTTTCATTTGATCTTCTCCTGTGTCGTGTCCAGCCTCATGGTCTCCTGTCCCTCCCCTTCTGAACTGAAGCTTCCCCACCACAATTGAGTCCCTTGTGTATCTGGGATCTGGCGTTCATGCCCTCCTCTCTCTCTTCCCTCCTACACTCCCCCTCCACCACCCCAACCACAAGCCCACATATCTCTAGCTCTCAACCATCCTACCTTGGAGACATTACTTGCAGAGAATAGCCTGCAATGCTGTGAAGTTCCCTCCCAGGGAGAAAGAGGTCATCTTGAGAACTTATATCCCACAGCCCCCAGTCTCCCATGCTGGGACCTTCTCACCTCTTCTGTCCTGGCAAGCAGCCAAGTGTGGCTCAGAGGCTGAGCAGAGGGAAAGATGTTGGCCCTTTGCTCCTCAGCATCAGTGGGCTTAAGTGCGGGCACAATCCAGACCTGGAGTGTTTGCATTTGAAGGCTTAGTTCTACTCGAATGAAACTCTGGTTCAAGGCCTTCCAGGCCAATGAAAAATTCCAGCCAACTGAGACCAAGCAAATGTGGCTGTATCCACATATTCAGAGCCAGGCCTTGGGCAGGGCAGGTGACAAGGAGCATGTCATTTGGGGGAACCTAGCACTGAGTGAAATCATCACAGTTAATTCTTTACTAGCTGTGTCAGAATTTCGGCTCATTTTAATCTTGGTGTTCAATGAACACCCTGAGGTCTTCCTCATGAGTCCCCTGCATTCTGATGAAATTGCCTTTAGTGTCTTAGGAGGCCGTGTGGTTCAGAGCATGGGTGTGGAGTTGAGAGATGTCCATTCCACTCCAGGTTTCACCCTAAAAAGCAGTGTGAGGTGGAACGAGTTATTCTGAGGCTCAATTTTTTCATCTATAAAATGATCATTATTATTATCACCGTCACCATCATAATCATCAATTGCCCTGCCCCCTGCCTCACAGTCTTACTAGGGTTCAACAGGATAAGCTATGTAAAATGTTCGGCCCAGGGCCTGGGACCTGTTTTTCCTGCTTCTGCTGTTGTTATTGTTACTATTATTATTGTTTCAGGTCACCTGGCCCTCCAGGGCCTCTTTGTAACTCTTATAAAATGATCTCTGACACTCTGAGCCTGTTTTTATTTGGAATCTTAGGGGAAAAAAGCATTTGTGAGGTCCAGGATTTAATCTTGTTTGTCCTCGGGGCATGTGGCTATTAACAAGGGTTGTTTACGGAGGGTCTGTCCATCCTGCTGAGCTTGTGTGATCCTCACAGTGGCCCTGCAAGGTCAGCATTATTATTTCCATTTCATGAATGAAGAAGAGGCCCAGGGAGGTTGAAACACTTGCTCAAATTCACACATCCAGAAAGGAGCAGGATTGGAGTAGGAACCTGTGTCTGATTCATTTTGCAAACACTTTTCTAGCACTTTCTATGCTCCTAGCACTGTTTCAAGTACTTTTTAAATAAGAATTAATTGATGTCATCCTCTTAACAACCCTATGAGGTAGGTGCCGTGACTGCCCCCTTGTGTAGATGAGGAAACTAAGGCACAAAGAGGTTAAGCCACTTGCCCAAAGTCACACAGGTTTGCATGGCAGTGACAAATTCACTTCGGCAGCCTGGCCCCAGCTGCCCCTCAAGGCTGTTCTTTCCCATACACGTCACTGTCTCTCACAGGGGTCCCGCTTTTTCAGTGGGTACATAAGCCTGCCTTCCTGGCACAGACATAGACCCCCTTCCCTGGTCCCCTTCGAGCCTCTTAAAAGGGGAGCCGCTGTTCTGCATTCATCCTCCATGACCGTGGCCTCTTCTGCTTCCTCCTCAGAAGCCAGTGGGTTTGTTCTGCAAATTGCTAGTCAGAGGAGGCCAGGCATTGTTTAGGCTGCTGGTGGTGAGGGTCAGTGCCAGCTACTGGACCAGAGCCAGACCTGCCCCCGTGCCAAACCCACCGCAGGGAGGCCTGCTGCACCTCCTCCTGGGAGGTCTCCCTAGGGCATCACCTGAGAGCATGCAAAACAAAAGCCACACAACCAAACCATTTTTCCAAGGAGGGCCTGCTTGCCCAACACAGTAAAATCCAACTCCTATTGGCCTGTATTCCAGTAGATGCATTCAGTGTGTCCCTTGGCAAAATAATGTGGTAATTGCTGTAAGAGACTGCCCGCTGCCTTCCCCAGTGGATGCTCTATCCTTCACCAGTGCTCATGAGCATTTGTGGAGGGGTCCTCTTCCATGGCCAGCCAACAGCCCCACTTCTGCACCCTGGCTCATACCATTCAGAGTCTGCACCCTGGACTGACTTAGACTAGCAAAAGATTTTAATCAACTGGTTCCATCTCCCCAGCCCACACGGATATCTGGGGACTCCTAAAAACACCATCTCTGCCTGAAGAAATTTCCCTAGCATCTGCTAAAGCAGGCTAGCAAAGAGGAATGGGGGCTTACTCCATCTTTTAACAAATTGACTTATTAGGAAGCGTTCTCACATCCTGAGTCAAATCTACTGTATTAAAATTTTCTCCCATTCTCTTCGTGCATGTTCTGGAGTAACAAGATCAAGACTGCTTTCTCCTCTACATGACAGCCCTTTAATATTTAAAAGCAGCTGTTCTTTTTCTTCAGTCTCTAATTCCCTAGGCTAAATATATCCAGTTCTTCCATCTGTTATTCCAACAGGATGGTTCAGAATTCCTCACCATTCGGGCTGTCCTGATAGGAGAACTCTCAAGATTGCCAATATCCCCTTTAAAATGAGGCCCCAGGAACTGAACCCACTGTCAGAGCTGACTGTCATCTGAGTTCCCTGGGCGTGAGCTGCATTTATTTTCCTTAAGAGCCAGGTTGCCCGGTTGGCTCACTCCAATCTGCTCTTCTCACATAAGCTGCTGCTGGTTATGTTTCTCCCACATTCTAAACTTGGACAAGAGAGTTTTTAGATCTAAATGCAGGCTTTTATATTGATGACTATTTAAAATCCTCTTAATCCCTTTTAAAGGAAATTCTAGTCAAATTCAACATGTTCCCATATCAACGGCATTATTCTATCTTTTCCACTTCATATTATCTTCAAATCTAAAAAAAAATTTCCCTTCACACATTTGCCCAAGAAAAATATTGAAAAATTCTGCCAGAGCACCTGGGTTACCCACTGAAGAGAATTCTCCAGAAGAAGGTCAACTGAAGAGATGGCCTGCCATGCTAATCATAAACAAATTCTAAGCAGATGGCTTGGAAATTCGTTAGAAAATGGATGATGTGATCACCATCAGTCAATCAGCTGGTTAATTCAACCAGCTATTAATACTCTGAATAACATTCCATCTCACCCACAAACGTATCATGGTAGACTTTGTCAAATGCCTCATGGAAATCAAATCATGTCAAGGATCAGTCTCCTGACTTTAAAAACTAATACCCTTGACTGGGCGTGGTGGCTCACGCCTATAACCCCCACACTTTGGGAGGCTGAGGTGGGCAGATTGCTTCAGGTCAGGAGTTCGAGACCAGCTTGGCCAACATGGTGAAACCCCATTTCTACTAAAAATACAAAAATTAGACAGGCATGGTGGTGGCGCACCTGTAGTCCCAGCTACTCGGGAGGCTGAGGCAGGAGAATTGCTTGAACCCGGGAGGCGGAGGTTGCAGTGAGCCAAGATCGTGCCATTGCACTCCAGCCTGGGTGACAGAGTGAGTCTCCGTCCCCCCCTCAAAGAAAAATCAAAAACAAAACTAATACCCTTAAAAAACAACAACAACAAATGATGTTGGTTTGTTTTTAAAAAACACATGCTGATTCCTAGTGATCATTTATCCACAAACCATCTGTTTCCTACTCAAGTCCAATGGGAGTATTTTATCCCCTTGCCCCATTGATTGAGTCAGAGATGGGCATGACTCAAGCCAGAAGAATCAGAGTCAATCCAGAAACTTGTACTGGAACTATTTGGAAAGAATCTTCTTTCCACTGAAATTGCTAAGGTTGGAGGATATAAGCCTGGGGATGTCAAGAGCCATCACATGAGATGGCTGAGAAGGGAGTCAATAGAGAAGCTAGCAGAGAAACTGGCTGGGATGCTACTAAGTCCTCATGGTGATATCTGACACCTGATCTAAATGTGCCTGAAAATAGAACCCCCATTTGGATTTTTCAGTTACAGGAGCCAATAATTCCCCCATTTTTGCCAAGCCTCAATCTTTTTGAAATTTGCATCTAGGCCATTTTTTCAACCCCTGCCCCAAATATATCCATAGCTGTCCCTCTAAGCACGGCTTCAGCTTCCACAAGCTCCAATATGTCACAACTTCATTAATTTTTAGTTCAGTATATTTTCTAATGTCCATGGGGATTTCTTATTAGACCCATGGATTATTTAGAAGGGTGCTGCTTAATTTCCAAGCATCTAGGGCTTTTCTAGATATCTTTTGTTATTATTTCCAGGGCTCACCGGTCTGTAAATATATGCACAGGATCTCATTTCCCTTGAGGTCTTCCTCAGTGAGGATTCTGCGGACTCCACATGGGTATCTTCCTTATGGTTCCTCATGTGATCATGACAGAGTTCATCTCCTCAGTGCCACCTTGGTCCCACCACATCCTTCTCAGATTTTCAGTATAGTGTGGTATTTGCTATCTCCCTTGGAAGCAAGGCCTCTGGAGCCCTCTAAATGTAAAGCTGCACCTCATTTAATAGTGGAGGGAGAAGAATGTCCTTAGTAGACATATTTAGTTTGTCCATCCAGCAGCTCTTCCTTGGAGGAACTATGCTTCCTCTCTTCCATATAGTTCTAGTGGGTTTGTCAATCACTGTAAAGCCCCTCCCCACCACACATGCAGAAATGGGCATGTGACTCAAAATGGCCAATCAGAGTTTTCCTTAGGAATTTTCTGCCCAGCTATCAAAGAAGACTGTCTTTTTCAACTGCAAGGTTATGTGTGGAGGGTTTCTAGGGGCCACCGTCACAGCCCATCAGAAAGGTCTGCAGAAGAAATAAAGTCAAATTGAGACAAGCAAAGCTGAGAAACAAAAGGTAAGATAGAAAAGAAACCTGCTAACATTGTTAGAGCCTTCCATCCACTGGAAACTTGAACCTCTCCTATGCTTTCCACTTTCATGAACTTGCAAGTTTCCCTTTGGCTTGTTTTAACTTGGGCAGTGGTCTGTCACATAAATCCAAAAGAGCCCTATATTGCTTGTAAAGGGTTGAATGGTGGCCCCCCAAAATGTATGTCTATGTTCTAATCCCCAGAACCTCTGAATGCGTCCTTATTTGGAAAAAGGGTATTTGCAGATGGAATTAAGTTAAGCATCTGGAGATGAGATCATCCTGAATTACCTGAGTTGACCCTAAGTCCAATGGCAAGTATCCTTATAAGAGACACACAGGAGAGACAGGGGAAGACGGCCGGGTGAAGATGGAGGCAGAGACTGGAGTTATGCAGCCACAAGCCTAGGAACACTGGCATCTGTCAAGTTGGAAGGGGCAAAGAACAATATCTCCCTTAGAGCCTCCTGAGGGAGTGCAGCTCTGCCGACACCTTGACTCCTGGCCTCCAGAACTATGAGAGAACAAATTTCTATTGTTTGAAGCCCCCAAGTCTGTGGGAATTTGTCAGCAGCCTCAGGAAACTAACACGTTGTTCCACTTTTGTATCAGCTGAGGGGAGGGTTATTTGGCCCTGATGTCTTCTGAGGCAGACTGGTACCTGTCCGTGGCCTGTTATGAACCAGGGCTGCACAGCAGGAAGTGAGCAGTGGGTGAGCAAGTGAAGCTTCATCTGTATTTACAGCCACTCTTCATCACTCACATCACTGCCTGAGCTCTGCTTCCTGTCAGATTAGCAGCATTAGATTCTCACGGGAGCACGAACCCTATTGTGAACTGTGCATGCGAGGGATTTAGGTTGCACGCTCCTTATGAGAATCTAATGCCTGATGATCTGTCACTGTCTCCCATCACCCCCAGATGAAACCGTCTAGTTTCAGGAAAACAAGCTCAAGCTCCCATTGATTCTACATTATGACGAGTTGTGTAATTGTTTCATTATATATTACAATGTACTAATATTAGAAATAAAGTGCGCAATAAATATAAGGCACTTGAATCATCCTGAAACCATTCGCCCCCAACCCCTGGTCCATGGAAAAATTGTCTTCCATGAAACCAGTCCCTGGTGCCAAAAAGGTTGGGGACTGCTGTTCTAAGGCTTCAGATAATAAAGACGGATACGGGACATACCACGCTATATTCCAGATTCCCTATCCGCTCTGACAACCAGTTTCCTAGCTGGCTTGGTGTGGGCATGCCTACCACGTTCTTCACTCAGAATGAGTTATCTCCTGGGAGATATCACAATCCCCTTACAAATGGACTCCTGATGAGTCCATCACCTGTCACACACACACACTTTGCCATAGGGTAATGTTAATATCTCAAGCATTAGAGTCAGTGAGGCCAAAATTAGAATTCTACATCTGCTAATTCCTGTGAGACAGTGGAGACAAATTGGTTTACATTTCCAGGTCCCAACTTTCTCAGCTTGCAAATTAGGAATCTCTAGCTCACAGGGTATTATAAATGTTAGGTAATCCACACAAAGCACAGAGCAGTCCATGGTCCATCTTCTCAGCAAATGCAAGCTAGGGTATGTTGCTAGATATTTTTAAAACCTGGCTTTGGGCTTTTTTCAGATATTGAGCAGCAATATGTTCAGGAAAGGTGTACGAAGCTTCATTGGGGTGAGTCATGATTTGCAAAGGATGGTTTAGGATTGGGCATAGGATCTCGTTTGGGCCAATGAGATGAGAGGGGAAATTTTTGCTGGGCTTTTCTGGGGAAAAATGATTTTAAAAAATTAGACACACAAAGAGACACCCACTCAGACTTTGTGTTTTGGACGCTGTGATGTGAAGATACAGTGCATAGAGTGCTGGCAGCCATCCTGTGGCCATGAGGCAAAAGCCCAGAAAATTTCAGTGAGCAGTCATAGAGCCTTGATATCAATAAGCTGCTAAATTCACCGATTCTGCAAATCTAGGCCTCCAGAACTCTTAATGTGTGAGGTCATAAACTCCGAATGTCTATGCCACTTTTGCAGCTGATAGCCTCCTGAAATGTTCCTCAAGGACTTTGTGTGTTGTACAGTTGTTTTTGTTAGTGATGCAGTGTTTTTAGGCTAAGCGAGTGTATTAGTCTGTTCTCACGCTGCTAATAAAGACATACTCGAGACTGGATACTTTATAAAGAAAAAGAGGTTTAATGGACTCACAGTTGCATGAGGCTGGGAGGCCTCACAATCATGGTGGAAGGTGAAAGGCACATCTTACATGACAGCAGGCAAGACAGAATGAGAGCCAAGCAAAAAGGGTTTCCCTTTATAAAACCATCAGATCTCGTGAGACTTATTCCCCACCATGAGAACAGTGTCGGGGAAACCATCCTAATGATTCAATTATCTCCCACTGGGTCCCTCCCACAACACGTGGAAATTATAGGAGCTACAGTTCAAGATGAGATTTGGGTGGGGATGCAGCCAAACCATATCAGTGAGCAACACCTTAAAGTGGTTTCATGACACCTATTACCATTTATGATTCTCTCCTCAGTGTAAAACCAAATAAAGTTTCATCCTCAGGGTTCTGCCTTCTGTTGCAACATTTTCACATCACCTGGGGAAAAACACCCTTTTTAACCAAATTTATTTGCCCCACAAATCTCAACACATGGGTGATCAATGTCAGCATTGGAAATGTTTTTCACATTAAAATTCAAGCACAACATTTGCTCCATCTGGGGACAGAGTGAGCAGGTAAACAACTTTGAAAACTATGTACCATGTGAGATACAGGGGCTTGGGTGTCTGGACCCTGAATCCTGTTCAGCTCTGACAGTGAGCTTTGTTTCATTTGTTTTCACTCTCCCCTACATTAGTTCTCTTGAACAGCGGCCAGGTTCTTCCTTCCTCCTCTCAGCAACAGGCAGGCCTCCCTGAAAGAGCTCAAGATCCAGGCTGCGGGGTGACTAATAGTCACTAATTTAAAGAGGAGAATCCTCTTGCTCTTTGGTGCATAAATTCTGTCTACTCTGCCTAATGCAATCACTAAGGGGTCACTCTCCCTGCCTCCTAGGAAAACACAAGGAATATGTTCTACTAGAGTAACAGTTAACCCTTAACAGCCACATCGAATATTAAGAGGGTTTAAACTAAAGGATGCTACGGCACAAATGCCAACTTTTCAGAGAACCCTTCCCTTGACCACATAATTACAAAAGAACTCTGATCATTCTCTGGTTCCTTACCTGACCCTTTTCTGAAGTCACATTTACCAAAGTATAATTTATATACAGTAACATTCACCCTTTAGGTGTACAGTTCTCTCTTAGTGTTGGGCAGCTATGCAGACCCCACTGCAATCCATCTGGAGAACTTCCTGTACACCAAAATGTTCCCTTGCACCCCTTGGTAGAGAATCCCTTCCTCCATTCTAAGTCCTTAAAAACCACCGATCTGATCTCTGTCCCTCTGCTATTGCCTTTTCCTGAATGTCACATAAAAGGAATCACATGGTATGTAGCCTTTGTGAATTGCTTCTTTCACTTAGCACAGTGCTTTTGAGATTCATCTGTGCCGTGTGTATCCACGGTTCATTCCATTTAGTGCTGGGTAGTATTCTTTTACATGGTGATACCATAGCGTGTTTAACTGTTCATGTATTGAAAAGCATTTTAATTGCTTCCAGTTTTGGTTTTGTTTCCTAATAATGATTGTTTCCAAGCTGCTATGAAGAATCATGTACAGGTTTTTGTGCTCATACATTTTTATTTATTTGGGAGAAATGCCCAAGAGTGCAACTGCCAAGTCATAGGGTAAATGTTTGTTTTTTTTCCAAAAATTGCCAAACTATATTCCAAAGTGGCTGACTACTTTATGTTAATTTTAATAAAGACCAATTTATTGATAATTTATTTTATGGATCAAGCTTTTGATGTCATGTCCAAGAGCTCTACCTAAGCCTAGGTCACAGATATCTTCTCCCACGTACTCTTCTAAAAGTTTTAGGCTGGGCTTGGTGGCTCATGCCTGTAATCCCAGCACGTTGAGAGGGGGAAGCAGGCGGATCACCTGAGGTCAGGAGTTCGAGACAAGCCTGGCCAACATGGTGAAACCTGTCTCTACTAAAAATACAAAAAATTAGTCCGATGTGGTGGCACACGCCTGTAATCCCAGTTACTCAGGAGGCTAAGGCAGGAGAATCGCTTGAACCCGGAAGGTGGAGGTTGCAGTGAGCCCAGTGAGCCGAGATCACGCGACTGCATTCCACCCGGGGTGACACAGCAAGATTCCATCTCAAAAACAAATACAATTAAATTAAAACGGTTTTAAAATATTACACTTTACACTTAGATCTATGATTCATTTTGAGTTAATTTTTTGTATGTGATGTTTAGGTTGATGTTCTTTTTTTTTTCTTATAAATGTCCAGTTGTTTAAAAACCATTCATTCTCTTTTCTCCATTGAATTGCCTATGCATCTTTATCAAAAATCATTTGGCTGGCATGCACCTTTAGTCCCAGCTACTTGGGAGGCTGAGGTGGAAGAACTGATTGAACCCAGGAGGCAGAGGTTGAAGTGAGCTGAGATCGCGCCACTGCACTCCAGCCTGGGTGACAGAGTGAGATTCTGTCTCAAAAAAAAAAAAAAAAAAAAATCAAGTGGCCATCCTAGCAAGTTATTTTGTGGATATAGACAAACTGATTCCAAAGTTTTAATAAAGAAGCAAAAGATCCAGAATATCCAACTGAATAGTGAAGAACAAAAACAAAGTTGGGTGACGGATACTACTCACCTTCAAGACTTCCTATAAAGCTACAGTAATCAAGACAGTGTGGTACTGGTGAAAGAATAAACAAATAAATCAATGGGACATAACAGAGAGCCTAGAAATAGATACATGCCCATATCATCAACTGATCTTTGACAAAGGAGCAAAGGCAAGACAATGAAGCAAAGTCAGCCTTTTCAACAGCTGGTGCTGGAACAGCTGGACATCCACATGCAAAAAAAAAAACTGAATCTAGGCCCAGATCTTACAGTCTTCCCAAAAGTTAACTCAAAATATATCACAGATCTAAATGTTAAATGCAAAACTATAAAACTCCTAGAAGGTAACAGAGGAGAAAATCTAGATGATCGTGGGTTTGATGATGACTTTTTAGATGCAAAATGGAACACATGATCTACGAAAAAACTAACTGTTAAGCTGGACTTTAATAAAACTAATCATTCCTGCTCTGCAAAAGACACTGTCAAGAAAATGAAACGATAAGCCACAGGATGGGGAAAATATTTGCAAAAGACCTATCTGACAAAGGATTGTTAACTGAAATATACAAAGAACTCCTAAAATTCAACAAAAACAAAAAAAAAACCTGATTTAATGAGATATACAGATGACAAATAAGCACATAAAAAGATGCTCCACTTCATAGTCGTCAGGAAAATGCAAATTAAAACAACAATGAGCTACTACTACACAGTCCAGAACACTGACAATACCAAATGCTGCTGAGGATGTGGAACAAAACGACCTCTCATTCATTGCCGGTGAGAATGCAAAATGGCACATCCACTTTGGAAGACAGTTTGGCAGTGTCTTATAAAACTAAACGTACTTTTACCCTATGATCTAGCAATTGTACAGCAAGTGTACGAGGGTTGCTTCAAAAGACATTGCCTTTTGAAAAGACATGTTGAAAATTATGTCCATGTAAAAACCTGCACGCAAATGTTTATAGCAGTTTTATTCATAATTGCCAAAACTTGGAAGCAACCAAGATGTCCTTCAGTAAGTGAATGGATAAGCAAACTGTGGTACATCTGGACAATGGGATATTATTTAGCACTAAAAAGACACATCTATCAAGTCATGAAAAGACACGGAGGAGCCATAGATGCGTATCACTAAGTAAAGAAGCCGATCTGAAAAGGCTGCATATTCTATGATTCCAACTACATGACGTCTGGAAAAGGCAAAACTATGGAGATAATGAAAAGATGAGTGGTTGCCAGGAGTTGTGGGGGAGGAAGAAATCAATAGGTGAAGCACAGGGGGCTCGGGGGGCAGTGAAACTACCCTGTATGATTCTGTAATGGCAGATACATGTCACCTTACATTTGTCCAAACCCACAGAATGTTACTGTAAACCTACAATACTCATAACGAACCCTAATGTAAACTACGGACTTTGGGTGGTTATGATGCGTCAATGTGGGTTTGTCAATTTAACAAATGTACTACTCTGATGGGGGATGTTGATAATGGGGAAGGCTATGTATGTTAGAATGTTGGGGGCATGTGGGAAATCTCTGTACCTTTTGCTCAATATTGCTGTGAACCTAAATCTGCTCTAAAAAATAAAGTCTATGAAAAGAAAATCACTTGGTCATATTTACATGGGCCTATTTCTGGACTCTGTGTTCTGTTCCATTGATCTATATGCTCATCTCTTCACCAATACCACAGCATTATTTCTCTAAATTTGTATTTCTTTTTAAAAATTGTTTTTGCTATTCAAGTTCCTTTTGCTTGCCATATAAATTTTAGAGTCCAAGTTACAAAAAATCCTCCTGTGATTTGGATGGAAAGTGTGTTAATTCTATAGGTGAATTTAAAGAGAATTGACATCTTTGCTATGTGAAGGCTTTCAATCCATGAACATAGTTTATCTTTATTTATTTGCTTCTTCTTTGATTTTTGCTACCAGGATTTTTTTTTTTTTTTTTGTAACTCTCAACATAAAGACTCTGTGCAACTTTTGTTAAGTTTCTGTTGTAGTATTTTATTTTGTGGAGGAGGAGCTATTGTAAATTTTCTTGACTTTTAAATTTCAGTTTCCAATTGTACATTGCTAGGATATAGAAATATGATTGATTTTTGTGTGTGTTGACCTTGTATCCCACAACCTTACTAAGCTCGGTTAATTTTTCTAGGTTATTAATAGATTCCTTGGGGTCTTCTATGTAGACAATCATGGTGTCTGCTAGTAGGGATGGTTTTCTCTCTTACTTTCCAATCTGGGTGTGTATTATTTCGTTTCTTGCCTCACTGCACTGCCTAGAGCCCCCAAAATAATGTTGAATAGGAGTAGTAAGAGAGGACAACCTTGTTCTCAACCTTAGGGGAAAAGCATCCCCTTTCATCATTAAGTGTAATGTTAGCTGTAGGTTTTTGTAAATACCACTTACCAGGTAAAAGAAGGACTCTTCTGGCTGGGTGCAGTGGCTCACGCCTGTAATCCCAACACTTTTGGAGGCCCAGGCAGGCGGATCATGACTTCAGGAGCTCCAGACCAGCCTGGCCAACATGGTGAAATCCCATCTCTACTAAAAATACAAAATTAGCCAGGTGTGGGGGCACGCACCTGTAATCCCAGCTGCTTGGGAGGCTGAGGCAGGAGAATTGCTTGAACCCGGGAGGTGGAGGTTGCATTGAGCCAAGATCATGCCACTGCACTCCAGCCTGGGAGACAGAGTGAGACTCCATCTCAAAAAAAATAAAATAAAATAAAAAAAGAAGTACTCTTCTTTACCTAGTTTGACAAGCTTTTAAAAAAGTCATTGATGCATTTCAAATATTATCAAATGGTTCTCCTACATAAATTGATATTATCATGTGGTTTTTCTTCTTTAGATTATTCATATGATGGAGTATTTTGGCTGATTTTTTAAAAATATTTCAATGTCATGATCTTTAGTTTATTATTGCTGTGAATACAATATCTTTGTATTCTCTGGGGATATAAAACATATTTATTCTAAAGTTCTATTCCTACTGTAATAATGCTCTGTCTTTGGGTATAAGTAAGTTTTTTTTTAATTTTGTTTTTTTCCTTTCCATCTTTTATTTTATGTTCAGGGGATACATGTGCAGGTTTGTCACATGGGTAAATTACATGTCATGGGCGTTTGCTGTACAGATTATTTTCACACCCAGGTAATGAGCTTGACTTCCTAGGATAAACCCACTTGGTTGTAGTATATTATTCTTTTTCTGTATTATTGTATTCAATTTGTTAATATCTCAAGATAATTTTTGTATTTATGTTCATGAAAGATACTGGATTTTAGGGTTTTTTTGTAACATTTTTGTCTGGATTTGGTATCAGAGTAATGCTAGGAGGTTTTCTCTCTTGTTCCTTTATTTTCCTTCAGAACATTTACATATCGGCCTCTCTCCATAGGAATATAAGCTCCATGAGGGCGGAGGTCTCCTCTCTTTTGCTCATTGTTCTAGCCTAAGTGTCCAGAACCATGCATGGACACAGTAAGCAATCAATAAATATTTGTTGCTGAATAAATAAATGTCCTCTGCCTCAGCCAAGCAAAAAGAAAAAGAAAGAAACTAAAAGGGAAAAGAGCCAGGAGGATCTACCAGGAGGGCTTTTGCTTGAATGGAACTTGGAAATGTGATGATATAAAAATGATATTGAAGACAGTGTGCATCAATAACGGAAGGGGAAAGACTGCTTTGGAGTCAAACTGCCTGGGTTTGGATCCTATCTCTACCACTGCCCAGCTGTGTGTCCTTGGACAAATTGATTAGCCTCTTGAAGTTTCCATCTCCTCTTCTGCAAAGTGGAGATAATGATAATACCTGCATAGCAGGGTTGAGATAGGTGATGATGTATGCAAGGTCCCTGGCAGTGAGCCAGCACTCAACAGGTGGAAGATATAGTAGCAATAATAGTAGGTTCTTTATTGAATGGCTGCTAGCAATCTCTTCTACAACCAGAAGTGGATCTGAGCTGAGAATGATCTGGAGCACCCTGGAGGGAACTATACCTAGCTGCTTAATACTCTTGAGAGCTAAGAAAGATTTTATTCTTCTTCAGTTGACCCCAGGTAAGACAGCAAAAGTCACTAGAAAAATCTGAGCTAAGTTATTGACAACCATATCTTCTCTCAGGCCCTATCTCTGACAATTGACCCACGTTCCAGCTTCTTGGACCTCACCCAGACCCACTTCTTCAGTAGCCTGTCAGGCAACTGGGAGAGCAAACTGCTGCCTTCCTGCAAAAGGGAGCAAAACCAGGCTCAGAGACCCTCAATAAGAATGCCTGCGTTTTTCAGGTGAAAACTGAAAAAGGGTTGGGAAACTAAGAAATCTGAGCCACATATTTGGTCATAGTTATCCTCCAGCTCTGCTGGAAGTCAAATGCCTAAGAGAGAAGACCTGGAACAAGACTAAGTCAGACCGTTCTTCTAGCCTTGGATCTGAAATGGATGTGGTTGAAGGAAGAGCAGTGGCCTAGAGGGAGAATGCAGGAGACAGGGAATCCATAAATCCACTGGCAGCATTGTGTGAAACATTAAGCCCAGGTCCATCTCATGCTGATCCTCATGGAAACCCCAGAGGCCGGGCTGAGTTCCTTAGCCACACTATGCTGCCACCAGCTTTCACGGGGACACCCCCTCTCAGCCCTCTACCTCACTGGATCCTGATACCCAGCATGGTGTGAACCCCTCTGCCACACACAGCACACACTTGTTTGCCATTTTGCCAACCAGCATGGGCAAAGCCAACTAGAGAGCAGAGTGTTAAATGGTCATTGCCCTTTTGGTTAGACTGAAACATCAAAATGACTTCTCTGAATACATTTGGCTCTAATGTAACTACTATTTCCCATGAGCAAAATCACAAGTAAAAGTCAACATCACACCAGGACTTTTTAATTTCCAAAGGTGTTTATTTTTCCTCCGAGGACAAGCAGTAGCTTTTTATTTTGTTTAATTACATACACAGGAGGAAAAAAAGAAACTAGAGATCACTTGAGGTTTCTGTGAGAAACAGGGCTTTCTCCCATCTAAAATGTAGGTTGCATTCCTGGCTTGACATTTATGCTCTCTGAGTTTGAAACAAGAACCTTGGGAAATTATTGTCCATTTGATGAAGAGCCAGGCTTCCAAGCTTTGGGAGTAGCTGCTGATTCACTGGAATGGGCATACTTGCTGCTCATGGTCTGGGAAACAGAGATAAAACTGGGGTTGACCTACTGTGCTGTTTTTGGGGCAGCCGAAATCACCGTCTGCTCTAACTCAGTCTTTCTTCTGATGCATACATGTTAGACCAGACTCCTAGGTCCTAGCCCAACTTGTTACAAGGAAGATATGTTTTTCTTCGTGTCAATACACCTTTCCCTGGTTGATTATTTTAGACTGGGCCGGGCGTGGTGGCTCACACTTGTAATCCTAGCACTTTGGGAGGCCAAGGCAGGTGGATCACCTGAGGTCAGGAGTTCCAGACCAGCCTGAACAACATGGTGAAACCCTATCCCTACTAAATACAAAAAATTAGCCAGGTGTGGTGGCGGGTGCCTGTAATCCCAGCTACTCCGGAGGCTGAGGCAGGAGAATCACTTGAACCGGGGAGACAGAGGTTGCAGTGAGCCGAGATTGCGCCATTGCACTCCAGCCTGGGCAACAAGAGCCAAAGTCTGTCTCAAAAATAATAATAATAATAATAATAACAATAATTTTAGACTGGACACAGGAACTTTTGACTCTGACTCTTACAGAGGAGACTACATAAATAAAGGTATTGTAAACAAGTATTTTGGAGGATTGCATGTGATTTCATAATTTTCCCCTTATGTTTTAACATTATATTACATTCTATCACATCTAAAACTATAAAATCAGATGGCTTCCCATTACCCTCAGCAATGGGAAGATCTTTTCTAAGCAATGGAACTTGTTTTCCTCAAGTGAAACTTTACACGGATCTCAAATGTATAAAACAGATAGAATTGGAGCTTAAACTAAACTCTTCAGAAGTCACAGAGGAGAGATTGGAACCTTGGCTGATTCAGACATTGCTTAATCTCCGCTAAAGGAAGAACTAAACATGTGGCAAGATGGGAAGCTTTAGTTGAGCCTAGTTGCTACCATGTTTAAATGATTAGAAGGCCAGAGAGCAAGGAGGAAGGTGGGCTGGGAGCGTGGCCAATGCATTCCCGGCCGAAGACCCCACCCCCCACCCCTACCCAACACGTGGAAGATCCTTCGTGAAGCTACATGCCCGCTTCTGGGTTTTGGTCATCCTGTGGAGAAGAGGAGGGGCCCGGACACATTTGCACATGTGGTTCCAATGACTGAAAACCCATCCAAGCCGAATGAGCTGAGTTTCCCAGAACAGCTGCTGCCCTCCTTTTCAGTCGAGAAATCCTTCTCTGCCTCCTGTGAGGAAGGGAAGCAGGCTCTATAGAAAATGTGCTCTCAATAATGTTTGCCCATCAAATGAAAACACGACAATCCCTGTGTTCAGGAGAATGAGAACAACTCACAGTGAAGTTGAGATTCTGTTCAAACAAAGTACTTCCTTCCCCACTTGGCCAGAGCAAACTATCATTTTGGAACCCATCACACTCTCTAAGAAAGACAAGATGTCTCACTCCCAGCAAAGATTTGAGTACAGGCTTATGGGGGGGGGCCCTACAGAGTCAGTTAACCTTTCCGGACCTGAGTCCTCTCCCCTGTCAAACTAAGCACAGGGTTGGGCTCAAACATTTCAGAATTTCCAATAACAGAAACCAAGGCTCAGTCTGCAGATGCTTTAAAGCACTTAGCTTTAAGACGTTCAGAGAATGAGCTCACATTCAAAAAACTACAGAACTGAAAAGAACCATGGATGTTCCTGTATTCAAAATCCCTACATCAGGTTGATGGTCTTTCCTATGTGTCACCTTGGCAGGCTGTAGTATCCAACGGTTTAATCCAACACTGCCCTAGGTGTTGCTGCGAAGGTGTTTTGTGGATGTGATTAACATCTACAATCAGATGACCTAAAATAATGGAGACTATCCTTGATAATATGAGTGGGCTTCATCTAATCTGTTGAAGACTTTAAGAGAAAAACAGGTTTTCCAGAGAAGAAAGTCTGCCTCGAGACTGTGACATAGAAACTTTACCTGAGTTTCCAGCCTGCTGGCCTGCCCTAGAGACTTCAGACTTGCCATCACCACAGTGGCATGCAGGAGCCAATTTCCTAAAATAAAATCTCTCTCCCGCTCTGTCTCTCTCCCTCTCTTTCTCTCTCTCTCTCTCTATATATATATCATATATATAATATACATTATATTATTATATATAATAATATATGTGTGTGTATGTTATCTATCATCTATCATCTACCTACCTACCATCTATAATTCTATCTACCTATACATCTATTATCTATCTATCTATCTACCTATCATCTATCTAGCCATCTATCATCTATCTACCTATTGTCTGTCTATCTATCTATCTATCTATCTATCTATCTATCTATCTATCTATCTACAATCCTATTGCTTCTGTTTCTCTGGAGAACCTTGACTGATATACCAGGACTCTTCAAGGCAAATAGTCTGAGATCATATTATTCCTAAGAAACAGAGGCAAGACCAGGGTCCAAATCTCCTTGGACTCATTCCATGTTCTTTCACCAGGATGCACAGCTTTTCAACTACCCTGCTATAACCTAAAAATACAACTTAAAAGGAACCTCATTTTCTGAAAGAATTAAGAGATAATTCCAGCTGAGCAGCATTTTTCACCCTGACCCATAGGAATGAAAACGCTGTAGTTTGCAACCTGAAATACACATATATACAGAGGCACATTTAGCATGTTAACAAAACAAAAAATTCCTGAAATAAGACTTTTCAGATGTAATGCATTTGATAACTTCTATGTTACTCTCTTTTCCTTCATTTTTTGAAAATGCTAGTCATAGCCATTAAATTACTTATGTGAGCCTAAATTGCCCACTGTGGCGGGTGCCTCTGGTGCTCATAACCCATCTGTGAGCCACCTCTGATTTCAGTCACAGTGGTGGTAGACTCCCATGTGAGTTCAGATTCACTTTATTCATAGCGTCTCCCCTGAGGCATGCTGTACACATCGTTCTGCTTTGAGCTCCAGGGTCTTGTGGTAGCTCCTATGGCTCCCACACAAGTATAGCCTGAGAGTGTGGGAGAGTTAATGTTCTACGGGGCAGTCCTCATCCAGTGGGGAGAGCAGTTGGTGTAGAGTGGCCCAGCCTCCCACCCTTCTAGCAGCCCATCTGGGGAGGTGTTCTGTACACTCCTCAGGAGGACTTGGAGAGCTGAGCTCCATGCTCATGGCAGTGACCTTGGTAATGCACCTGCTTCCTCCCTGCTGGTTCCTGGGATCACCTCTCGATCAATGAGCTGCCCCAAGTCTATGCCCCAGGCTTCACTTTCAAGAAAATCTGAACCAAGACCCAGCATCCCTGTCACTGAGGGAACTTTCTACAACCCCCCTTCAGATGGTCACCAGTATTTGCTAGAATCTCCAGGGATGACAGGAGTTTGTATACCTCAATTAAGTCTTACCATTGCTGGACAAAAGAGGGGGACAGGAAAAGGGAGCCTGGAGGTAACCAGGGCCTTCCACGGGTTAAGCACTGCTCTAGTTTATTTTTTCACTTTCATTGTCGAGAAGTAGTTTCTCTTTTTAAAACAGGCCAATTTTTTTTTATAAGAGCTTTATCGAGATATTTATGTACTATGCAACTTACCCATGGTAAGTGTTCAATCCAGTGGTTTTAAGAAGTAGTTAAGTAGTTTATTTTTTTAAGTTAAAAACAGACATTATTTTTTATAACAGCTTTTTTTTGTTTTGTTTTGAGACAGAGTCTCACTCTTTGGCTCAGGCTGGAGTGCAGTCGTGCAATTTCAGCTCATTATAACCTCTGCCTCCTGAGTTCAAGTGATTCTCTTGCCTCAGCTTCCCGAGTAGCTGGGACTACAGGTGCGCACCACCATGTGCAGCTAATTTTTGTATTTTTAGAAGAGACGGGGTTTCACTGTTGGCCAGGCTGGTCTCAAACTCTGACCTCGTGATTTACCCGTCTCGGCCTCCCAAAGTGCTGGGATTACAGGTGTAAGTCACCACACCCGGCCTTTATAATGGCTTTATTGAGAAATTTACATACTATACAATTCATTCATGTAAAGTGTTCAATTCAATAGTTTTTTTAATACAGTCACAGAGTTGTGCAACCATTGCCCCAATTTTAGAATGTCCTCATTACACCGAAAAGAAACCCCATACCCGTTAACAGTCACTCCCCATTTCCCTCCACACCTGAGCCCTAGGCAACCACTAATCTACTTTTCTGTCTCTATGGATTTGCCTATCCTGGATATTTCACATAAATGGAATCATGCTACATGTGGATTTTTGTGATTGGCTTCTTTTGCTTAGTATAACATTTTCAAGGTTCATCTGTGTTGCAGCATGTCCTGTAAGACAATGCCACCTTAGTCATTTTTGCTAGATCTTCTGGGTAACTTGCTGCAGCTTCTCCATCAGCACTTGCTGCTTTACCTCCTACTTTTATGTTATAGAGATGGCTTCTTTCCTTAAACTTCATGAATCAACTTCTGTTGGCTTCACACTTTTCTTCTGCAGCTTCCTCACCTCTCATAGACTTCATAGAATTTAAGAGAGTTAGGGCCTTGCTCTGAATTAGGCTTTGGCTTAAGGGAATGTTGTGGTTAGTTTGATCTTCTATCCAGACCATTAAAACTTTCTTCATATCAGCAATAAGGCTGTCTCTCTCTCTCTTTTTTAATCATTTGTGTGTTCACTGGAGTAGCACTTTTAATTTCCTTAATGAACTTTTCTTTTGTATACACAATTTGTCAAACTAGCACAAGAGATCTAGCTTTTAGCCCATCTTGGCTTTTGACATGCTTTCCTAAGTTTAATCATTTCTAGCTTTTGATGCAAAGTAAGAGATATACAATTCTTCCTTTCACTTTAACACTTAGAGCCCACTGTTGGGTTATTAATTGGCCTAATTTCAATATTTTTGTGTGTCAGTGAATAGGGAGGCCCACAGAGAGGGAGAGAGATAAGGGAATGGTTTTTCGGTGGAGCAGTAAGAACAGACACAACATTCATCAATTAAGTTTGTCATCTCATATAAGAATGGTTCATGGTGCCCTAAAACAATTACAATGATAACATCAAAGATCACTGATTACATACCACCATAACAGATATAATAACAATGAAAAATTTGAAATATTGTGAGAATTACCAAAATGAGGACAAGAAAGGAGAGGTGAATTCTTCCAGGTCACAGGAGTAGATGGTAACAGATCGAGAATTAGGATCCAGGTCTTACAATTCCTACTTTCTTCTTCTTTCGCATCCTTACTGAATCATTTCTTTCTTTCTTTCTTTCTTTTTTTTTTTTTTTTTTTTTGAGACAGAGTCTTACTCCGTTGCCCAGTGTGGAGTGCAATGATGCAATCTCGGCTCGGCTCACTGCAACTTCTGCCTCCGGGGTTCAAGCGATTCTCCTGCCTCAGCCTCCTGAGTAGCTGGGACTACAGGCACACGCCACCACCACCAGCTAATTTTTATATTTTTAGTAGAGATGGGGTTTCACCATGTTGACCAGGCTGGTCTCAAACTCCTGACCTCAAGTATCTGCCTGCCTTGGCCTCCCAAAGTGCTGGGATTATAGGCGTGAACCACCACATCCAGCCCTGAATAATTTCTTAAAGAACAGCAATCATCCCAAACACACTGTCATTAACCTCTAATGACAACTTCCTGGCAATCCAAGAGGAGCACCCCTGAGCACTCCAAATTCTCTTTTGTGTCTTTTTTTTTTTTTTTTTCAGTGAATTGGCTTAATGACAGGGGCTCTTGGCTCCTTGTAAATTCAGTTCTTCCAGATGGTTCTTTAGCTCCTGTTTTGGCCCCGTGGCTAATGAGTTCGAGATCTGCTGATGAGAATGGGAGTATTGGAGAGCCTCTGAGAGAAGCAAATGACGTCTCTGATGACGCATGACCTCATCACAGTGCTTGGTGGACTTAAAAAAGCTCTTCCAAGTCACTCAGATTATTTCCCCTGGTATAGATCTGGCCCAAAATATCCAACAGACCATTCCCAGTGTACTTTTCAAGGCTGAGATTCTGCTAAGATAGTGATCTTGGGAAATGCAGCCATTATTACTTAATAAGAGTTGGTACCTTTGTGCTTTGACAGACAAAATCTTCCCTGTTCATTAAGGGTAAAAATAAGAATTTATCAAAATTATTTTCTTAGCCCTGACACTAACACTTTTTGCTCCAATAATTCTTAAAGCTAGAGACGCACCTCATTTTTGTGTCTGGAGAAAAGCAAGCACATGGATTTGGGAATCAGAAAACCCAGATGATGGGAAAACTTTCCCAGTCCCCAACTGTATGATGTTGAGTGAGTCACCCAACCTAATTGAGTTTCAGATTCTTCAGCTGGGAAACAGCAATTGTAATAATAATAGCTATGTCACAGGCTGATATTACATGTAGCAAAGGAATAATTTAAATCAAAAATAAAAACATTAAATGTCTTCCAACTTGCTTGTTGGGAAAGGTTGATCAAAAAAGATGAGCAAATGGAGAAAACCAGGCACCCAGATCTTGAGGAACCAGCCCCAGCCAATTCTGCCTTGTCTGCGTGTAATCTATGTCTACTGCAAAACACTTCTTCCTTAGACCTCAGATGCCATGAAAATTCACTTCAGGATTGATTTTGTGCTTTCAGATTTTGCACATAAGGAAACAGTGGAGCAGGGACTAATGGCTCAAAATTGCACAGCAAATCAGCTGGGAAACATATGTGGATCCACCCACCTCCCGAGTGCTTTCCCATCTGAATCTCAAGGCCTCAGGATGTCATGTGATCTTTCTTGGTAGACCAGCTGGATTTCCATTTGTCTCTGGGCTCAGGATTTTGTATCATTTTTGACAGGCACTCCAGGGTCCTTTTGAGCGCAGGTATGTTTTTAAATATACTCCTTTTAAAAAGCAAGCTCATGAATCCAATCATTTATCAAGGGTGGCAAAAAAAAAAAAAAAAAGCTGACTCAATTTAACATATCAAAAGAAACAGAGTTTCCCCTCCCACCTTTTAGGCAACTTAAAATCTATCAGACTGGCTGGGCACGGTGGCTCACACCTGTAATCCCAGCACTTTGGGAGGCCAAGGCGGGTGGATCACAAGGTCAGGAGACTGAGACCATCCTGGCCAACATGGTGAAACCCCGTCTCTACTAAAATACAAAAAATTAGCTGGGTGTGGTGGTACGTGCCTGTAAGCCCAGCTACTCGGGAGGCTGAGGTAGGGGAATCACTTGAACCCTGGAGGCAGAGGTTGCAGTGAGATGAGATCATGCTACTGCACTTCAGCCTGGTGACAGAGCGAGACGCCATCTCAAAAAAAAAAAAAAAAAAATCTATTGGACCAAAACCACAAAGGTTTTTCTAGAATGCTGCAGAACAATGCAATTTCACCTTATGAGCTTCTTTCTCGTCATCTGTCCTCCCCAAGCCTTTCTCAGTTAAAACAGACATGTGGGATTTAAGACTTTGCCCCAAAGAGAAAAAAGACAGAATCAAGCAAAAACGGACTGAAGGGAAATTAGATTTTTCAGAGAAGTGAGAAAACCAGGGTGGCCCATGCAGAACAAGCTCTCTGCTGTCACGGGCTTGTTAATCACTCGAGGCACAACCTCTGAGTGCTGAGCCCCTAGTTGGTGCCCCCTCCATGGGCACTGGATGGTGTCCTGCAGGCCTAGCGGGAAGTCATCACCTGGGACTTCCCCTGAGCAGCTTCTGCAGCCTCACTCTGGGCTGCATTTAAAACTTTCAACCTGGAAGATAAACACTAGGACCCAAAGGGATTGATCTGGGGGGCCTGGAGCAAGCAGACAAGGTCAGGGGCTGGAGGGAAATGAAACCACTTTTGCAAAATTGAGACTGAGACAGTGAATGAGATCTAACTTAACCAAATCCATCTTGCTTCTAACCTCCAAGCTGTCCTTGTTCATTCCTGGGCATAGGCTGAACTAACTTTGGGAGAAACTTAGATTATAGTTTATAAAAACAAAGATGTTTAAAACTGCCCTTTAAAACAGGCCTTTCCCAAAGCAGACCTCCTTCTTGCCTGGGGACTAAGCAAGAATTGCCTTTGTAGGACTAACATTAGCCAGAAGATTAGAAATTATGGTTTAGGAGTCATGCAGCTGGAGGTTACAAGAGTCTGACCCTCCCTAAACCGCTCCTAAGATCAGTGCTTGAGACATTTTGCAGACGCTACACTTGATGGATCAGCTGGCACCATCCAGATTGATAAACTGAGTCGTCTGATCTTGTGGCCTCCACCCAGGAACTCAGTGCAAGAAGACAGCTTCCACTCCCTATGATTTCATCTCTGACCAATCAGCACTCCCAGCTCACTAGCTTCCCCCCACTCTCCAAGTTGTCCTTAAAAAGTCTGCTTTCGGAATGCTCAGGAAGACTGATTTGAGTAATAATAAAACTCCGGTCTCCTGCACAGCTGGCTCTGCATCAAGTACTTTTTCTCTGTTGCAATTCCCCTGTCTTGATAAATTGGCTCTGTCTAGGCAGCAGGCAAGGTAAACCCCTTGGGCAGTTACAGAAAGGGCAGTCAGATGTGGAGGTCTCCCACCTTCTGCTACCCCCAGGTCTACCAGCAGGGTGGAGGATGGGCTCAGAGGCATTGGGGAAAGGGAGAGAGAAAGATGGGATGAGGGTTGTGGAGAGAAGGAAGAGAGGGGAGAGAGATGAAACAAACAGGTACACAAAGACAAAGGGGAAATGAAAGATGGAAGAGGGAGGAGAAAGGAATCACTTGAGAATCACAAGTTAAAAGAGAAGTTTCTCTCAAGAGCTCTGAAACCAAAACCACACAAACTTGCCTTGAATTCTTATTTTCTAAAATTAACAGCAGAGCTTCAGAAATACCGTAGTTTCTGAGGAGTGCAGCTTTAAAGGTATCTGCATTCCCTTCAGGTCCAAAGGGGATCTGCAAAACCACCTCTCTCTCCCTCTGTACCCCAGAAGCAGCTTCCGTTTGCAAAAGAGGCTGCCTTTTATATTCTTTTACAATGTTAATATTTGTTTTGCTCCATTGGTTTGTTTTGGCTTTTCTAAAGTGCTGATGAGCCGCCGTTGTATGAGTTCTGCCGATACTCTAGTTTCAACCACAATTTGGAATGTTAGGGATCGGAAGATGATCCGAGGAAGGGAAGGGGTCACTGAGTAGAGGAGTATAAGGGCGAACTCTTAGCTATCCTTTATGCATGAAAATTTAAAGTATATCAAGTTCAGCCAACACTCTAAGCTCTAGTCACCTGCTCTATTCAATAGTCCTGTCCCTTAGAGATTATCTTGTGTTTCAAGTATTTGCTTACTTTTCATGGGCTTTATACTTTTGGCTGAAAATGTTGCTGCAAAGATGTGGGCAGGATTAAATGACCACATGAGGTTTCAAAGGGCTCCCAGTAATTCTCCACTCCCAAAGAGGCTGACACCTGATCTTTGAAAGACTTCTGCCCAAGCATTGGATTTGAGGACTGGAAAGGGTATCCGCCTTCAACCTATCATTTTACAGATCAGGAAATATTTACAAATCAGGAGCAGAGAGAGATTCTGTAACATATTCATACCCAAACAGCCAGTCCATGCCATGGTGAAGACTAGATGCTGAGATTCTTTGGGGAGGGAAGTCAGCAGTCCTGTGTTTATGTGTCCTACCACACTGCCCTCCAACAGGGGATGGTGCTTCGGAAGCAACCTCCCAGAGGAACATCTTAAGTCAAAAAGATGGTATCTTAGTGCTTGAAAGAAGCAATGCACAATCTGGTCAGTGGAGTGATGAAACCTAAGTGTCTGGGGGTAAGAAAAGGAACTGAGTATCAGGAAGAAAGTGGAAATTTGCAGTCTCAGGATTTGGAGGTCCAAGAACCCAGGACAGCAGGGATGTGGGTGAGATTAAAAATAAGATCAGTGCAAGGAATAGCTACATCGTCCCAGATCTATGCAGTGAAGGGACTGTATCCCTCCCTAACCTAGACCTCCCCAGATCTATGTAGCCAGGAGATTGTTCCTCCCTAACCTGGTAGAAAACTGCAGCAGAGTTTACTCCCTGGAGAGGTTGAACCCAAGTGCCTTTGACCTCAGAGACATCAGGAGTACCTCAGAGAGGCATGAGATTCTGTACTAAGAACAAGGGAATTAGGTGAAGGCTGGCATGCTCTTTGTCCATTCTTGAGCTCCCAAACACTAGATCCAGACTTATACCCCAACCCAGTCAGAAAAACACCCTTTGCCAGCAAGACTAAACTGTCTTGTCTAGTGGGAAAGGCCTACAGGTACTGACACTTAGCTATCCGTAGCGAAATGACAGGGTTCCTGGCCAATCTCCCAGGACCAGGTCTACCAGTCAATGGTGGACATTCCATACATGACAGAGATTTTACTCTCAATGCAGTTCTGTGCTTTGCTTTAAAAAAATTATTTGTATTGAGGTGAAATTCAAGTAACATAAAAGCAATCATTTTAAAGTGAACAATCAGTGGTATTTAGCACATTCTCAATGCTGTGCAACCACCACCTCTATCTAGGTCCAAGACATTCATCACTCTGGAAGGAAACCCCTGTGCTTCACCTTCCACTGTGGGCAACCGGGAGTCACCAAACATTAGAGGAAAAGCTTCTGACATGAATGACAAACGAAAAAGACAACAGACAGGAGGAATGCAAAGGAAACAGAGAGCGAGAAGAGCAGAATGAAAATTAAAAAGCAAAACTTCTGAAACTTCTCAGAAAGATGAGAAGTCATTGAATATTTGAAACAGAAAACTGGTGCTTCAACAGTGTTGGGGGGATATATCTGTAAAATGTATAGAATGAGAAAGAGCTCTTAGAAATTCAAAGTATGAGCATGGAAATTAAAATAATCTTACAGAAAAGATTTTTTTTAAAAATGGAAGACTTAGAAGTTGAAAAGATCACCCAGAAAGTAGGCAAGTAATGTAAATAGGAAAGACAAGACAAGACAATTAGAATCTATGAGTCAGTCTAAAAATGTCAACATTGAATAACAGGAGTTGTAGAAAGAAAGAAAGAACAGAGAACATAGAAAGATGTTATTAAAGAACAAATACAGGAAAAACTTCCTAAACTGAACACATTAGTCTCCACATTAAAAGGGCTGCCTGAGTTTCCAGCACAAAGAATGAAAAAAGAGACTAACACCAAGGCTCACTGTAAGATTTTAGAAGAGCTGGCACAGGAAAATATCTTAAAATTTCCTGGAGGAAAAAAACATAGGCCACATATTGAGGATTTGAAATCAGAATGACATCAAACTTCTCAATAGTAATAATGGAATCTGGAAAACAATGGAGCAATGCTTTTGAAACTTTGAGTGAAAATGATGTCTAAACTAAAATTTTTACCAGCCAATCTAGCAATCAGTCGTGGTGGTAGAATAAAGTTATTTTCAGACATTTATGAACTCCATTTATTAATATGCTCCACCAAAACAAGGAAGCAAATTTTTTTTTTTTTTTTTTTTTTGAAATGGAGTCTCGCTCTGTCACCCAGACTGGAGTGCCGTGGCGCGATCTCGGCTCACTGCAAGCTCCACCTCCTGGGTTCACGCCATTCTCCTGCCTCAGCCTCCCGAGTAGCTGGGACTACAGGCGCCCACCATCACGCCCAGCTAATTTTTTTATATTTTTAGTAGAGACGGGGTTTCATCGTGTTAACCAGGATGGTCTCGATCTCCTGACCTCGTGATCTGCCCCCCTCGGCCTCCCAAAGTGCTGGGATTACAGGCATGAGCCACCGCGCCTGGCCCTGGAAGCAAATTTTTAAAACAAGATGATATGAAGTCAAGGAAATAAAGGATTCAACATGGGGCTGGGCGCGGTGACTCACATCTGTAATCCCAGCACTTTAGGAGGCCGAGGCAGATGGATCACTTGAGGTCAGGAGTTTGAGACCAGCCTGGCTAATGTGGTGAAACGCCATCTCTACTAAAAATACAAAAATTAGCCAGGCATTGTGGCACACGCCTGTAGTCCCAGCTACTCAGGAGGCTGAGGCATGAGAATTGCTTGAACCCAGGAGGTGGAGGTTGCAGTGAGCTGAGATCACACCACTGCATTCCAGCCTGGGCAACAGAATGAGATGCCATATTTAAAAAAAAAAAAAAAAAAGGATTTAACATGGGAAAGAGGTAAAAGGAATCCCTAGAGTTTCTAGGGTAATGAAAGGGAATCCTAAGATGAGTAAAGGGAAGTGACAGAATTGCAATCTGGAATCTTTCCAGAGGCAAGTCCAAAAATGGTCCAGGAGAGACGTAGCTAAGACAAAAATGGAAGTTGACATGCTGGTATTCAAAGGAATTTTAAGATCTGGTAGACGCCATGAATTAACGTAAATACAAAGAAAATTAAGCAAATAGAAAAATGAGGCCATTATTAATTCTAGGAAAACAAAAGCTCTGCATGAGAAAGAAAAGGAAGCATGGTCAACTACATGGTTCAGAAGTATTTACGTGGTCAAAATAGTACAACATCTGGATATTGATTTTTTTTAATTTTTAATTTTTGTGGGTACATGGTAGGTGTATAGGTTGATGGGGTACATGAAATGTTTTGATACAGGCCTGGAATGCATAATGATCCCATCATGGAGAATGGGGTATCCATCCCCTCAAGCATTATCTTTGCATTACAAACATCCAATTATACTCTTTTAGTTATTTTAAAACGTACAAGTAAGTTATTATTGACTACAGTCACCCTGCTGTGCTATCAAATAGCGGGTCTTATTCATTCTTTCTATTTCTTATAGCCTGATTACTGATTTGATCAAACATTGTTGTATAACTATATCAGAAGGCTCCGAAGGCAGAGGAAGTGTGGGTGAGCACTGGGGGAGTGAGTCTGGTATAAAAGTATCCAGAGTGAAGAAATCAAGAAATGGTAATATACACATGTTATTGAGAAACCCAGAGGTAAAGACCATAAGAAGCGTTTAAAAAGACTTGGAGCCAGGCACGGTGGCTTGTGCCTGTAATCCCAGTACTTTGGGAGGCCAAAGCAGGAGGACTGTTTGGGCCCAGGAGTTCAAGACCAGCCCGGGCAACATGGTGAAACCCTGTCTCTGCAAAAAATACAAAAGAATTAGCCAGGTGGCACATGCCTGAAGTACCAGCTACTTAGAAGGCTGAGGTTGGAGGATCACCTGAGCCAAGGAGGTTGAGGCTGCAGTGAGCTGTGATCGCACCACTGCATTCCAGCCTGGGGTGACAGACAAGACTCTATCTCAAAAAAAAAAAAAAAAAAAAAGACTTGGCAGTGTTTGCCTCAATGGAGGAGGAATTAGCTGGGGGAGGAGTGGGTCAGAAGACTGCTATTTCAGTATCAACCTTTTAATACTGTTTGGCTTTTTAAACTAGGTCCATAAATATCTTTGATAGAAATGTAGATTAATTTTTTAAACTCCGTTACTGTAACAACTTGGCCCATCAACCAAGCTACAACAAATGAAGTTATACCCAGTGGCATGTGATGGTCCTCCCTGCTATAGCAAGTGGTTCACAGAGGAGAAACGCTACTCGCTGTCAAGTCCCATTTCTGAAAGAAGTGACCTCTTTTTCAACCCTGAGAAAATGCAGCCACTAAATACAAGTCAAATCTGGTTACCATCAAAATCCAAGTGATGTGTAACCAAAATATTTGTAAGCCCCAGGTAATGGCCTAGTTATCCCAGTATAATGTGTTGTAACAGCATCTTCAAATACTAAAAAATGTATAGTAGTTGCTTTCACTCTGGGCTCCTATAGCATCCTACTGCCCTTACCAATGGGTAATTTATCACATTTTTATTGTACTTTATTGTTGGGATTTTCAAAGTGTTTGTTAAATCGTCTGTCTTCATGAGGACAAAGACCATAACTAGTTAATTTTGTTTAATCCCCTGTGTCCAACACAGTAACTAATATATAGAAGGCATGAAGGAAATGTTCGATATATAAAGAAAGAAAAGACTAAATGAATTTAAAACAAATAAATAAAGCAGCATCCAAGATAATCAATGCATACTGAAAGTTTAGAGTGAAGAGGACCAAAACGAAGGGGCTGTTAAGAGTGACAAACACTGCAAAATCTGGGGAATAACAAGAATGGCTGACTCTTACACAGTGTTTGCTATGTGCCAGCATGGTTCTGGGAGAGGCATGGGTAAGAGCTCAATTAATTCTCATAATAACCATGATGCAGGCTATCACTATTCCCATTTTATAGAGAAGTAAATAATTGGCCCCAAATCACACAGTCCTCAAGCAACAGAGGGGCCATGCTTAGGACCCAGGCCACCTGGCTCCAGAGTCTGTGCTCATAAGCACTTCACATGAAGGACTGAAGTCCTCAGAAGCAAAGGCCTAAGGGATATGGCCCAGGGAGCTGACTTGGCTGGGTACATTCAGCCAGTTTGGACTCGTTAAGAAAGTTCTAAAGGAGAAGAGGTCTTCAGTAGAGAATAAGAGCTTGTAGGGTGAGAGCTACCTGGAACCTTTAGATTGGGAGCAAGGCCTTACCTCAGGTTCCTCAGCTGTGTAGGAGGAGGGCTACCCTTTTCCTCCAAGTTGTTGAGCTGGGTAAGGGCAGAGCCAGTTGATGGGAGAGAGTGCCCAGGCACAACTGGGTGTGAACCAAAGGACAAATGGCTATGTCTGGTGCTCTTAGGCAAAGGCTGATTGTCCAAGGTTCTTGTTCTCTCTGGACCCAGGAGAGAAGAGCAAGAAGACCAATCAAGTGAAAATAAAAGCTGGTTCCTGAGAATTTCTGCAGAAAACTGAGAGTGAGAGGACCCAAGGAAGCCCTGATTGGAGAAATAACAGAATCAATGCTGTGGGCTGAATGTTTGTGCCTTCCCAAAATTTATTTATTGAAACCTAATGCCCAATGTGATGGGGTTAGGAGATGGGACATTTGGGAGGTGACTAGGTTATGAGAGCAAATCCTTCATTTGTTCCCTTTAAAAAAGACTCTAGAGATTTTGTGCCCCTTCTGCCATGTGAGGACACAGTGAGACAGCCGTCTGTAAACAAGGAGGTGGGCACTTGCCAGACCCTGAATTTGCTGGGCCTTGATCTTGGACTTCCCAGCCTCTAGAGCTATCAGAAATAAATTTCTGTTATGTATAAGCCACCCAGTTTATGGTAACCTGTTACAGCAGCCCAAGCTGTCTAAGACAACCAAGGAGGTACAATTCATAAGGAAACAGATTTTCCACATGGTTGCTGTGGGCCAAGGTTGACAGAACAGAATCTCTTGGGTCCTTCCATGATGCCAGGGCACTGTGGTCTCCCGAAACATGAGATAGAAGCTGAGAGAGATTGATTATGAAAATGTCTGCTATTCTTCACCCTTCCTTGTATCTACTGCTTTCAATGTTTCTTTGCAGTTCTGATCCCCAAACATGTGAGAGAGCCCAGCCAAGATCAGCAGAGCCACCTCCCTGACCCTCAGCCAACCTCAGATGGATGGATGAGCCCAGGTGAAACTAGAGGGACCATCCAGCTTACCTGTAGACTTGCAAGCAATAACAATGCTTGTTATTTTATCCCACTGAGTTTCTGGGTGGTTGTTATGTAGGTATCATGAACTGATACAGGAACCATGTAGAATACCAGGAAGACAAGAGTTGCAGGACAACTCAGAGCTCCCCCTCTTCCTGCTCCTTGGGGAAGAGATATGGTAGGGAAACAGATGGACCAGCTAGCTAGTAGAGGCTATCAAATGAATTTAAAAAAAAGAAAAAAAAAACAGCTACTCTTTAATGAGCACCTACTATGCACATGGCAACTTTGTGAGGTGGGCATGGGGGCAGCAGTCACCGCTAGATGCCTACCCAATACATATTCTCCACTTCACTCTTCCTTTTTTACTAACAGAATCTTATTTGGGAGAGGAAACAATGTACCCATATTAAAAAATAATATTTCGTAAACTCCCTTGCAGTTAGAGGTGGCCATGTGACACAGTTTTGGCCAATGAGATGTGAGTGGATAGGGCTTCTGGGAAAGCTCTGTCAGAGGAAGGCTGTCCCCACTGAAGCATACCTTGTGCTGTTTGCTCTACCCATTTCTGGCTCTTAGAAAGACATTGAGGCCAGCCATGGTGCCTCACACCTGTAATCCCAGCACTTTGGGAAGCCAAGGCGGGTGGATCACCTGAGGTCAGGAGTTCCAGACCAGCCTGGCCAACATGGTGAAACCCCATCTCTACTAAAAATACAAAAAATTAGCCAGGCATGGTGGCGCATGCCTGTAATCCCAGCCAACCGGGTGGCTGAGGCAGGAGAATTGCTGGAACCCAGGAGGTGAAGGCTGCAGTGAGCTCAGATTGTGTCACTGCACTCTAGCCTAGGTGACAGAGCAAGACTCTGTCAAAAAAAAAAAAAAAAGAGAAAAAGAAAGAAAGAAGGAAAGGAAGGAAGGAAGGAAGGAAAGAGAGAAAGAGCGAGAGAGTGAGAAAGAGAGAGAGAGAAAGAGAAAGAGAGAAAGAAATAAAGAAAGAAAGAAAGAAAGAAAGAAAGGAAGAAAGAAAAAGAAAAAGAAAGAGAGAGAAAAAGAGAGAGAAAAAGAAAGAGAGAGAGAAGGCTGGAACTATTACAGCCATCTTATTACCATGAGGGAAAAGCCAAGAGAATTACAGAGACTTACACCATGATATTATTTAGCCTCTGAACTAAACACTACCAAATGCCAAACCCAGATATCATGTCGCATGAGGGGGAAAAAATCCTCAGTTTTTCACACCATACTTTGTTGGAGTTTTTCATGACATGGATCCAGCCTATTTCCAAGTAATACATCGAAGATTATTTTCATTTTACAGATCAGAAAACCAACACTTGGAGAAATTAAAAGCTTGCCCCGGGCTGCCAGTATATTATTATATTAATGATCTCCAGTGAATTCCACCTCCCAGTATCTATATCCTTCTATAATTCACCCTCCCTCCCATATTAACTCAGAACTTGACCATGTGACTTGCTTTGGCCAATGGGACATCAGTAAATGTAATGCAAACAAAGGCTTTATAAATGCACGTGCACTTATAAAGGGGCTTCCCTTTTTGGAATGGTCCCTCCCTCCACCATGGGAAGAAACCTTGTCTTCACATGTTTCTCACATGAGAGACCAGGATGAGAAAAGACCACATGGAGAAAGAGGCCCACCTGTCCCAGTGATTCTAGACATTCCCCCTGGGACCTGCCAGCCCTCGCTGCAGCCACACAAGTAACCCCTGCAAAGACCGGCAGAGGAGCCTCCCAACTGAGTCCCATCCAAACTGCAGAATTTTTGAACAAATACATGGTTGTTAATTCAAACCACGAAACATTGGGGTGGTTTGTTACACAAAAGTATATAACTGCTACGCCTAGCTAATAAATGGCAATAGCAGAACTTGAATTTAGATCTGTTTGACACCAAGGGCCACGTTTGTAACCACTCTCCTATTCCCCACCACCATACTCCTGTTTTACTTGTTTAGTCTACACGCTTCCCCCAGGCCTGAGGAAAGACTTGCATTTCCCGTTCAGATTCTGTAAAATCACTTTCCCACGTTGGTGGCTTTTCCTTTCTACTCTGAGCTCTGGACTCTAAGTTGACAGAGTTCCTGTCGGAAAACAAAGAGCATCTGATGCCGACTGAACCTCCAGACACAATCTTGCTCTGATCTCCATTCTCCCGGCTCCAACGCCTTCAACATGTGTGCAGAACTGAGTCAATGATGTCAGAGAGGTGGAACTATTCCCAGAGGGCATTTCATTCACCTAATAATAAAATGTGTGTGTACCTCTCCACTGCCAATCCCTTCTGCAATTAAAGTAGGAACATTTTGCATTCAGGGTGTTCTTGTCATGACTGAAGCCTCAAAGGGCTTTGCAACCCTGGGTGAACCCTCCCGATACCAAGGCCCGTATCTGCCAATCCCTGTCACCCAACACTCCCTTGAGATGACCTCAAGGCATGTATGCTGAATTGAATACCTTTTCCAAAAAGAACCTCTCTGAAGACATCTATTTAACTTGCATTTTCTATGGTACTAGCGTGGTTTAGTTAGGGACATGGACCCTATGTGTGTTGAGGATTTGGTGTAGGTTTCACAGTCTGGCTGTTGGTACTAGCTTCCCCTGTGGCACCTCAGTTCATCCCTGTGTGGCCTCTCATCTTCCAGTAGGTCCGGCCAGCTTCCTTATGTGACATCCACAAGAAAATGTTCCAGCTTTGTAAGTCAGACAGTGTCACTTTTACCACATTCATTTCATTAAAGAAAGTCGCATGTTTCCAAGAGTGAGAAAACAGACTCTACTTCTTGAGCTGCCAAGCACCTAGGGCCATATTGAATCTTCTATGCCTGTATTCAAGGTGAATTGTTGTTATTGACTATTACTTAGGCTGAAGAATGGGACTGACCTCTTTAAGAGTAATGCTGAGTCATCCAGTCAGCCTCAGCCCAAAGACAACACTCCAAGCTGACAGGCGATATTGAGGTCAGTGCAGACACACGGTTTTAGAGCAGAGCAAAAATCACAAGACAGGTCAACAAAGAGAAAGACTGGAGGTGTAAGGACTGCCCTGAAGAGGCACCTGAGAACCTTTCACGGGTGAGAACCACAAAGAGAAATTGAGGCGGCTGGGAGGAGTGGGGAGGGATGAGGGTTGGGCAAGTACCTACCATGTACCAGGTGCATGTCACGAAGGCCTCACACAACCCATCATCATCCTCGTTGCAAATCCTCACACTATGCTAGTGCCAGGGCTGTTGTGCTAATCACTTTATGCAAATGACTTAGTTAATATCAGCAACAATTCTGAGATAGGTGTCACTGTGTCTCCCATCTCACAAATAAAAGAAAACTAAGTCCCAGAGAGGTTAAGTAACTATCCCGAAGTCACACAGCTAGTAGCCAATGGAGTTAGGTTGGGCCATTGTACAGAGGAGAAAAATGAGGCTCAGAGAGATTAAATAACTTGCCAAAGAACACAGAATTGAACTAAGAGTCATGCCTAAATCTTTCTGACTCCCAAAAACGGGGCTCTTTCCTTAAGTGCACTGTGTTGCCTCTGAAGTATTTGCATCATGAGAAAGATTATTCCAGACCCTTCCAGAAAGAGAAGACTGGCTGCCATGGAAGAGGCAGACCCAGTCACCCAGACCTTCTTCATGAAGCAAATTTAACATGAAATTAAAAGTGGGCATTTAAGAATACACTTAAGCTATGAATACACTGTATGCTGCACCCCTAATAATACAAGTGAAGTCAGAAAAGGCAGTGTGTGCCTGGTGCTTACATTTCTTTTCTTTTCTTTCTATTTTGATGTTTAATTTCTTGGCAGTAAGGAGAATTAACTACTTCCTGTCTTAAACAAATGGGGACATATTTATGGGAAGCTGTGTGTAAACACAGGTAGGGTTTCACTGGGAAAGCCTTTGCAGTTTGATTCTCCTGTCACCCCTAAGCTCCCAGCTGGACAGTCTAGTCTAAAAACGGCACTGCTCACGCCTGTAATCCCAGCACTTTGGGAGGCCATGGTGGGCAGATCAGTTGATGCCAGGAGTTCAAGACCAGCCTGGCCAACTTGGCGAAACCCTGTCTCTACTAAAAATACAAAAATTAGTGGGACGTGGTGGTGGGTGCCTGTAATCCCAGCTACTTGGGAGGCTGAGGCATGAGAATCGCTTGAACCCAGGAGGTGGAGGTTGCAGTGAGCCAAGATCACGCCACTGCACTCCAGCGTGGACAACAGAGTAAGACTCTGTCAAAAACAAACAAACAAACAAACAAACAAACAGACAAACATCTCCGACTTCCCTAATGCCCAAGACAGAAGGAAGGGGCCAGTCTAGAAATCCCTACTCAGAGTCGGTCCAGCCTGCAGGCAGCGAGAGGATTTCCCCTGGATCCTGAGCCTATCTGTGCCTTCCTTGAGGCAGCGTTGGTGGGTTCTAGACGGAGAAGAGGGAACGAGGAATTTAGTGGGAAAACCACCGCTCTGGAAGGTGCCCTTGGGAAGGCAGCTCGGACCCTAATCAGACCTAACAAATTCCTGAGTAGAAAAAGAAGAGACGTTGGCATGGGGTCTTTCCAGTCTGTGCTTGGAGAAACGCCCACTTGGGTTTTGGCCATCTGCCTATTATGTTCTAGAAAATTCCACAGGACCCTGAGGGATGAGGCCATTCTGGGAGGGAGCTGAAAAGCAGGATGTGACAGCAGAGATAAGGGATCCTGGCAGGGATCTCCTGCAGACAGAGGGGTGCAGAGCCACCCTCCCTGGGAAGAGAGCTCGGGCTTCCCACCTTCAGACTGGGCCTCAGCTCATGACCCATTCCAAAGATGGAAAAACTTAACTGATTACCATTTTCATGAAACATCTTTGATTTTTCATTGTCTTAGTGAGCCTGGGTTGTAGTGAAGCTTGCAGTTGAGACAAGGATGGAGAACGAGCACTAGGGAGAAGGTGGCAGGGCTGTGTTAAAAATATCTGAATGGCCGGGCGCAGTGGTTCACGATCTGTAATCCCAGCACTTTGGGAGGTCGAGGCAGGTGGATCACCTGAGATCAGGAGTTCAAGACCAGTCTGACCAACAAGGTAAAACCCCGCCTCTACTAAAAATACAAAAATTAGCCAGGCATGGTGGTGTGCACCTGTAATCCCAGCTACTCAGGAGGCTGAGGCAGGACAGTAGCGTGAACCCGGGAGGCGGAGGTTGCAGTGAGCTGAGATTGCGCCACTGCACTCCAGCCTGGGCGACAGAGCGAGACTCCATCTCAAAACAAGCAAAAACAAACAAACAAACAAAACATTCTGTGAGTGCAGGGGACCTTGCCACGCAACAGGAGATGCTGGTTTGTGGGCCAGTGTCTCTATTAGCATTTCCCTGGAGTCTCCCTTTCCACCTGCCACCATGGCCCCCAGGACATGCGGGATCCCTGGGGACAGTGGGCAGCAGCCACAAATCCTCCCAGGGCTCCTCCTCGCTTAGCTCCCTCCTGCCCTCCGAGCCTCTTCCTTCCCTCCCCATCCCCTCTCTGAGCCGGCATTTCTTCCATCTGCCCAGTCCCTGTCTACACATTATTCCTCTTTTGTGATCTCAATGTAATGGAGTGAAATTATCACATAAACACAGGAAGAGTCTCTGGGCCTCTTCTCCTCTCCCCACCTCCTCTCCAGCATCCATCTCCCTCTGGCATTGTCTGTGTGGGCTGTTGGCCACATCTCACTCCCCGCTCCCTGCAGGCACAAACCCAAAAGCCTCACACATTTCAGGCCTCAGAGGGAGGGAGCAGGCCATGGCACATCTGTCCGAGACCTCCCCCTGCCTTTCGTTTTGGGACTGTTCAGACCAACCCACTTTTTTCTTTTCCCCAGTGCCCAAGGGTCTCACCACTTAAAATCACACTCAGATTTCCACGGCAAGTTGAAGCTTTGGCACCTCAGGTGTCCACTGAAATCTCAAACACCCCACAGTCACCCCCAGAGGATTAAGTAGCTTCGAGCTCAAACTTGGAGGATTTCTGGAGAAATGGGGTTCCAGCAGGTACTGGATTCAGTTCAGTCTAACTTCCCCGGAATCATTTCATCCCTCTAGAAAAGACTTGGGGTTCCCAAAGTGTAACCTGGCCCTCTGGAGAGGGCGTGAGGGAGTGAGGTGCTTGTAATGGCCCAAACACTGCTGCTGGACTTGAACTTGATCATCATCAAACAGTTTACTGCTAGGATTCTGATTTTCAAGGAGCTAGGAGTGACTCACTTCATTAAAAGCAAGCACACACTATGTACCCCAGCTTGCTCCGGTTTCTACATGACCCCAGCATTTCCCCAGTGCCTGCAGGAGTACCTGGCACATAGGGGGCTTCCCAAAACGTTTGTTGATTGAAGAAATGACCTCACCCTCTCAAGAGGCTGCCAGCCTCCCGCAGCCCGCAGGAAAGGAATCTGGAAGCTCCCTGCAGAGGGGAAGTTGTCTGATGGTCATCTTTTAGTTTGTTTTCTCTAAGCCTTCACAGTGGGTACTGACTACATTCACCGTTCATATTTTACAGAGAAAAATATTCATCACTTCCCTCTCAGAAAATCAAACGCTGCTTTGCATGTTGGAGAAGAAGCACGATCTAAAAATCCCCACTGGGTAGAGCCAGGCAGAGTGATTCATACCCTCTATTCAGAGGCAAGAATGACATATGTCGTGCACATGTGCCCAGCGCCGACCAAGCGGCCAAGCTGGATTCTCAGAGCAGCCCACTCAGAAGAACATTCCTTATTTTTACCCTTTGCCAAAAACAGAAACTCACACCAATGCTCCCTCATAAATAGCCTTGCCATTTCAGAAGGCTGCTTCGAAGTACAAGATGCTCAGTGGAACTGAGACCACGGAAGCACGACTGTGGTTTATAGAAACTGAATTAGACTCATTATCTAAGAATGAAAGCATTCAGCTTCTAAATATACAGTAGCATTTATTTCTGGCCCACCCTCCGTGTTTGTGTACTTTTTATTTTTTTTTTTAGAAACCTATACCTTTTTAAAGACACTCTCTACAGCACTTGCCACAAAGGACCAGTTTCTAAGTGTGGTTTAAAATAGCTGGTGGCCTCTGGTGCAGTAAAAGGGAAAATCGGAGGAGGGCAGCACCTGAGAAGTGCAGAGACACAGGTGTGTGGTGATCCAGAGGTCTGGGGGAGGATTTTTGTTACTTTGAAAAGCAGATGGAGACTCCACAGCTGTAAGAAGAGCAAGAAGAACAAGTTCTTGCAAGGAACATACTTGGTAAATATAATGATGCTTTATATCAGCACGATTGTCCCAAGACACAGGAAAAATGACAACAAAACCATTCCAATGGCTCCTTTGGGAAGAAGTAACTATGACGCATCACCCTCTTTTGATTTATAATTGGGGAAACTGAGGCTAACTGAGATGAAGCATTGTTCCCAACGTTGTGCAGTAGATGCGAGCCCTAGGTTCTGGCTGTTTTCCACTGATTCGTCAGCCATGAATTTCAACAGTTGGGTGAGATCTGGCTCTCATCCAAACCCTGTGCCAGCAGAAATGATCTTTGTTTGCGGGCAAAGAAGGCAAGAGTAGGAAGGGGACAATGATGGTGTCTGCCTTGACCCCGGTGGGAAGCATCACTGGGTTGTTTCTCCTCCGTGATTACTCACAGCCTAACTGCAATCCATTCTCTCCTGTTTTGCAGAGGTTCTCATCCTGAGTTTCCCCAAACAGCTCCTATTGGACCAAGTCTAGTCTTACAATCCCGTGGTGGGGAGAAATGGCCCCCCAGAGATATGCCCACATCCTAATCCCTAGAACTTGTGGATATGGCCTTATTTGGATAAAAGGTCTTTGCAGATGTAATTAAGTTAAAGATTTTAATGAGGAAATCATCCTGGGTTATCTGGGTGGGTCCTGAATGCAACACAATGTCCTTACAAGGCACTTATACAGGGAGGGAGATTTGACACAAAATAAGAGGAAAAGGTGATTTGAAGATGGAGGTAGAGATTGGAGTGATGCGGCCACAACCCAAGGGAAGCCAGCAGCCCCTAAGGAGCTGGGAGAGGCAGGGAACAGATTATCCCCTAAAGACCCTGTAGGGAGTGTGGCCCTGACAACACCTTGACTTCAGATTTCTGGCCTCCAAAACCGTCAGAGAATAAATATCTCTTGTTTAAGCCACACAGCATGAGGTAATTTGTCACGGGAGCCACAGGAAACTAACATAGACTACATCCTGTCTAGAATTCTGTTAGATTTGCCTAAGGGCTAAATTGCAACTCCCAAAATCTGATACAATGGAGGCTTGCTTTCCTGTTTTGTCATTCTCTCAACAGTTACTTAGGAGTGCTTACTAGGCACTAACAGTGAGCTAGGTGCTGGGATAATGATGGGCAAATAGACACAAACCCTGATTTCATGCAGCTTACAGCAGGGGAAATAGTCAGGAAGCAAATACCAACACCAACTGCATTATAATCTGTAATAAAGGCTGAGAAGGCAGAGTGCAGGTGGTGTGACAGGTGATGGCAGGTAATGGCCTCATGTGAAGAGGAAGAGAGTGAGCTTGAGACTGAGCCCTGAGGTCTAATAGGAAAAGGGGCTTTCCAGTTAGAGAAAACAGCCCGTAGGGAGACCCCCAAAGCAGGAAGGATGTGGAAGCTTTCAAGGATCGACTACAGGCAGAAAGCAAGGAAGGGAATTTTAATCTCTGTCCTTAGGACATGGGGAAGCCAAGTGTTTTATGCAGAGGGGTGGCCCAATGAGATGAAAGTTTCCAGCAGCTCAGTCCGGCTGTGAAGGAGATGGGAGTGGGCCAAGACCAGTGAGGAGACTCTTGAGAAGCCCAAGCAAGAGATGGTGGTGGTTTTGATACGGGAGGGGGGCAGGGAAGTGCTGGGTAGAGAAGGGCAGGGCTCCTGGTGAGGGCTCCACCCTCGGTCTTGTGCCCATGGACCTAAGTGATAACCAGCACTCCTGTTTCCACGCCCAAATGTTGCATTGTCCAAGACTACTCCTAACCACTTCACCCCCGATCCTGTGCCCATAAAAACCCTGAGACCCTAGCGGGCACAGACACAAGCAGCTGGACGTTGAGAGAAGCAGAAGATCACGCAACGGACACCAGCAGACACTGGCAGGCCACTGACAGCAGGACAACATGGAATTCAGTCAGGGGCAGTCAGAGGAGAGTCCGGCTGCTGAGCGGCCCACTCCAGGGAAAGACCACCTTTCCACCCCAACCCCCTTCTGGATCCCCATCCATCTGCTGAGAGCTACTTCCTCCACTCAATAAAACCTTGCACTAATCCTCCAAGCCCACGTGTGATCTGATTTTTCCAGTACACGAGGGCAAGGACCCGGAATACAGAAAGGCCTCTGTCCTTGCGATAAGGCAGAGGGTCTAACTGAGCTGATTAACACAAGCTGCCTATGGATGGCTAAACTGAAAGAATTCACTGTAACATGCCCACTGGAGTTTCAGGAGCTGTAAACATTCACCCCTAGACACTGCCGTGGGGTCAGAGCCCAAAAACACTCTCCACAACCTGCCTGTCTGCATGCTTCCCCTAGGAGTTTGAGCAGCAGGTCACTGACAAAGTGAGCCACACCCCTGTCACACACCCTGTGAGGGGGATAAGGGAACTCCTCCCATTTCAGTTTGTACTAGGATGGGAACTGCTGAGATGGGGAGAAGTGGGTGGATTCCAAAGGAGTTGGTGATGGGTTGGAGGTGGGTGGTGGAAAGGATACAAACCGGGTTTCTCAGTTGTACCACAGCCAGGATAGAAGTGCCAGAGCCATTGGGAATATTCAAGAAGGACTCAGATTTGGGCAGAGAAAACAACAAGTATTTTCATTTGGAATGACCATGCATCTTAGTTTTCCAGGGACAATCCAAGTTAAGCCTATCATCCCAAAGTCTTGTCTGGTTTAGTTTAGAATTTGTTATTCTCAAAAATGCCCTGGTTTGGACCAATACATTTAACAGTCACTCTAGGCTAAGATTTGTGTGATTTGAAAGGCCTTGGAGACATCTGAGAGAAGATTTTGAGAATCTAGAATGAGAAGAGAAGGAGCCCAGGAGTGAAGCTTCCTGAACTTTAGTATCTGAGGACAGGCAAAGGTCGCCAAGCAGGCAGGGTCTGAGAGTAAGGAGGCCAGAAATGTTACGGGAGGTGCATGCCCTGTGTTCTAGTTTTCCTAGAGAGCCTTCAAACTTTTTCTATAAAAGGCCAAATGAACATTATTTGGCTTCCCAGGTCAAATGGTGTTGGTCGCTGATATGATTTGGCTCTGTTTCCCCACCCAAATCTCATCTCGAATTGTATTCCTGTAATTCCCACATGTTGTAGGAGGGACCCAATGAGAGATAATTGAATCATGGGGGCTGTTTCTCCCATACTGTTCTTGAGATAGTGAATAAGTCTCACGAGATCTGATGGTTTTATCAGGGGTTTCTATTAGCTCTGCATCCCCACCCGAATCTCATTTTGAATTATACTCCCATAATTCCCAAGTGTTGTGGGAGGGACCAGGTGGGAGATAATTAATAATGGAGGCGGTTTCCCCCATACAGTTCTCGTGATAGTAAATAAGTCTCATGAGATCTGATGGTTTTATCAGGGGTTTCTGCTTTTGCGTTTTCCTCCTTATCTCTTTGCCTGCTGCCACATATGTAAGACAGGACTTGCTTCTCCTTGCCTTCCACCATGATTGTGAGGCTTCCCCAGCCACATGGAACTGTAAGTCCAATTAAACCTCTTTCTTTTGTAAATTGCCCCATCTTGGGTCTGTCTTTATCAGCAGTGTGAAAATGGACTAATACAGTTTCTAATACCCAACTATGCCATTGGAGCAGCTTTAGGCACTGCATAAATCAACCAGTGTGGCTCTGTTCCAAAAAAACTTCATTTACAAAAACAGGTATGAGCTACATTTTGCCCACAGGGAGTAGCTGGCAGACCTCACTTTAGAATAACACTCTGGGCCTCTCCCTTCTTTATTCCTCTCCAGTGGAGGTGGGAAGGGGAGCAGGGCATTGGCACTGACGGGTTTTACTGGAGAGCTTAGGCCACCCCCTCTTTGGGGAGCTCTGTCTGAGTGCAGAGAGCTCCACACTGGAAGTCGTAGGGGGCGGGACTTCTAGGAGGGCCCTAAAGCTGTTCAGTGCTGACAGAAACAGATCTATGATCCAGCCTGATTCTAGGGTGAGGCATTAGTAGTCCCACTTGGCTAAGAGCACTAACTATGGTCTGCAATCCTAGTTTTGTCAGAAATGGAAGTGAAATTGTGACTCCATCTGCATGATATTTTTGCTCCAAACTGGGACGGGGAGGACTAGGTACATTGACCACCGCCCTGGCCAACCCCAACAGTAAAGGAAGTGTCTATTTCTCAGTTCCACTGTATTTTGGGTTGGATCTTTTTGTTGATGACTTGCCACTCTTTCAGGCAACTTCAGAAATAGTGTAGTCACTGTAGAGTCTGGTAGCATCTATTCTCTCTTCTGCTAAATGAAAACACATGACGGCCTGGTTGCTAAGTAATACAAGTAATGCATGTTGATGTAAACGGTGGTCGAGAGGTGGAGTTGGGGTGAGACACAAATGGGGACATGACCTTGAAGGCTCTGGAGAGTCTCCCAGGTGGGGGTGGGGGCTAAGTTCCCTCTCGCTTCTGTCTCGCTTTCAGATGCCCACCCTCACTCAAAAACATCATTAGGTTTGCAGCAATTACCCAAGGACTACACATCCTTTATTATTATTATTACGAAATACAGACAAGCAAAGGAGAAAATAAAAACCACCTTTAATCTCCACCCAGAGATACTTATTAATAACGGTTTGGCATGTATTTTTCCAGATGCAAAAATGAGATCATATTATCCATGTTGTTTTGTGGTCTGCTTTTGGCATTTAAAATATAATAAATATCCTTCCCTGTTGCAGAGAAGAACATACACCGTGATTTTTATGACACGATTCATTTACCCAGTCCTCTGTGATTGGCCATTTAGCTTGTTTCCAAGTTTTCCCAGTAAAAACAATGCTACAGTGTGCATTCTTATAGCTAGTTCTGGGAGCACTTTTTGAATTATTTTCTTAAACTGAATTCCAAGAACACAAGCATGATTGTAGAAGACCTCATCCTTCTAAGGGAGCCGTGACTTGAAGTAGGTTTAAGTTTCCTATAGAGGAAGAGCAGGCTTGGCTGTGCTTACATGTTGTTTCCAGCAATCTCTTGACAACTGCCGTGGTGGGTTATGGACTTAGAGCCTCACTCTAGAGGAATCCCTGACCTGCTAGGAGAGTATAATAGTGTGGAATCTCTGCTTTCATCTCTCCGGGGAAGATGGGCCTTGTCAGTTGCAATGGAGAGACCAGAAAAATGCAAAGATCAAGAGACTAGGTGAGTCCCAGCCATTTAGAAGAAGATGAGGTGAGAATACCCCAAATATTCCCTCTCTCTGCACTGCGAGAAGTGGGGAGTCTGAAGTTTTCTCCCTCTTTTTGCCATATTTTAAACTATGTCATCAGAGCTTGGTAAGGTTCCCTTAGGGGCCAGAAATGGCTCATTGGGAGGCCCCTCAGTTATTCAGAACTCACTGAAGCAGGGGTCTAGGAGAGGGGCAAGCACCTGGCTCCGGGCTTCATGGAGGAAGGAAGTGAACCCTAGGACTTCCTTCTGGACCATCCAGCCCAAGTCAGCAGGTCAGGAAAGAGCTAGACTCAGGGCAGAAGTCCTACCAGGAGTAAGGAACATGTCTTTGGCTTCCATCTTCCTTATTATTCTTTCAGATTCAAGGAGATGTGGCAGGTGGGCTGCAGCAGCCACCTCAGAGGGAAGGGCTCCCTAAAAAGGGGCTGGATCTCCACATCAACTCCAAAACTCTGCATCACCTAAGATGCTCCCACAGAGGTTCTCAGCCCCACCATGCATCCGGGTCACAGTGAGCAAATTTAAGGCACAGGTGCTTAGACCCCAGAGGTTCTGACTTAATAGGCCCAGGGAGAAGCCTCAATGTTGGTAAGACTTTAAAAGGCTTCGAAGCCACTGAGTAATTGCTTTAGATGGCAGGGAATGGTGTAAAGGTAACTCAGTGGGCTTTGGAATTGACTGATTGATCTGAGGGCCTGGATAATGGGAATAAAAATAAACAATAGTATGTACCTCTATAAAGTGGCTTCCACACAGTAGGTACTCGAATGGCAACTAAACATGATGAGCATTAATTATTTGCATGGCTGCACGAGGAAATATAAAAGGGAATGGAAGAACAGGTGGTGGGAGAATACAGCACAGTCACTCTTGCTTGTCAAATCTGACCTAAGAGTCTTGGCATCAAAAGAGAACTGGAACTATTTTTTTGCAGCAAACGAAAGGTAAAGGGCTAGTCTTAAATGTTGGCCCTGGGATCCAGAATTCCTATTTGTACCAATGTGCTGTGCAAATGGTTTACGGATGGAGTGGCCATTTAGCTTTATCTTGCCTTCCTGGCCTGCTGTTAGATTGGAGGGCTGGGGTCTGCCTTGTGTTAAAGATTATCTCCCTGGAGGGAATGTAATCTGCTATTAGTATGTCTTGTAGGTGGAGGCCAACTGCTTTCCCACAGTCTAAATCTGAATCCTGTTTACCCACCATTCTATTTAGTAACAGCCATTGGCCAAGGGGAAGAGAATGAAGGATTCCAAGACAGGCTTAAAGCTTTCAGTCTAAAATGAATAGGTGTTTCCTCCTGCAGGTTTAGGATGATCTCTTTGTGTAACTCACAAGGAGGCTAATCCAATTCCAGGTCTAAGGTCGTCACATCACCGCTTTTAAGGTCCCCTGAAAAGTCCACGGTAACTCAAGCAGTCTTTCTCCCTTAGATGCTTTATACTTCAAGATTCTGGTCTCTTGACTTTTTAATTGATCTTCACTTGGCACTTCATACTTGGAACACATCAGCTGGAAGGTTCTTTGTCCCCTCCCTGAGAAATTAACGATGTGTGGGGAAACTTTTAGATGCACCAGGGGAATGCTAATTAAAAGAGGCCTGCTCCGAGACCTTCCGCAAAACAATCATCCTTTGAATACGTGGCTGCTCACCCTGCCCCAATCTGTCTGCTTTGTACGTTTGGGTTTCATGTATTAAGAGTTGCTTAGTGTAGGACTCACTTTTGAACCTCCTTCAGGCTCCAAGATAAAGCCTTGAGCTGGGTCTGCAGGGAGCAGTGTGAGCCAGTTAGCATGTGGTGGTGACGGCCACAGCCTCTTGCTGGGCTCTAAATCATGGCTAAAACCCCAGAGCTAAAAGCATCACCCCTTTCTGGCACTTTCAATTGAAAAACCATGCTATATTTTTGTTTCCAATTATAGAAGGAGAAAAATAAAAGCATCTGGAACTCATTACTGTCCCTTTATTCCACGCCATAACTTTAAGAAAGCAAAATAAGCACTCTCACAAATGCACAGGAAAAGAGAGGAAGCAATGACTCCAGAACTAAGCCCTCACACCCCAGACCCCACTCCCCTGTGCATCTCTGTGCCCATATTGCAAACACATGGAGCGTGGGGTTTATGACGGAAATCTTGACAGCTCGCCGGCTCACAGGTCTCCGGCTCTTGCAAGGAGGAAGCTCAAGGGAGTCTGCAAGTCACCCGGCTGCTCAGGACACTGGCTCCCTCTGTCTGGCCGTTCCTAATGTGCAACACTTGACCCCAGCCCAAGAACTCAAGCCCAAAAAGGTCAGGCCTTCTCCCGAAACGTCTGCGTGGATGGCAAGGATCCTGGTTCCAGGAATCCAAGACTCCAGTGGATGATAGGAAGAACTCAACTTGCAAAAAAGGCAAGGTGGTATCTGCTTTCATGCCACACAGAAGAAGATTGACACATGACTCCTGGGGGTCTTGGGACCCAAACCTGAACTCCTTGGCATGCCACACAAGGGCCTTCCTGGTCTGCTCCTTGTTGCTGCCCTGGAATTGTTATCATTGTGCTCCCTGAGCACACTGTCCTCTCCCAGATGATAATTTCTTTCTCTAAACAAACCGTGAACAGCCTTGTCCTTGCCCAAACAGCTCCCCAGTCTTCAAAGCCCTTCCTCGACCCATTTCTATGCCTTTGCCCATGCCTGATAACATAGTTCATAAATAGTGCCTTCGTTCGAAAGGCACTCTAAATAGTTACTGACCTCTAACTCCATGCTCAGTGTAGTGGTGGGGTTGGGGCTCAGAAATACAATACCCCCAAACATGGCATCTTGGAAATTAAGAAAACAGCAGAAGCAGAAAGGTCATTCTCTGGCTTTTTTCCACCTTCCTGTGTAAGAGCTGGCCATAAAGGAATTCTCTCATCTACCTCTTCTGAAAGTAGGTCACAAGACCCTATGTGACAGGTGTCCTGCCCTATACCCAGAGGAAAGGAATGCTACACAGACAGGCCAAGAAGGATCTGAAAAAACAGGCCATGCTAATTCCCTTTAATTTATTATTATTAGGTCATACCCCTCTTATCTGATCATATTTCTACCTAACTGCCCATTCTTCATGAAACATAAGCATAAAAATACAGTTTTCCCTGGGTCTTTACTTGTTCATTTCTTTAAAAAAAAAAAAAAAAGCCTTTAGGAGACTGGGTTTTACTCTGTCACCCAGGCTGGAGTGCAGTGGTGTGATCATAGCTCACTGTAGCCTCAACTCTTGGACTCAAGTGATCTTCCTGCCTCAACCTCCCAAGTAGTTGAGACTACAGGTGTGTGCTGTCTCACCCAGCTAATTTTAAATGATTTTTTTTTTTTTAGAGACGGGATCTTGATGTGTTGCTCTGGCTGGTCTCAAACTCCTGGCCTCAAATGATCTTCCCAGAGTGTTGGGATTATAGGCTTGAGCCACCACATCTGGCCTAACTGTTCATTTCTGAAGACTCTCATGTCATGGGAAAGCTTGGTTAAATAAATTTGCTATGCTTTTATCTTGTTAATTTGTCTTTTGTTATGAGGCTGTCAGCCAAGGACCCCTTGATGGGTGAGGAAAAGATATTACTGTTTCTTTTTTTTTTTTTAGACGGAGTTTCGCTTTTGTTGCCCAGGCTGGAGTGCAATGGCATGATCTCAGCTCTCGCAACCTCCACCTCCCGGGCTCAAGCGATTCTCATGCCTCAGCCTCCCGAGTAGCTGGGATTACGGGCATGTGACACCTAGCCCAGCTAATTTTTGTATTATTAGTAAAGATGAGGTTTCTCCATGTTGGTCATGGCCTCGAACTCCTGACCTCAGGTAATCCACCCGCCTCGGCCTTCCATAGTTCTGGGATTACAGGTGTGAGCCACTGTGCCTGGCCGATATTAGCTTTTCTCGGCTGCAGTAGACACTAGAGCTACAGGAGAGAAAAAGACAGGGTCCTTGGCCTCAGAGAACCTAAAGGGGAGTGCACATTCAGTTTGGTTTATTTTTAGCCCGTGACTACGAGGTATCTGGCACTGTAGGGGTGTTTTGGTTTCCTATGGATGCTATAACAAACTTAATAGCTCAAAACAACCACAAATTTATTAGTTTACTATTCTGTTGTCCAGCACGAGTCTAGGCTAAAATTAAGGTGTCAGCAGGAGTGCATAACTTCCTGGAGGCTTTAGGAGAGAACTGGTTTCCTTGCCTTTTCCAGCTTCTAGAGACCATACTTTCCTTGGCTCCTGGCCACATCCTCCATCTTCAAAGCCAGTAAGAGCAATAGGGGCCTTTGCATACCACATCACTCTCTCACTGTCTCCCTCTTCTATTTCTAAAAACCCTTGTCCAAACCCTTGTCTAAAAACATTTGGTCCACATAGATAATCCAGTATAATCTCTTTAAAGGCAGATGAGTAGCAACTCTCATTCCATCTGCAATCTTAATTTCCCTTTGCCATGTAATGTAAAACATTCCCGTGATTAGGACATGGACTGGACGTCTTGTGGGGATGCATTATTCTGTCTACCACAGAGGACCGAATGATAAAGGGAATACTGTCATTCCCCTTAAAGAGACATTTTTGCAAAGCCTTCCTTAAAAACACAAGCAGGATTAAGAAACTCCTTCTATATTCCCATTACACTGTCTGCACTTTAAAAACACCTCTTTTATAACATTTAACATGCTTAAAGCAGTGTTTGTCAGAGCGTGGGACAAGTAATACTTGATAGTTTGCATTTAGTCATTTTGCACTTTAATAATTATGCATTTATTTTAATGTGAGTGAAGAGCATAAGCAGCATATCCAACCTGTGATATAATCTTTCCTTTTAAATTAAATCCATTTAAGCTTTTAAAGAGTGAGATGTAAAATATGAATTAGTGGTACATACTGTATAGGCCAAGGCAAAAAAAAAAAAAGGAAGGAGTACTTGAGATGACTGCAATATAGGAAAATTACAGTTAATGTTTTCTGGATAAATTCTGAGTTCCTTAAGGGCAGAGATTTGTCCATCTGCTTATTACTGTATTAATTTTCATATTTCTGGAATCTGACGTCTATGATGGCATAGGTGCTCAAATGTTTATTGAATGAATAAATAAAGTAGGATTGTCTTGTAGACTTCTATTTGCTTCAACTTTACACCTTTTGAATTACTTTCACATTATGGAAATGCAGCTAAAGTAACAGTTGAACAATCATCATCTGATATTTTAGTTAGTTCATTTTAGTGAGATTTTGCTATAATGTGTACTCTGTGGAAATAATATATGAGGGCACAAATATTAAAGATTAAACGTGGCTGAGGCTCAGATTGTTGTTAGTGAATTAACAAGTGAAAATTATACCAAAGTATAGGAAGGTGGAAGCTGATATATACACTAGATTTCCATCTTTTCCCTCTTGGTGCCTGAATCTTAGTAAAAGTGTTCTGGTTTGGGGGATGTTTCTTGAATTACATGGTTCATTAGCTCGTTCATGCATTCAGCACTATGGCAGGTCCATTGTCGCTGAGAATAAGCAAGATGTGGAGGACACAAAAATAAGACCCAGTCACTGCCTTTGAGAAGCTTTGATAGCAAGATCCACACTTAAACCTATTACTGCCACATAATCAAAGAGCTATGCCAGGAATGACAGTTCCTGGGCTTGGAAGCATTCAAGCTGAGTTTGCAGTTTGAGTTCAATCAAGTTAATTAATGCTGCACCAAAGAAAGCAAAAACAAATAAACTCCTGTGAAAGAATATAACAGAATCCAGAATTCTACAACATAAACTTTGTAATATGCAGGGTACAATAAAAAAAACTATTCAACATATGAAAAGCCAAGGAAATGTTACCCATTCTTGAGAGAAAAGACAATCAATGGAGATCAAAACCAGATGGTGAAATTTGCAGACTTGGGTTTTAAAGCACCTTTGAGCCACATTCATTGACTTAAAGGAAAATATGCTTGCAATGAATGAAAAAATAGGAAATCTCAGTGGAGAAATATAATCTATAAAAAGACCCAAATAGAAATTCTAGAACTGGGCCGGGCGAGGTGGCTCACACATATAATCCCAGCACTTTGGGAGGCCAAGGCAGGTGGATTGCCTGAGCTCAGGAGTTCGCACCAGCCTGGGCAGCATGGTGGAACCCGGTCTCTACTAAAAAATTCAAAAACAAATTAGCCAGGCATGGTGGTGTGCACCTGTAGTCGCAGCTACTCAGGAGGCTGAGGCAGGAGAATTGCTTGAACTCAGGAGGCAGAGGTTGCAGTGAGCCGAGATCATGCCACTGCACTCCAGCCTGGGTGACAGAGCAAGACTCTGTCTCAAAAAAAAAAAAAAAAAAAAAAAGAAAAGAAATTCTAGAACTGAAAAACACATCTGAAATTTAAAATGTACTGGATGTGCTTGAGAGCAGAATGAGAATGATACAGGAAAGAGTCAGTAAACTTTAAGATAGATCCATGGAAATTATTTAATCTTGAAAAAAAAAGGGAGAGAAAAAAAAGGTTTAAAAACTAAATAGTCTCAGGAACCAGTTAAAAAAAGTTTAACATATATGCATTTGGAACCTCAAAAGGAGATAAGAAAGACTATTTATCTTTCTTAATTATTTTTCTACTGCCCTTATTTGGAGGTAATGGTTCAAAAAAACAATTGTAATAAATAATGGATGAAATTTCCCCAAATTTTGTGAAAGACATAAATTTACAGATTGAAGAAACTCAGCAAACCCCAAGCAAGTTAAATATGAGTAAATATGAAGAAAACCATGCCTAGGGGACATCATAGCTAAATGCTGAAAATAAAAATAAAGGGGAAAAATCTTAAAAACAAGCAAAGAAAAATAATATAATACATAGAGGAGACAAAGATTTGAATGATTTTTGACTTCTCATTAAAAACTCTGGAGGCCAGAAGACAGTGGAAGAACATCTTTAAAGTGCTGAAAGAAAATTCACTTGGCAAACATTCAGTGAAAATATTCTTCAAAAACGAAGGTGAAATAAAGATATTTTTAGATAAAAAGAAAAGAGAATGTGCTAACAGAATGACACTACCAGAAATAAAAGAAAAATTTTAAGTTGAGGAGAAATAAGAAAAGCTGGAAAATCAAGTCCTTAAGAAGGAATAAAGACTGTCAGCAATGACAAATGTCTGTCTAAATATCAACCCTATAACTGGGAACTATATCCCTCCTTCCCTATATGAGTTCTGTTTAAAGTTGAACACAAAAGGAATTCCATGATATCTCTGACATGGAAAGGAAGCAGTAACCATTACTCCCTGAAGGCTTAGAGTCAGATGCAGCGACTGAAGAAGAAACAACTTGGGCTTGGTTTACAGATGGTTCTACACAATATACTGGTACCGCAAAGGAGAGCTGCAACACGACATTGCCACTGAAGGACAGGGGTAAACAGAAATTCTCTCCGTTGGCAGGAATTCAAGCAATGTACTTGTTGTTCATTTTGTCTGGAAGAAGAAGCGGCTAGAGATATGTATGTATACTGGCTTATGGGCAATGGCAAATGGTTTGGCCAGATGGTCAGGGACTTGAAATACAATTGGGAAATTAGTGACAAGAGGATCTGGGGAACAGATATGTGGATATGTGGATAGGCCTCTCTGAATGGACACAGAGGACAAAGATATTTGTGTGCCACATGAATGCTTGCAAAAGAGCAAACTTACCCGGGAAGATCTTAATAGACAAGACAGCCCATTCTGTAGATGTCAGTCTCGTTGCCACCTTTCCCTGGCTTCGCCCAATGGACTCATGAACAAAGTGAACATTGTAGCAGGGTTAGAGACTATGCATGGGCTTTTGCTTACCAAAGCTGATCCACCTACAGCCACTGCTGGGTGCCCAACCAGCCAGCTGCAGAGATCAACAATGAGCTCCTGATAAGTTATCATTCCCAAAGGAATCAGCCAGGCACATGGTAGCATATTTTTTACATTCTCTATCACTTCCATATGGCAGTGATAGCACTTTGGTCTCACCAAAATAGACATTTACTCTGTATATGGATTTGTCTTTCTTGCCTGCGAACCTTCTGCTAAAACCATCGTCTCTAGGCTCACAGAGTGCTTTATTTAGTGCCATGATATTCCATGTAGCATCACTGCTGATGGGAGGGCTCATTTTATAGCACATGAAGTGCCACAATGGACTCATACTTATAGAATGCCCAAGTCTCACAATCATCCTAAAGCAGCTGGCCTGGTAGAATGATGGCATAGCCTTTTGAAGACTCAGTTGTAGCGTCAGCTGGGTGGCAACATTTATGGGCCTCCAGAATGTGATACTTGCTCTAACTCCATATTGGCTGATGTTTCTCTCAAAGCCCGAATTAAGATGTCCGGGAATCAAGGGGTGGAAAAGGGAGTGATTTCTCTTACTAGTCCCTTAATAATTCACAAGCAAAGTTTTTGCTTTTTGTCCCCATTATTTTGGGTTCTGCTTGTCTAGAGGTGTTTGATTCTGACAGAAGACACAACAGTGGTTCTATTAAACTGGAAGCTGAGACTGCCACCTGGCTCCTTTGTGTTTCTCGTGCCATGAACCAACAAGTGGAGAAAGAGCTTACTGCACTGACTGGGGTGCTCCATCCTGACTCTCAAGTGGAAACTGGGTGGTGACCTCACATGAGGGCAGATGAGCGGATGTCTGAACCATAGGAGATCCTCTTGGGCACCTCTTAGCACTCCCATGTCCTGTGACAAAAGTTAGCAGGAAACGACAACAAGCCAGCTCAGACAGGATTGCCAGTGGCACAGAACTTTCAGGAATGATGAAAGCATGGCTGCTGAGGTGCTTGCTACAAACAAAGAAAATATGGACTGGGTGGGGAAGAAGTAAGTGATGAATGTCAGCCATGACCATGTGGCCAGTTGAAGAAAACAAAGACTGTCATCATGATTAGTAATTTCAAAAAGGGACCCAGCTAGAAGAGAAATGAGTATCACACAAAGATGGATAAGAGGAAGATTTGTGTATCCTCTTTTGGGGAAAGGATGACATGTTTGGGGTGTTCAAGTTGTGCATCCTGTTAGGTGGAGGCATTATTTTTCTACTGCCTTTATTTGGAGGTAATGGTTCAAAGAGGTGTGTGTGGATACCAAGTTGATATAGAGTCCAGGGGTGTCCAATCTTTTAGCTTCTCTGGGCCACATTGGAAGAAGTATTGTCTTGGGCCACACATATGACACATTAACACTAATGATAGCTGATGAGCTTTAAAAAAAATTGCAAAAATAATCTCATAATGTTTTCAGAAAGTTTACAAATTTGTGTTGGTCCATATTCAAAGCTGTCCTGCGCCGCATGCAGACCTCAGGCCACAGGTTGGGCAAGCTTGGTGTAGCCTGTGTTAGATTGTCCTATTGACAACTTGGTTGAGTTGGAAATTTCACTCCCAGAATCCTCTTCTCTATATGATTCTGCGTTAAATTTGGCCAAAAGGGGAACTTGAAAAAGATCTGGGAGGCAGAGGCCGGGCACGGTGGCTCACGCCTGTAATCCCAGCACTTTGGGAGGCTAAGGCAGGCAGATCACAAGGTCAGGAGACTGAGACCATCCTGGCTAACACAGTGAAACCCCGTCTCCACTAAAAATACAAAAAAAAAAAAAGAAAAAAAAAATTAGCCGGGTGTGGTGACGGGCACCTGTAGTCCCAGCTACTCGGGAGGCTGAGGCAGGAGAAAGGTGTGAACCTGGGAGGCAGGGCTTGCAGTGAGCCGAGATAGCGCCACTGCACTCCAGCCTGGGTGACAGAGTGAGACTCCATCTCAAAAAACAAAAACAAAAACAAACAAACAAACAAACAAAAGATCTGTGAGCCAGAAGTGAAGCAGCATCATTTTTGCAGGGCATCACAGTTACATGCAGAAACAACAGCACAGAGGTGCCAGGGATCCCAGCTTGGCCTTGCTCCCCGCCTGCTCCATGCCCAGCACATCCTCCTGACAGTAGATCCCCTGACCAATAGTGGCCCTGGGGCCACCACCAGACTCTTGGTGGTGGACCCACAGAGTGGTGGTTGCGCTCAGGCAGCAGCCTCCCATCAACATGTCCCCCACTTCATGGTCCCACTTGGTGGCTGGATGTACCTGTTCTCTCACATTTCTCCTGAAAGCTCCAACTTGTCCACCTACACCAGTGCTTCAGGGAAAGCTGGTTAATGACTTCATCTCTAGCCCTCTAACTCTCCTTAACTACCTTCACCTCCCCAGTTCCTCTCATCATTATGTAAGGTCTAATTCCTGAACTAAATGTCTTATTAGGTTGCTGCAAAAGTAATTGCTGTTTTTGCCATACTTTCAATGCCATTACTTTTGAAAGGAATGGCAAAAACCGCAATTACTTTTGCAGCAACTTAATATCTAACAACATTGATAGTGGTTCCACTTCCCTGGATGTATTTTGGCTTCCATACTAGGTGGCATGGGGGAGGGGAGGTGGGGATATACTAGAGTTCCTTAGAGAAATAGGGCCAATACTATATATATAATATAATATTATACATATATATGATTTCTTATGGGAATTGGCTCATGCAATTATGGAGACCAGGAAGTCCCATGATGTACTGTTGCAAGGTGGGGAACCAAGAAAGCCAGTGATGTAATTCAGATTCCACAGGCCTGTGAAACAGGGGAGGCAATGGCCTCCTAGTCCGAGGCCAAAGGCCTGAGGACTGCAGTGGGACAGGGGAGGCCTGGAGGGTAAGTTCCAGGGTCCACTGGCTGGAGAAGCAGAAGCACAGAAGTCTAGATGGAGGTCCCAGTGCAAGGAAAAAGAGAATGTGCCCTTCCTCCCCCTTTTTGTTTTATTTCAGGCCTGCAATGGATTAGATGATGCCTACCCACAATGGGGAGGGTGGGTCTTCTTGACTCCATCCACTGATTCAAATGCAAATCTCCTTCAGAAACACCCTTGTAGACACACCCAGAAATAATGTTTTACCAGCTATCTTGGCCACCCTTAGCCAGGCAACTGGACAAGTAAAATTAACCATGACTAGTAGTGAATTGCACACTTGTGCTGGAAGTTTCCATCCATCAAGAGGTACATCATTTCTGCTTAAGCCTTATTAGCCAAAGCAGATCCGATGGCCACACCTAACTTCAAAAATGGCAGGGAAATGCGATCCTATTGAGCCTAAAAGGAACTTGAACCAGAATATTTGTGAACATGTGAAGGTGACCACCATGCATAGGAAATAAGTAAATGACCAATAGATATTTGGATATTTGGATGAATGTATAGATGTGAGATTTTAAATATTTATAAAGGTCAGTAGAAATCAACAAAGAGGAAAACAAATTTTATTGGTCAGGTCTCATGCACTATGCACTAACCTTGTATAAAATCACTTACAAGCTTTTCGTTAGACCTCAAAAACTCCTATAAAATAAATTTCCTTCTCATTTTACAAACTCCATGAAATCAGGAACCATGCTTTTTTTAATGGGCTGTATTTTTTAGAGCAGTTTTATGTTTACAGGAAAAACATTGAGAAGATAGTCTGGAGAGTTTACATAATGTTGATGAAAAGAGTCAAACTCTGTAAAATATTTGAAGAGATTTATTCTGAGCCAAATATGAGTGACCATGGCCTGCGACACAGCCCTCAGGAGGTCCTGAGAACATGTGTCCGAGGTGGTTGGGGTACAGCCTGGTTTTATGTATTTTAGAGAGGCATATTTTAGGGAGCAATCAAATACATTTAAGAAATACATTGGTTTGGTTTAGAAAGGCGGACAACTCAAAGCAGGGGCTTCCAGGCTATAGGGAAATTTAAACATTTTCTGGTTGACAATTGGTTGAGGTTATCTGAACACCTGGGATTGATAGAAAGAATGTTCATGTTAAAGATAAAGGATTGTGGAGACCAAGTTTTATTGTGCAGATGAAGTTCTTACCAGACTTTAGAGACAGCAGGTGGTAAATTGTTTTATATCAGACTTAAAAGGGCACCAGGCTCTTAGTTGATTATCTCCTGGATTTGGGAAGGAAGGAAGGAAGGAAAACCAAGGGGAAAAGGGATTCTCTACAGAATGTGGTTTTTTCCCACAAGAGACTTTGCAGGGCAATTTCAAGGTATGGCAAGGAAATATATTTTGGGGTAAAACATTTTGATTTTCTTCCTTGTTATGCCAGAGTCAGATTGGAAAGTCACGAGATACAGGATTAAATAAAATCCATTTGATAAAAATTTCTGGTTTTTAGGACCTCTTAGAAAGGAATTTGGGTAAGGTAAAAAATCAGAGTTTAGTCTTCAGTCCTCCCTCTTGGCCAAAAAGCATTCACAGAAAGCATATGCAGGCCAACAGCGGCAGATTCCATGGCTCTAGGAGCACTTATTCCTAGAGTTGTCTGATCTGTTCATTTGGCGAGGTCCCACGGTGCTAGGAAGGCTTATTCCTAGTGTAGTCTGGTTGATGGTAGTTTTAAATATTAGCGATTTGGATAATGGGGGGAGGACATGGTCTGACCTGATGCAATAGCCAATTGTTTACCGAGTGAGATGGAGTCAGGCCTAGGGTTTAGCCTAAAAAAAACCATCCCGGATCAGATCTATTTTCTGAGTTATTATGATCCAGGTTTTTAATTGTGTCTTTCCTTTTGCTGTACCTGGCATAATATTTGCAAGAAAATGTCTAATGTTAATATAGTAACAAATATAAAGATAGTGAAGGTTTGGGCGTCCAAGGTTGTAGTTAGAATCAGAGGACACTAACCAACCCAATCAGCCAGAAAACCCCGTATGCATCATCATATTTTTGATCAAACTCACAATGTGTTTACCTTCCTTATTAAGGGTTATTTGGACCTTGTGATAAATCTTACTTGAGAATTGTGGGACAAACATTAAATTAGAATTTAATAAATGTAATCTCTTTTCTAGCCAATGTGTTTCCATAGGTATAGCATCCTATGCATATAACATAAATTAAATACCAGAAACACCTGGTCCTCAGTGTTTAAATTGTGATAGACTTGTTAACAGTAGACAAATCTATTTCCCGCCCACCACCCCCACCAACCGACTTTTGTGTTGCACCATATACTGGTATTTGGAGGGAAAAGGTTTTGTCGCAGGAGAAGTTATATAATTCTACAGTGTTATTTTTTTCCTTGGCAGGACTATCTATGGCTGAGGACCATAAGAGTTAAAAGACTTATAGCCAATTAATTGTTCTAGGCCAGATAGGAAGGGTTGTGGACAGCCATTTGTTACTTTTAAAAATTATTAGTTTAAGTAAAAAGGCCAGCAGAAAAACCAAAAGGCAAAGTTGCAAGACTGACTTATTTTTAACTTCTATGTGTTGAGCTGCTGTGAGTTTGGTTTTTGTTACAGACTTACAGCAATTAGCTATACAAAACATAAGCACTGCTCTGAAAAATTAAAAATATATATGGATAGATAGGTTTATTTTTACCACTTATCATTGGGAGTATTATACCCAGGAAGCTTTGTGGTAAGGTATTTTATCCTGTTAGTAAATGTTTTTCTTTAATTTTACAGCAAAATTTTATGGTTGGGATGGATGCAAAAGTGACAAATAATAGTTTAGAAGACAAGCAAACTTGTTTTACCAGCTGTTTAGGCATTTTTTTTTTGGACCTCCTTTTTGATTTGGAGGGTTTGATCTTGTCCTAATTTTATCCCTCGAAACTGGCCCTTACAAATTGTACATGCCCACCTCTTCTGCGATAGTCCCTGGACCTAGAGGGAGGCAGCTTGTATAGCTCTGGCAGCAAAGCATTAGCAGTGAAACAGATCCAGACCCAGTGGATGTCAAATGAGGGAGATTCCTATCTCTGGTCTTCAGAATACCATGATTTTGGTTTGCTTGGAAGTAAAACAAAAAGAGATAAATAACAGTTATAGTTTGACAGTTATAACAGTAATTTGTATGTTAGAACAGAAAAAGGAACCTGTTCCATTAGGGCACCAACTGAAAACATGAAGAAAAATTATAATCAGGTACTTTTTAGAGGATTATTGTAGCCAAGAAATAATGATTTCATCTGTATGTAAAAAGTTAGGGTTGAAATGTAGTATTAAGTGTTACACTTTGCCCTTCAAACAATTTTTTTGCTGCCTTTTTTATTAAAGAGAATTTTATAGCCAGGCCAATTTGTGTGCAATGCTAGTTTTAGGCTTATTATGCTTGCCTGATGATTTGCATAAAATGCAGCAAGAAATCGACTGGCCATATAGACTTCTTTTAAAGTTGATTTTGCTGAAACTTTACCTAAAAATAGGCTATACTAGTTTCAGTCTTGGTAAAATAACCAGTGTCACCAATTGTTAGGAAAAAAAAAACTATTATTGAACTTATGCAGACAACTATATTGCCATAAAATTACAATCTGAATTTTGGAGGATTCAGAAAGGGAAATTTGCTTACAAAAACATACTTTACCCAAATAATTTAAAAGAAAAAGATTTCCTTGACCCTTTTTTAACCAGAGCAGCAGCTTTGAAAACGAGATGTTTGCTTACCTTGGAAATGTCATTTACAAATCAAACAGCTCAGGAGAGCTATTAGGCATTGTGGAATTTAGCAGCTCCTTACAATTAGTTCTAGAAAAGAGCCTCTCTGCTTATTAGGTAGCAAGATTTTATGTAAACCATTTTTATTTTATTATGGAACTTTTTGGGAAACATTATTTCCATTAATATAGAGGTAGCTTTAGTTAATATTCCATAGCAAGCCAGTAAATGCCCCATCAAAATACCTCAGTTGTTGTTATTGAAAAGTACTCACAGTTTTTGCCATCAGTCCGGATAAATGCTCCACACAAAAGGCTATGCAGTGGAGGATTTACATGAGCAGATTTACATGTCTTCAGTTTTATGGTACTAGAAAGGGGAAAACATCCCCCAGTGAGTTAGATATAGTACCCACTTTTATAAGACATTTAGGTGAAAGGGGTTACAACTACCTTACATAAAGCTTGTTTAAATATTTCACATTTTATAATTCTATTAACCTATATATTTTTATGTTCTGGTCCCAGGAAGCGTTTTTACCCCCAGACCATTTTACCTTTTCTGGAGAAAAGGATTTGGGTTTCCAGCGGGGGGTTGCATCTGTGAGATCTATGAGGGATATCAGATTTGATAAGGCTTCTTAAACAGACCTATGATTCTGTGGGAGGGGCACCATGTAAAAGAGACCCCCTTAACCCCCAAATTGACCATGACCCAGGTAATAGACATATCAGGTGGGAGGATATCCCAGTTATAAAGCTAGTCCAACATGGCTTGCATATGAGAGATATTAACTGCTTCATCTAGGTACTTCACTTGGTATTTTATAGGGAGATTTGGGCAGTCCCCTTCTCAGGGCAAACAGAACTTATATGGCCCACTAGGCTGATTGCATTTCCTTTCTTTTCCTTTCTTTCTTTCTTTTTTTTTTTTTTTTGAGATGGAGTAGTCATATTCTGTCGCCCAGGCTGGAGTGCAGTGGCGTGATCTTGGCTCACTGCAACCTCTGCCGCCCGGGTTCAAATGATTTTCCTGCCTCAGCCTCCTGAGTAGCTGGGATTACCAGGCACCCGCCACCGTACCCGGCTAATTTTTTTTTTTTTTTTTGGTAGTTTTAGTAGAGACAGGGTTTCATCATCTTGGCCCAGGCTGATCTTGAACTCCTGACTTAGTGATCCACCTTCCTCAGCTTCCCAAAGTGCTGGGATTACAGGCATGAACCACCGGGCCTGGCTGTTTGCTTTTTCAGGAATAAACCTTTGTCCATTAGTGATTGTTCAGTAGTGAGCTCTGGGTCCTGCAAGCTCTTAAATTTTGTAGCATTTAAAATTAAGAATTTTGTCCTTAAAGTGGTTAAGTGGTTATTTTTCAATTTATTATAGTAAAGTTTTTTTTTGTTATTGTTGTTGTTGTTTTTAAAGAAGCTAAATGATACCAATCTACAAAGTGGAACAATTCCTTTACATGACACCCTTTGGTTTTAAATAGTTACTTGGTTTTGCCCTTCCCCCATATCAACTATTTTCTTGGTAACCATGGGGCTCAGAGTTTTGTTGCCCTAGATTGTTTATTTTTTTCATTTAGTTTTATTTGTATAACTTCCTTTATTATAAAGCAACTCTTAAATAGTTTCTTAACCAAAAAGAAACTTAGATTTTTTTGAGAATTGATACTATGTTTATAAAATTTTAACAAAAGCATATTTTATATTTCTACTATTTTAACTGTTTAGTAACCCAAATTTCCAGTGGGGGAAAAGAAAAAACCAGAGGGTTGAACATGACTTTGAGAATTTTAAATTACTGGAGAGTTTTGAGATTAAATTTACCAAATTAATTTTTACCAAAGATTACCAAGGTCATGTGAATTAAAAGGCATCTGAGCTAGTGTTTACCAATTTGATAAGCATTTACAATTTTTTAAGTTACTTGATTAGAGCTTTTTCATGTGATTTGGTAGCGAAATATCACTTCCACATGACACATATAGAAATAGAGATATAACAGGCATGCAGAATTAAAAGGCAGGTCTTTACTTGTCTGTTTTCAAAAATAATTTTTTTCCTTACTTAGATAATTAGTAAAAGTTACAGGAGCCAACAAAATGTGAAGGAGAGAGCCATCATTCAAGGCCTTTTCAAAAGAGAAATGGTGGCACTTTAAAGATATCAATCTGAAGAATGTTAAAGAAACACATTATAGAATTTAAAAATTTTTAAACTTTTTGCATTGAAAAAAAGTCAATATTTGTAATAAAATCTTGTTTTAACCAATTGTTTAGTTTTGTATTAGTGCGCTTTTTTAGTATTAAAGACCCATCTCTAGAAAGATTATTATGATTTTTTTTTTTTTTCTTTTTGAGACAGAGTTTTGCTCCTGTTGCCCAGGCTGGCGTTCAATGACACAGTCTCGGCTCCCCACAACCACCGCCTCCTGAGTTCAAGTGATTCTCCTGCCTCAGCCTCCCGAGTAGCTGGGATTACAGGCATGCACCACCATGCCCAGCTAATTTTTGTATTTTGAGTAGAGACGGGGTTTCTCCTTGTTGGTCAGGCTGTTCTCGAACTCCTGACCTCAGGTGATCTGCCTGCCTTGGCCTCTCAAAGGGCTAGAATTACAGGCATGAGCCACCACACCCGGCCTGATTTCTTTTTAATTATAGCCAATACCAGCTGAATTATACAACACCCTTAAAAATTTATTTTACTAACCTTATGACTTACCTAGACCTTTAACAATGGTTAGACTTTCTGTTTTATCCTAAATATCTCTCTTCCTTGAACAACCCAGTTATTTTATTTTAGGGCAAAAATTCACCACACAAGATTCTTTCTTATATAAAATCACTTTCCTTTTTACTTTCTTTACCAAAAATACCTCCTTATATCTTTAACTTTTTTCATCTTTTATTTCCTGATTTCTTTACCTTGTTTTATACATAACCCTTAAATAAGGTTTGAATTGGACAAAGATATTGTACCTCTAATAAGAATGTTAAAAAAATGTTTTCCTACAATTCTTAAATTGGAAATTACCCAGATACTTAATATCAAATAATAACCTTAGGTCCTAAATTATGACAACTTTGTTTACAAGCATTTATTCCATTACATTTACCTCATTAATTTTGTAGTTTGCCTAGATTGTTTACTAAAACTGTGAGAGCCAATATTTAAAGTTATTTTTCTATTAACCATTTTTATAGCTGTGAATTTCAGGTATTTACTTTAGTAATAAAACTTATGGTTAGTTTTAAAAGTATTTATACCAATAACTCAGTATTTAGCTGTTGTCATTTAAGCCAACAATATTTCATAAGCATATACAGGCAAAAATCATTTTGTCTTGGTCTGTGTTTTATAGTTTATAACCCTTATGGCAAAAATTATAGTATTCAAGAGTCAAACTCTATAAAATATTTGAAGAGATTTATTGTGAGCCAAATATGAATGACCATGACCTGTGACACAGCTCTCAGCGGGGCCTGAGAACATGTACCCAATGTGGTTGGGCTACAGCTTGGTTTTATGTATTTTAGGAAGGTGTGAGACATCAATCAAATACATTTAAGAAATACATTGGTTTGGTTTGGAAAGGTGGGACAACTCAAAGTGGGGGCTTCCAGGCTATAGGGAAATTTAAACATTATCTGGTTGACAATTGGTTGAGGTTATCTGAAGACCTAGTCAACAGAAAGGAATGCTCAGGTGAAAGAAAAGATTGTGGAGACCAAGTTTTATTGTGCAGAGGAAGCTCTTAGGTAGCAGACTTTAGAGAGAGCAGGTGGTAAATTGTTTTATATCAGACTTAAAAGGGTGCCTGACTGTTAGTTGATTATCTCCTGGATCTGAGAAGGAAGGAAGGAAAACCAAGGGGAAAGGGGATTCTCTATAGAATGTGGATTTTTCTCACCAGAGACTTTGCAGGGCAATTTCAAGGTATGGCAAGGAAATACATTTTGGGGTAAAACATTTTGATTTTCTTCCTTGTTATGCCAGAGTCAGATTGGAAAGTAAGTCATGATATACAGGGTTCAATAAAACCCATCTGATGAGAATTTATGGTTTGTAGGCCATGAGTCCCCAGACCCCTCAGAAGGGAATTTGGGTAAGATAAAAAAATCAGAGCTTAGTCCTCAATAAACACCTCTGCAACACACACACACACACACACACACACACACACACACACACACACACATACACCATTTCCTCTATTATTGATATCTTACATTAGTACAGTATGTGAACCCCAAATATCTGAGACAGGTCACAGTTAATATAGAAAGTTTAGTTTGCCAAGATTGAGGATGGGCGCTTGTGACACAGACTCAGGAGCTCCTGACAACATGTGTCCACGGTGGTCAGAGCACAGTTTGGTTTTATACATTTTAGGGAGGCATGAGACATCAATCAACATACATAAGATAAACATTGGTTTGGTCCGGAAAGGTGGGACAACTCTAAGCAGGGAGGGAGCTTCCATTCCAGGTAGATGAGAGACAAGTGGTTGCATTCTTTTTTTTTTTTTTAAGACAGAGTTTCGCTGGAGTGCAATGGCGTGATCTCAGCTCACCGCAACCTCCGCTTCCCGGGTTCAAGAGATTCTCTTGCCTCAGCCTCCCGAGTAGCTGGGATTACAGGTATGTGCTACCATGCCCAACTAATTTTGTATTTTTAGTAGAGACAGGGTTTCTCCACGTTGGTCAGACTGGTCTCGAACTTCCAACCTCAGGTGATCCGCCTGCCTCAGCCTCCCAAAGTGCTGGGATTACAGGCGTGAGCCCCTGCGCCCGGCCAGTTGCATTCTTTTGAGTGTCTGTCTAGCCTCTCCAAAAGAGGCAATCAGATACACATTTATCTCAGTGAGCAGAGGGGTAATTTTAAATAGAAGAGGAGGCAGGTTTGCCCTAAGCAGTTCCCTGCATGACTTTTCCCTTTAGCTTAGTGATTTTGGGACCCCAAGATTTATTTTCATTTCACAGTACATTCATCATAATTAACGAATTGATAGTGATACATTATTATTAAAGTTCATACTTTAGCTTGATTTCCTTCGTTTTTATCTAATATCCTCTCTTCTTCAAGAATCCCATCGAGGATACAAATTACATTTCATTGTTGTGTCTCCTTTGTCTCTTTTCGGCTGTGACCACTTCTCAGATTCTCAGGCTGTCCTTTGTTTTTGGTGACCTTGACAGTTATGAAGAGCACTGTTTGGGTATTTTATAAAATGTCCCTCATTTGAGATTTGACTGATGTTTTTCTCAAATCAGACTAGTGTTATGGGTTTTGGGGGTGACCATTTACTTAGGCAACACAGGGCTGCATTTGGAAGCTTGTTTTTTGTTTGTTTGTTTGTTTGTTTGTTGTTTTTGAGACGGAGTGTCACTCTGTCAACCCAGGCTGGAGTGCAGTGGCGTGATCTCAGCTCACTGCAAACTCCGCCTCCCGGCTTCAAGAGATTCTCCTGCCTCAGCCTCCCAAGCAGCTGGTATTGCCGGTGCCTGCCACCACACCCGGCTAAATTTAGTATTTTTAGTAGAGATGGGATTTCACCATGTTGCCCAGGCTGATCTCGAATGCCTGATCTCAGGTGATCTGCCCACCTTGGCCTCCCAAAGTGCTGGGATTACAGGCATGAGCCACTGCACCTGGCCGGAAGTTTTTAAATAAACGTTTTTTGACTAAATGAATATTTACCAGTAAGAAAATACATTCAGAAAGTTTAAGAAATGTGTTGAAAGATATCTTGCTCATCAGAGGCAAAACTAGGATAGAACCCAGGACTCTGACTCAGAAACTCTACTTTCCACTAGATTATATTAACCTCAAAATAATTATAGCAACAGCTTCTAGACACTGTCCTAGTTAATACAGTATATATTGTTTCTAATTCTCTCAACACCATTTCAAGGAATGCATTATTATCCTATTTTCCTGAAGCTCAGGGGTATCTGGAGCATCTTCTCCAAGGTCACATGTGAAAAAGTGGCCTGGGTTTTGAACCAACTGTGGCTGCCTCTAGAGTTTCTGCCCACACCATTACCATCGCAGCGAGCTCTCAAAGACGACCAAGTGATTCTTCCCGCCTCAAAACTCTCCAAAGCCTCACCGACACTGCCAGTGAAACTTTGCCTGCCCTACGCACCCTCACTTCCCACTTTCCCAACTGCACTTCCTACTCCAGGCATGGGAAGCCCCTGGCCACTCCCCTAATGGGCGCGCTGCGTCGAGGATCTTTGTAAGTGCTCTTGTCATGCTTAGAACACCTTTCCTCTCCCATCTCTTGCCCCTCTGTGGGAGACGGGGGATCTTATTTATATTTCACCCATCAGTTTCAACTCCCAACTCTATGAAACAAACCTCTGATCCATCCAAGTGGACTTCATCCTCCCAACATTGTGCACCTTAGTTCATAGTGCATGCCACTATTATTGTACTGATCGTATCATAGTGATATTGTTCAAGTATAGCTCTTACTCTCTAATCAGACATGGAACTTCTCTGGGCAAGGATACTTTCCTATTCATCTTTATACCTACCATAACCTAGTAGAGTGCCTGGCATATCACCAGTGTTCAATAATGAGTGAATGAATGAACAAATAAATGAGTAAATATGGAAGAGTATATAACAATCTTCCAAGCAGGAACGTACAGCTCCCGAAAGTGAACTGAATGCTGCCTCCAGACTCCCTTCTCCTCCAAAGCCAGGGGCACATGGCCAATCGCTCCAGGAGTTTTCCATCTTGCTATTAAATGCATCTTGTTGGATCCATGGACGAGTAACACCAAGGACCTTAGAGTGAAGAATTGGCTTAATCTCAGTATCTAAGCAAGTTAATGAGCCAGAAATCCAGCAGAGCCTCTTCTGTCATTTCGCAAAGAAAACACAGGAAAAGTCCCATCATAAACTACCTTAAGGCCAAGTATCTGTTCCACAAAGACATTCTCATCAGCTCTGTATAGAAGAATCAGATGCTGGTTTAATCCCCTTTCGCTTTTGCTGTCCCTGAGCAATTCAAAGTGGAGTGGAAACCTGGCAGTTAACCAATTAGCTTGATTGGAATAAACAGCCAAATTAGATAATTAATGACCATGTTTGCCAAATTTCCACTTCATTTTTTGCTGGGTAGATACATCCCTGAGGCTACAGATACATTTACAAGCAAATTGCCCAATTTTCCTGCTGAATCCTCCTGTTTCATGAATCTCACATCTACCCCTTCTGGTTCTTTTCCATCACTTTAGAAAACAACTAGAGAAAGAGTCATGCTCACAACATCACAACACTGGGAAACTAACCCTCACACCTGGTTCTTAGAAGGAGACTGGTGTCCACATCTGGCAGGTCAACCCAGGCCAAGGTTATGACCTTGCCTTTGCTTTCTACATCAGCATCCGCAAAATGACTGCTCTGCCTGCCCTTTGACACAGGAGCCAAGAAAAGTGGGAGATCCCCTCCTACAGGTCACATACTGGATGTGACTTGAGGAATTGATATCCTTCCTCTCCAGATTGTTTCATCTCACTATTTGCATGACTGGGAGAAGCTACGTCTATTGCTTCCCAAAGGCTCTTTTTGGCCACTATTGCATTGATGGAAAGTTGAGTGGCAGGACATTTCCAGATCAAAAAAAGATTTCTGGAGGTCTAAAGGAGGCAGTTTTTTGTAATGGAAGTAACATGGTGGTTGTCTTCATTTGTTTGTGTTGCTATAAAGGGATACCTGAGGTTAGGTAATAAGGAAAAGAGGTGTGCAAGAAACTTGGGGTCAGCATTTGTTTCTGGTGAGGCCTCAGGAAGCTTCCACTCATGGTGGAAGGTGAACAGGAACAGTCATCACATGATGAGAGAAGAGGCGAGAGAGAGGAGGTGCCAGGCTCTTTTCAACAAGCAGTACTTGTGAGAACTAAGAGTAAGAACTCATTCATTACCATGTGAGGACTGCACCAAGCCATTCTTGAGGGATCCACCCCCATGATCCAAACACCTCCCACTAGCCCCCACCTCCAACATTAGGGTCAGATTTTAACATAAGACTTGGTGAGGCCGAGCAAACCATATCCAAACCATAGCAGTGGTCAACAAGATAAGGAGTATAAAGCATCCTGCACAGATTTTAATCAGGTGCTGGGAAGCTAGAAGATGGGGGATAAAGAGAGTTGCAGAGCCAGTATTAGCACAGTCAGTCCACCCCGTAGCTATATTCAATTACCGGCGTGAGAGTACTCAGGAATTCTCAAACCTTTCAAGAAGCACACTTTCTTTTTTCATTATTTAGAGGATACTTTATTAGTTTCTGTAACCAAACTCATGTAGATAAGACCTTACATATTTAATATAGTGTGTTACCCCTGTACAAATGGAAAAATATTAAGTTTAATGTTTCTAGACCAATATGGCTGTTAATTTCTGTACAACGCCAACTTAACACAGTAAACTGGGATACTTTTTCCAAAGGTCACAGCACAGCTGAAGTTTCCAAAAATTCAAATTATATATATATATTTGTATATATATTTTTATATAAAAAGACCAATAATAGCAGTATGTTATACATCAATAACAGCAACAGCTTTTCTAGGTTCTGCGGTCATCTGAACAAAATTATAGAGACATCCAGCACACTCCATTTAAAAAAAGTCAGGGGGTTGGGGAAAGGTAAAAAACAAATCCCCAGAAAATTGCAAAGTTCTGTTACTGTTATGGTACTGGCACCATTTTTTAAAATTAGCTTCTGAATCATCATCTGGAAAGAAAACATTCTAGAATAACATCCTTAAAAATAGCTCTGATAAAGCATGGTCACTACTACATATCAATAAGCAGGTACAAGACATTTTACAATCACACAGGTATGACACAGAACTGTCCTATGCCAATAGATAGAGGATACAATTAAAAAGGCATTACTTGGCCGGGCACGGTGGCTCATGCCTGTAATCCCAGCACTTTGGGAGGCTGAGGCAGGCGGATCACCTGAGGTTGGGAGTTCAAGACCAGCCTGACCAACATGGAGAAACCCTGTCTCTACTAAAAACAGAAAATTAGCTGGGCATGGTGGTGCATGCCTGTAATCCCAGCTACTCGGGAGGCTGACGCAGGAGAATTGCTTGAACCCAGGAGGCGGTGAGCAGAGATGGCGCCACCGCACTCCAACCTGGGCAACAAGAATGAAACACATGAAGAACATAGAAGCCCAAATTGAGAGACATTCCACAAAATAATCAAAAATCCTCAAAACTCAATGTCATGAGTACTAAATTAATTAATTAATTAACTAAGTAACATGATCTAAAAAAAAAAAAAAGGCATTATTTGAGACTTGATTCTACTTTTCCAGCAGAGGGCCCAAAGGATGGCATGACACAGCTCTGTAAAGAAAGGCACTTTCTTAGGATTTCCTTTAATTAGTGACACAGTTCTAGGTCTCACTGTTCTTCATGAACACCAGCTAAAAACTGGTTTAAAAAAAAAAAGGAAAGAAAAGGGAAAGGAAAAAAAAGAAAAGAAAAAAACCCCAAAACCATGGGATTCATACAAAGATGACTGAGTGGGGGCAAGAAAGACTCAGCCTAACTAGTATTTTACCAAATCTGACACGTTTGAATGATGAGAGCTCCATGGAAGAAAGGAGATGCTAAGAGGTGAATAAGCACACTTTTAATGGTCACATGTCTACATTACACTGGGCCCTTGTTGGGATTTTTTGCATTAAAAAATATCTTTTTAGTGTCTACCTACTTCATGCTAACTGCTATTCTACAGACACAATGATAAACAAGACCAATAACTTACAATCTAGTGAACAGGCATTATCACCTTCTCACTCCTGCAAAGCTGATATTAAAACCCCATCTTGGTCATCCCTGAGCACTCCAAGGTCTACAAACCAGGTAGAGATGCTAGGACGGGAACTAAATGCAGAAAACAGATCAGAGTTGCCAGGGGGTGAGGGGCAGGGTGGACAACTACAAAAGAGACGCACAGGACAATTTTTAGGTGAATGTAGTGTTCTACATGTACTATGGTGATGGATACATGCTTCTATGCATTTTCAAATGCCATTGCAATGTATCTCACAAAGAATGAAGTTCAATGTAGGCAAAAATGTTAAAAATCAACCAGGAGGTCATGGAATCTCAGGAGGTAATGCAGACAGTGATAAATTGTATTACAAATGTATCACATAATCCAGTTAGCAGCAAGCACACCAACACCAGATATTGGCTTCTAAATACCATTCTCTGACAAAAGAAACCAGAGCACTGGAGAAATGTTTGATTCTAGGGCTGGGACAGGGAAAATGCAAAATGAGCCTGGAGTATTGTGTAGTATCAAGAAAGGAAGTGCTCAAAAAACAGAAGGATGGAGGCAGGTCAAAAGGACATGACAGCCAAACTGAAAGAGTTCCCAGTGGCCAAAGCTGGAACAAATTGAGTACTAAATTAATTAATTAATTAACTAAGTAACATGATGCTAAATTGCAATCCAAAGCATAAAATAATTATACATGAGTCCATACTGATATAAATTTATTCATATAATTAAATAAATATGTAAATAAGGGAGAAAAGATATAGCTTTCTTAAAAAAGAATTCGAAATAATTATGTAGATACTCCCCTTCGAGAGATGGAGTCTAGTGCTACCTCCCTGTGCTTGAACCTGGGTGGATCTTTATGACTTGCTTCCAAAGAAGAGAATATGGAAGGGAGAAAGGGTAACTTTACAGTGGAGAAAACTTCCAATTACTACCTTGACTGAGTGATCAAGGAGAGGCAAGGGCTGAAAAACTACCTGTTGGTTAGTAGTTCACTATTTGGATGATGGGCTCGAGAGTAATTCAAACCTCAGCATGATATAATGCTTAGCATTTATTACCATGTAATAAACCTGCACATTTATCCCCTGAATCTAAAAGAAAAAAAATTTAAAGAAATTTCCAAGTTCTCAAACTGAGCTTAATGAAGACCACAAATTAGTCTTGACTTTTCTCAATCCCTGACTGTATTGAGATGTTCTTCTCTTCTGTTGTCTGCCAGAGTATAGGGTGAATCTTCTCTGGAGGTAGATAATATGATCCAGAGCTCTATAATTTATTATGTACAACATCCAGCCTTCAATTGAAAATTATCAGACATACCAAAAAACAGGACCAAAAGAACAACTAGAGAATAGACTTACAGGTTCCCATATGCTGAAATTATCTGATATAGATTTTAAAATAACTGTAATTAATATGTTGAGAAACTAGATTACCAGATGAAGTTTTCACCCAGATAATTGGAATTTATTTTTTAAACACAATGGAAATTATAAAACTAGAAATTACAAAACTGAAATTAAAAACATAACATGAGGTTAATAGTAGATTAAACATAGCAAAAATGAAGATTGGTGAGCTGCAAGATAGGTCAGCAGAAAATATCCTTACTGGGGCATAGAGAGCAAAATGAATAAAAAAACCAAAAACAGCATAAGAGACATGTACCACACAGTGAAAGACTTAACATCCATGTAATTGTAACAATATATGCAGAAATAATGGTCAAGGATTTTTCCAAATGAATTAAAGACATCAAACCACAGATTCAAAAAGTATTACAAACTCTAAGCAAAGCAAGCAAAGAAAATCATACCTTCTCACATAATATTAAACTGTCAGAAGCCAAAGACAAGGAAAAAAGTCTGTTTAACTGCCTGAGAAAAATATATATATTATTTTCCAAGGAGAAAACATAAGACTGACATCTCAGCAAAAATAATGGATACAGAAGACAATAGGACGTTGTTATGGACTGAACGATTGTGTCCCCCCAAAATTCTCATGGTGAAGCCCTAGTTCCCAATGAATGATGTTTGGAGGTGGGGTCTTTGGGAGGTAATTAGGTCATGAAAGTGGAGCCCTCACAAATGGCCCTCATATATATCTCTTATGCTTCCCTTATATGAAGAGATGTAATAGAGATGATCAATCTCTCTCTACCACATGAGGAGACAGCAAAAAAGGCAGCCATCTGCAAGCGAAAAAGAGGGCTCCAACCAGGAACCACATTGGCTTGCATCTTGATCTCATACTTGCTGGCCTTCAGAACTATGAGAATTAAATGTCTGTTGTTTAAGCCACTCAGTTTGTGATATTCTGTTATCCCAGCCCAAGCAGACAAAAACATATGTCATCTTCAAAGTACTAAAAGAAAATAAATGTCAACAGAGAAATCTACATCCAGAAATAACATCCAATAAAAATGAGAAAGAAATGAAGGAGTTTTTCTAATGTCTACCAGGAGACTTATGTTAAAAATGGACTTATTTAGACAGACAGAAATGTATGAAGGAATTAAAGGGAACAGGAATGGTAAATATATTGCTGAAACTAAATTTTATATTGACTAGATGAAATAATAATAATATGTGGTACAGTTTCTTATATTGTAAAATAAAAATGCATTGTAAAGGGTAGAAAAGAGGGAAATCAAGTCAAAGTGTTGTAAGGCCCTAGCATTAATCTGGGAAGGGCAAAGGTACTAATTAATAGTAGTCTTTAAAATGACAGTTGTGATATTTAAAGTGATCACTGAAAGAGTAGTGAAAAAATATGCATGTAACTAATAAGCTAGCATTGGGAAAAACACTAAAACACAATCCTTTTAAAGCATAAAATGAGGAAAAAAGGAAAATAAGAAATAAGCAGCAAACAGAGTATAACTAGTAGGATGATGGATATGTACCTGAATATGTCAGTAATTTAATCAGTGTAAACAATCTACATACTTCAATTAAAAATCAAAGATTGGTAAGGCACTTCTGGATTGATGGGGCCCTCCAAAATTCCACTCCTCCATAAAAGCGCAGAGAACAACAGAAGCAGAATTGGTCAAAATCACCTATGTCAGAACTCTGGAAATTAACCAAAGGCTAACCAATATGAGGTGCATTTATTCAAGAAAAATAGCTGAATCTTAGTAAGGATAACAATCTTTGTGGTTTTTTAACTTGCCCTGGTCCCACCCCCACCCCTACCTTTCAGCTTAAAAACCAGCAGCCTCACAAGCACGGCAGCTGTGAAGAACAGCAGTCTAGCAGCCACTGGAAGGGGCATAACAGATTTGAAACCCTCTAAAAAAACTCATTCCCAGAGAGTTGTCACTATATGGCCCTTCTAGCAACTCCCTGGAAAAGCCCCATTCATAAAGCCCCTCTTTATTTGACCTGACTCAGAGCTCACTCAGTGGGCATTTGTCAAAATCATCAGTGCCAATTAATTAACATCACAGCTGCCTCAAGTGGCAAAACTAGTTGGGCCAAATGAGAGGCTGGCAGAAAACTCAAAAGGAAAATATGGAAAACGAGATGTCCATAGGGAACTTTGAAAAATCTAAAAGGCCATGAGCATGGCTAGGATTTCATGCATGCCCAGGAAATATCTGAGAAAACCCTAATCTCTTACCGGTGTCTAACCTTGAGGCTTTGTACAAGCAGGAAATGAAGGCAAAGGCAGAATTGTAAGCCACTGAACACTGAAGATATACCCCGACACACACACACAGAGCCCCTCAACTTAAAATGAGAGCTATACTGGTTCAAGGCATTTGAGGAAACCTCTGTCTAATAATCATATGAACATTAAGTTAGTCAAGTAGAAGCTTTAGTGGCCACACACAACAAAGAATAAAACTTCACGGAATAAGCCCAGGAAAGTCACTAGAAAAACAAACAACAACAACAATAAAAAACAACAACAAAACTTGAAGAGCAAGGAAGAATCTGACTTCCAGAGTGGCTGCATTCTATTATTTTTAATGTCCAGTATTCACAAAAAAGTATAAGATATGAAAATAAATAGGAAAATATAGCCTATATATAGGAAAAACAGTCAACAGAAACTATCCCTGAATAAGCCCAGATATTGAACTTGCTAGACAAATACTTTAAACAAACTATTATAAATATGTTCAAAGAACTAAAAGAAACTGTATCCAAAGACTTAGAGAAACATCTCACCAAAAAGAAAATTACTGGGTATATACCCAAAGAAAAATAAACTATTCTACCAAAAAGACACCTACACTCATATTTTTATCACAGCACTATTCAAATAGAAAACACATGGAATCAACCTAGGTGCTCATCACTGATGGATTAGATAAAGAAAATGTGGTACTTTGGAATACTACAGAAAATCCCCATTCATAAGGCCCTTCTTTATTTGACCAGACTGAGAGCCCACTCAGTGGGCATTTGTAAAACACCATCAGTGCCAATTAATTAACATCACAGCTGCTTGTGATGTTATATTTATATAGAAAATATAAGAAATGGAAATTCTGGAGTAGAAAAGTAGAATAACTAAATTGAAAATTTCAGTAGAGGGGCTGAATAGAAGATTTGAGATGGCAGAAGAAAAAAATAGAAAGACTGAAGATATATCCATTGGAAGGACATAAGGAATAGAAAGGGGAAAAAATTAAGAAAAACTAACATAGCCTCATAGACTTGTAGGACAACATCAAGCCTACCAACATACACATAATGTGAGTCCCAAAAGGAATATAGGTTATTCTATATTATAGAATAGATATAGAATAATGTCAATAAAATACTAGTGAACGAAATCAAGCAGCATATAAAAGGATTATACATCAAGACCAAGTGGGATTCATCCCAGGAATGTAAGGTTAGTTTAATACCCAAAAATCAATCAACATAATATACAATATTCATAGAATAAAGCTGAGGGGGGAAACATATGATCATCTCAATAGATACAGAAAAAGCATTCGACAAAATCCAACATCTTTTTATAATAAAACACCCTACAAACTAAGAATAGAAAGAAACTTCTTCAGCCTGATAAAGGGCATCTAGGAAAAAACCTACAGTTATCATTATACTTAATGACGAAAGACTGAATGCTTTCCCTTAAGGTCAGGAAGAAGACAAGGATGTCCATTCTTGCCTCTTCTATCCAACATTATACTGGAGGGTTTAGGTAGTGCCATTAGGCAAGAAAATGAAATAAAATGTATCCAGATTGAAAAGGAAGAATTAAATATCTCCATTAGCAGATGGTATGATCTTCTGTATAAAAAGATCCTAATGAATCTGCAAATAAAACTGTCAGAACTAATAAATGAATTCATCAAAGTTGAATTCAACAAGATAGTCTACAAGATCAATATACAAAATTCAATTGTAGTTCTATACACTGACAATAAACTGTTTGAAAAACATTTTATAAACAATTCTATCTATAATAGCACCAAAAAGAATAAAATACTTAGAAACAAATTTAACAAAACAAGTACAGTTATGTTTCACTTAATGACAGGGACACATTCTGAGAAATGTCTTTAAGACAATTTCATCATTGTATGCACATCATAGAGTGTACTTACACAAACCTAGATGGTGTAGCCTGCTACACAACTAGGCTATATGGTATAGCCTATTGCTCCTAGGCTACAAACCTATATAGCACATTACTTGACTGAATACTGTAGGCAATTTTAATACAATTATAAGTACTTGTGTATCTAACCCTCTAAACACAGAAAAGCTACAGTAAATATACAGTATTATAATCTTATGGGATCACTGTCATACATCCAGTCCACAATTGACTGAAACATTGTTATACGGCACATGATTGTACAAGATTTGCAAACTGAGAACTAGAAAACATTGTTGAAACAAATAAGAGAAGACCTAAAAACATGCAAAGATACCATCCCATGTTCATGGATCAGAAAACTTCATACTGCCAGAAGGACAAGACTCCCCTATATTGGTCTATGGAACTTAGTAGCAAGAAAACAAGCTTATTTTAAAATGGGCAAAGGACTTGAATAGCCATTTCTCTGAAGAAGACATAAAAATGGCCAAAAGGTATATGAAAAGGCACTCAATTTCACTAATCAACAGAGAAGTACAAATTAAAGCCACAAGGAGATATCACCTCACACCTTTTAGGATGGCTATTATCAAAAAGACACATGATAACAAGTGTTGGTGAGGGTGTAGAGAAAATGAAACCCTTGTACTCTGTTGATAGGAATATAAATTGCTGCAACCTTCATGGAAAATAGTATGTAGATTCTTCTAAAAATTAAAAATAGATCTATCATAGGATACAATAATCCTTTTTCTGGGCATATACCCAAAGGAAACAAAATCAGTGCTTCATAGAGATATCCGTGCTTCCGTGTTCATTGCAGCATTATTCACAATAGCCAAGATATGGTAACATCCTAAGTGTCTGTCAACAGATGAATGGATAAAGAAACTGTGAATAATATTCCATTTGACTATAGTAACACTTCACTATGTATATCAAAACATCATGTTGTACACCCTAAGAATATACAATTTTTAAAAACCAAATTGATGTATAGCTTCAAAGGAATTGCTATCAAAATCCCAGATGCGTTTTTTTTCCTTTTCTTTTTCCTTTCCTTTTTTTTTTTTAACAGAGACTAACAAGATGATCCTAAAATTCATATGGAAATGCAAAGGACCAAGAATAATCAAAACAATCTTTAAAAAGAACAAAGTTGGAGCACTTACAAATCCCAGCCTCAAAACTTAACAATAAAACAGCATGATACTGGCATAAGGATAGACCAAAATATCAATGGAATAGAATTGGGAGTTCAAAAATAAACCTTCATATTTATGGCAAATTTATTTTTGACAAGAGTCTAACACAATCCAATAGGGAAATTGTCTTTTCAACAAATGGTGTTGGGACAACTGGTTATCCATATAAAGACAACAGAAGTTAGATTCCAACCTCACACCATAGCCAAAATTAACTCAAAATGGATCATCAACCTAAATGTGGGAGCTAAACCTATAAAACTATGAAACTGTTAGGAGAAAACTGTTGGGGTAAATCTTTGTGACTTTAGGTCAGGCAGTACTTTCTTGATTATGACACCAAAGCATAACAAAAAAAAGATAAATCATACTTCATCAAAATTAAAGTCTTTGGTGCTTCAAAGAAGACAATCAAGAAAATGAAAAGGCAACTCATAGAAAGGAAGCAACCATCATAGGAATGAATGCTCAGTATCACTAGTCATTAAGGAAGTGCAAATCAAAACCACAATAAGATACCACTTATTAGAATAGCTAGAATCAAAATCGACCATAACAAATGGGGGCAGGAATGTGGAGAATTTGGAATCCTCATGCAATGCTGGTAGGATTATAAAATGGTGCAGTAACTTTGGAACACTGTTTGGCAGTTCCTCAAAATGTTAAGCATAGAGTTATTGTATGACCCAGCAGTTTCACTCCTACAAATATACCCAAGAGAAATGAAAATATATTTTCACACAAAAACTTGTATTTGAATGTTCCTAGCAACATTTTTTATAATAGCCAAAAAGTGGAAACAACCCAAATGTCCATCAATGGATGAATAAACAAAAGATGGTATATACATACTCTGGAATGTGATTTGGCAGTAAAATGAAGTACTGATGATGAACCTTAAAAACAATAAGTGGAAGAAGCCAGTCACAAAGATATATTGTATGATTCCTTTTATAGGAAATACCCAGAACAGGCAAATCCACAGAAACAGAAAAAATACATCAGTGTTTACTAGGGGCTAGGGGATGGGGGTAATGAAGAATGACTGCTAACGGATATGGGGTTTCTTTTGGGAGTAGCAATGAAAATGATCTAAAATTAAATAGTTGTGATGATTGCAAAACTCTGTGGATATACTAAAACCACTGAATTTTATACTGTGAAGTAGTAAATTTTACTGTATGTGCATTATATGTCAATAAAATATTACTTTTTAAGTTTTTTTTTTTTTTTTTTTTTTTTTTTTGAGACGGAGTCTCACTCTGTTACCAGGCTGGAGTGCGGTGGCACGATCTTGGCTCACTGCAACTTCCACCTCCCGGGTTCAAGCGATTCTCCTACTTCAGCCTCCAGAGTAGCTGGGACTACAGGTGCCCGCCACCATGCCCAGTTAATTTTTGTATTTTTAGTAGAGACGGGGTTTCACCATGTTGGTCGGGCTCATCTCGATCTCCTGACCTCATGATCCGCCCGCCTCAGCCTCCCAAAGTAGTGGGAGCAACAGCACCCAGCCTTTTTAAGTAATTTTTAATACCAAAAATTGTCAGACTGCGTTTTTAAAACATGCATGCTGCTTATAAGATGCTCTGTATAGAAGAAAGTTGAAAGTAAAATAATGAAAAATATATACTATGCAAGCACTAATCAAAAGAATGCTGACATAGCTCTCAAACAAGGTAGACTTTAAGACAAGAAGCACTGCTAGAGCTATAGATGAACACTACCCATGGCATATGTTTACCTATGTAGCAAACCTGCACATCCTGCACATGTACCCCGGAACTTAAAATAAAAAGATGAACATTTCTCAATGAATAAGTGGTCAATTTCCCAGGAAGATACAACAAAACTTGCATGTGTTTAATAACACAGCTTCAAAATATACAAAACAAAATTGAAAGAGCTAAAAGAAATAGTAAACAAATCCACAATCACAGTAAGAGTCATTAACACACCATCCTCAGTAACTAATAAGACAAGCAGAAAAATGACAGTAAGAATGATGAAAACTTGAACATGATTAGCCAACTTCACAAGTGTATGACATACTGGGAACATAATATTCAATGACATAGAATATACATTCCCTTCTCAAGGACACATAAGATATTTATTAAAACAGACCATATCCTGGTCATAACACAAGTCTCAAATATAAGAGAACTGAAATCACTCAGAGTAAATTTTCTAAACACTATGGAATTAAGCTAGAAATAAATACAGTCATGCATTGCTTAACAACAGGGATACATTCTGACAAATATGTAGTTGGACAAGTTTGTTATTGAGCAAACATCATAGAGTGTACTTACACAAACCTAGATAGTATAACCTACTACACACCTAGGCTATATGGTATAGACTATTGCTCCCAGGCTACTAACCTATATAGCAGGTTACCAGACTGAATATTTTAGGCAGTTGTAACACAATGGTAAGTATTTGTGTATTTAAACATACCCAAACATATAAAGATACAGTAAAAAATGATATTAAAAATATCAAAATGGTACATCCATATATGGCACTTACCATGCCTGAACGGAGCTTGCAGAACTAGAAGTCACTCTGAGTGGGGAGTGAATGTGAAGGTCTCAGACATTCTTGTACGCTACTGTAGACTTTACAAACATTGTACACTTAGGTCACACAAATTTATAAAAATATATTTTATTTCTTCAAGAATAAACCTTAGCTTACTGTAACTTTTTTACTTTATAAACTTTTTAATTTTTTTTTTAACTTTTTGGCTCTTTTGTAATAACACTTAGTTTAAAACACAAACACACCGGCTGGGCACAATGGCTCACTCCTGTAATCCCAGCACTTTGGGAGGTCGAGGTGGGTGGATCATGAGGTCAGGAGTTCTAAACCAGCCTGCCCAACATAGTGAAACCCGGTCTCTACTGAAAAAAAAAAAGTAGCTGGGCGTGATGGTGGGTGCCTGTAATCCCAGCTACTACTTAGAAGGCTGAAGCAGGAGAATCACTTGAACCTGGGAGATGGAGGTTTCAGTGAGCCAAGATCACACCATTGCACTCCAGCCCAGGTGATAGTGAGAGACTCCATCTCAAAAAAAACAAAAACAAAAACAAAACAACACATTTTACAGCTATACAAAAATTTTTTTTCTTTATATTCTTATTCCATATGCCTTTCTGTTTTAATTTTTTTATTTTTAAACTTTTTTGTTAAAAACTAAGACACAAACACATACATGAGCCTAGGCCTACACAGAGTAGGATCCTTAATCCCACAGTCTTCCGCCTCCACATTTCACCCCACTGGCAGGTCTCCACACAATAACATGCATGGAGCTGTCTATGATAACAATGCTGTCTTCTGGAATACCTCCCGAAGGACATGCCTGAGGCTGTTTTACAGTTAACTTTTTAAATAAGTAGAATGAGTACACTCTAAAATAACTAAAAAGTATAATATACTAAATACATAAACTAATAACATAGTTGTTTATTATCATTATCGAGTATTATGTACTATACGTAATTGTATGTGCTATACTTTTATACAACTGGCAGCATGATAGGTTTGCTTACAGCAGCACATAGTTCATTGAGCTATGATGTTACAACGGATATGACATCACTAGGTGATAGGGTTTTTTCAGCTCCATTATAATCTTATAGAACCATCACTGTATATGCAAACTATCATTGACCAAAATGTTATTATGTGGTGCACAACTTTAGCTAAAAATCCCTAGGAAATCTTCAAATATTTGTAAGCTATATTGTTTAATTTAAAAAATTCCATTTTAAATGAATGATAATGTAAACATGACCTATCAAAACTTGTGAGTTACAGCTAATGCTGTAAAGAGGGGGAATTTATAGCTTTAAAAGTGTACGTATTAGAAAATAAGAAAGGCTGAAAAATCAGTTGTCTAAAGATCCATCTCAAGAAGTTAGAAAACAGCAGGAACATAAAACAAGAGAAAGTGGAAGGAAGGTAATAATAAAGAAAAGAGCAAAAATTAACAACATAGAAGAAAAGCGTATAACAACTGAATATCAACAAGGCAAAACTTGATTCTTCAAAAATCAAGTGAAAAAAAAAGTGAAAGAAGAAATAGCACAGATACTACACAAAACTATCCCAGAGAATAGAAAAACAGAGTATTCATACAAAACCATTTTATGAGGATGAAATAATATGGGTACCAAAGCGTGATGAAGACATTACAAGAAGAGAAAATTACATTCCATGGGTTGAGCTGGGGGTAATAAAAGACAGTAAGAAAGAGAGAGAAAAAAAATTTCAGGAAAATCTCTCTCATGAAAGCAGATGCAAAAATCCTAAATAAAATAGTAGCAAGTCAGATCCAGTGATAAATAAAAAGGAGAATCCTTCGTGATCAAGTGGGTTTATTCCAGATAGACGATGCCTGTTTAAAAATTAAAACTCAGTTAATGAGTTTACCATATTAACATAATAAATAAGTTAAATTATAAGACCATCTTAATAAATGCAGAAAAGCATCCAATAAAATTTCATCTCTATTCATGGTAAAACCTTTAGCAAACTAGGAATAGAAAATAACTTTCTCAATCTAATAATAGTATCTTTAAGAAAAACACCTACATCAAATATGATACTGATGATGCATTACTGAAAACTTTCCATCTGAGATCAAGAATAAAACAAGAATCCCTGCTTTCACTGTAACTATATTGTACTAGAAGTTCCAGCCATTGAAAAAAGGCAGGAAAAAATGCAAGTATTGGAAAGTAAGAAATGAAACGTCATTATTCCCACACAACATAATCACAACATAATTGTATGTATAAAACTCTGAAGAACTTGCAGACAGTTGAGTAATTTTAGCAAGGTCATTGGATATAAGGTCAATTTAAAAATCAATTGTATTTTATATATAAGGAATGAACAATTAGAAAATGAAATTTTAAAAACAGCATTTACAATAGCACGGAAAATCAGAATCGTGGGAATAAACCCAAAGAAAATTTTTCTATACAGAAACTACAAAACTAATATTGCTAATATTATATTATTAATTAGTAATTATTAGTAAGTAAAGAGAGAGATGATGTTCATGAATGGAAAGAGTCAATATTATGCAGATGTCAGTTATCTCCAAATTGATCTATAGATTCAATGTAATCCCAATAAAAATCCTGGCTTTTTTTTTCTTTTGTTTTCTTTTCTTTTTTTTTGAGACAGTATCTCGTTCAGATACCCAGGCTGGAGTAGAGTGGCACAGTCATGGCTCACTACAGCCTTGACCTCCAGGGCTCAAGAGAGCTTCCCTCCTCAGCATCCTGAGTAGCTAGCTGAGATCACATGAGCATGCCACTATACTAGGCTAATTTTGTTTATTTTTTGGAGAGACAAGGTCTCACTATGTTGCCCAGGCTGATCTCAAACTCCTGGGCTCAAGCACTCCTCACATCTCCGTCTCTCAGAGTGCTGGGATTATAGGCATGAGCCACAGCAACTCATTTCCAGCAATTTTTTTTTATTCCTGGAAATTAAAAAAACTGTTCTAAAATTTACATGGAAATGCAGAGAGACCAAAAAAAGCCAAGACATTTTCATAGAAGAAATTAGACATTATTGCTGTCGTTGTCATTTTTATATAGTCATTGTTTTCTTAGGTTTATTCACATATTTACATTTTTGTTTTTCTCTATTTTTTCTTGCATTTCAGACTTTCTTCTGGATTCATTTCTTTTCTTCCTGAATTATATTTTTTAAAGTTACTAATAAATGTCTACTTACTAAACTATCTCAAGCTAGCTCTCCAATTCTAGGTTTACAATTATTTCTTTAGCATTTTGAAGACAGAGTATCTTAATGTTGTCTTGATGATTTTGAGAAGTCAGCTATCAATCTGTCATCACTTAATAGGTCATCTATCTTTTCTCTTTTAAAATCTTCTTTGTCTTGGTCTTTGACTAAGTACAAGGTACTCTTTCCTTATCCTATTTGGAATACATTGAGCTTGTTGAGTCTATTAATTCATATCTTTCATCACTGAGGGAAAATCCTAAGCCATTATCTCTTCAAATATTGCCTCTCCGCCATTCTGTCTAGTCTCTCCTTTTGATTAAACTCATGTAAAACCTTTTCGATCTGCCCTCTGTGTCTCTTATCTTTCTTCTTTTATCCTTTATTTCTCTCTGCTGCACTTTCAGTAATTTCTCAGCATCTATCTTCAGCTGCTTCAGCTGCTTCATCTGCTGTTTAACCCAACCATTTGAGTTCCTAATCCCAAGTATTATATTGTTTATATTTAGAATGTTAGAATTTTATTAATCTTCCCAGTTCTTTATAATAGTGTCTTGTCCCTTAGTTTTATTTTCAATACTCTCTTTTATTTTTTTAAATATATAAAATATATATATCTTATATTTCTCTTTGCTGATTCCAGTATCTGGAATATGTATCTCAGTGTGATGTTACTGGATTTCAGTTCCCAACCCACACAAGAACTTGAAATTAGGAACTCTCTAGACTTTCTCTTTCCCCCTGTACTCAAAGCGAAGGCCAAGATCACCAAGAATCTTCACTTTTTACTTCTGTGAGACAGGCTTCCTTCTTGGGATTCTTGGCTGTCTTTGGGAGAAGTCCCAGGTTTAGTGGAGGTGAATGGTCTCTGATTCAACTTCACACTTTGTGTGGGCCAAGATCACCTCCTATGTCCCCCTTCATGCACACATGCACACACACACACAAGCACACAAATGCACATATACACACATCTACACTCTAGTCTTCCAGGAGCCTGCAGATGACCCCAGGGTAACCGCCAGTTGCAGCACTGATGTGCCCTTCTAGATTCACACCTAACCTTGAAGGATTTCCCTCGCTTTACTGCCAGATCACCCATGCATTCATTTTTCATCTATTTTATCAGTGTTTTAGCTGCTATGTACTGAGAGTTTCTCTCCAGACATCAATATCACCAATTTTATTGAAAAGGAAATACAAGCTTAAGGGTTTCTATTAGATAAATGAGGAGTAGCCCATTGTTGGGTCAAATGACTTTCTCGAGTTCAGACAATGTCACTCACTAAGGAATGTGGGATAAAAAACAACAACAACAAAGAGGAGTGTGAATGGGGTGGAGGTTGGGATGTTCTCATGAAACTCTGCATACAATGTTCCAGTAATGGAGTTACGAATGAAATCTACACCTCCTAATTTCCAAGGTTAGTCCTTAGCCTAGGCTTTCTGACAGCTCTTTCTTCAGGAACACAGGTAGAATACCGTACCAGAGATTCCACAATAGAGCGGACACAGCCAATAGCCTATTGAACACGGGTGTGTTTCAAAGAAACCCAGAACTGGCTTATCAAGGTGAAGACTTCAGAAAGCCCTAAATTCAGCAAAGTAAGCAAAATGTATTGGGGGGAATTATTGAGACATGTTCCCTCCTCAAGGAACTTCATATACAGACTCACCTAGGCCAGTTCTTCGCTTTCAGACAGGTGAACCTACATTGAAAATACAGCATGGTCTTCTGTGGATCAATTTCAGAAGTCACCCAAGCTGGAACTCTGCTTCTACTGAAGCCAAAGCTCTCTTCATCCAAAAAACAGGACAGCAGCCCAGCTCCTAAGGTCTCTGCTGCCAGACCCCATTATGCCACTTTCATTTCCCAAGGCTTCCCTCTGCAACCCACCCTGCTTTCCGTCTATAGTTGACCATCCTTTTCCCTTCCCCACCAAACCTCCACAGTCCCTCTCTCTCACAGCCCTCTTCTCCATGATCTTGTGAATGCATTGTTGTTTCTAATTTTCACTATCACAGCTGCAATACACGTTCTTGTGCACATGTGTCAGTTTCTCCAGGAAAAATGCCAATGAGTGAAGTTGGTTGATCATAGAGTGTGCACATTGTTCACTTTCCTAGATATCACCAAAGACCTCACCATAGTGGTTTACCAACTGCACTACCAACCACAGCATATGGTGGAATCCTGGTCCTCCATATCCTTGCCAACACATGGTGTTATCAGAGTTTAATTCTTAAGGAGCTTCTCCCTACGAGCCTATCCAGTGAACTACTCCCCTCTGACCTGCTGATGGGTAGTGAATAACACATTTGCACTAGTTCAGTCTCTTCTGAACATTGGATCTTAGAGCAGGGGTCTATAACACTTTCTGAAGAGTGAGCTGAGATCTGTCAATTCCTCCCAGTGGCTGACTGGGAGAAGGGAATGTGATGGTTAATTTTTGGGTCAACTTGATTGGGCCATGGGATGCCCAGATAGCTGGTTAGACATTATTTCTGGGTGTGTCTGGAAGGTTGTTTCCAGGAGATGGTAACATGTGAACTGGCATATAGAATCAAGCAGATGGCCCTCCCCAGTGTGAGTAGGCATCATTCAAATCACTGAAGGCCTGAGTAGAACAAAAAAGCAGAGAAAGGTTGAATTAATTCTGCCTGACTGCCTGAGCTGGAACATCAATCTTTTCCTGCCCTCAGCACTCCTGGTTTTCAGGCCTTCAGAGTCAGACCGGAACCTACACCACACTCTCCAGTTCTTAGGCTTTTGCACTGTATCCCTGGCTTTCCTGGGTCTCCAGCTTGCAGGTAGTAGATCGTAGGACTCTTCAGCCTCCATAATCGCATGAGCCAATGACTTATAATAAATCTCTTTGTAGATACAGATATAGACATTAATATGCTCTGTTGGTTCTGTTTCTCTGGGGAACCCTCACTAATACATGGGGAATAATGACTCTATCTTAGTTTGAGTGAGAGCACATGCCAGTGAGAAGGAGAAATGAGGCTTCTACCACCCACACTGCTTACCAGCATGGGTCTTGGAGATAAGGTCAGAAATAGCACTGACTCTTGAGCCAGGGAAACTGCCCCGCCTGCTGCTGCTGGGACACAGTGCCCAGATAATGGGAACACCAGGTCCTGGAGCCAAAGGGTAGAGAGACATCTGGCCTCAATGATAGATGGCAGGGCAGAGGAGGCCAAGCAAAGAAGGGACAAAGAAACAGGAATGAGGGCAGTGAAAGGCCTGGGAGATCTCTGTGCACATCTGGATCTGAGACATGTGTTTGCCCATCATTCTTGTCAGTGTCAAGAGGCAGCAAAGGGGGCAGAGTGATTAAGCATGACCTCAGAAGGTAGCTAAGCTGAGGTCTTCTACCTACGAGTCCATGATCTTACACTGACCACTTACCCTCTCCCTGCCTCTGGTTCCTTGTTTGTAAAATGAGAATATTCATACCTGTTTATAAAGTTGCCATGAAAATAAATGGGATAATAACAGTAAAATGCTTAGCAAGGGTCTGATGCATAGTGAGGACTCAGTAAATATTAGTTGTTATTCTTATCACCATCATTATTGCTATTTCAAATTATAGCCTATGACCAGCTTCCTTGGAGCAAACCGCAAATCAGGACTGGCATCTTATCCATCAATTCTGATTGATAGTGGTTGTCTGCTGAGGATTCCATGGTCACCCTTGTGCTCATCTGAAAAGAACAGTGAACTGTGATCCATTGGCAATGTCTGCCATGGCTCTAGATAGGGAGCAATAGCAGAGGCACCATGCACTTGATTCCCGTGGTCTACATTTCACAATTTATCTGGCAGGAAATACTGATTCAGGAATGTTCCCATTTTAAGTTTCTAAGAGAGTACCTATGAACAGCATCCCCCCCACAAACACACACAAAAGGGCTGGTTTTTAAATGAGGCCAACTGCACATGGCTCTTTTTAAAACTGTACGGAAAGCAGGTTCTCCCTCCTTTTCTGCTCTGTAGACAATATCCATTTCATCATTCCCGGCTGCTCAGCCACATTCCTGCCTGCAGTGGCAGGTGAGCCTCGGGTGGGCTCGTCATAAGTGGGGTCCACACATAGCTTTCCACAGCTGGAGCTACTAAAGCAGACAGCCCTAGGGTGCCAAGAGATTCACATAAGAACACGGTGCAATAAAAAATGCCTGGGAATCCACAGGCCTGGATTCCAGCTTCAGCAGAAACCCACAGTGTGAAGCTGGGTGGGGCAAGTGACTTCACAGAGGCCTAGTTTCCTGTCACCAAAATAAAAGTCAATGATCTCCAAGATCTCTTCCAATTTTATTATTCTGTTCTAGCAAAGGGAATGCACTCCTGTAGTTACTGTATGTTTGAAAGAGGGAGAAACAGGCAAAGACGTACACGTTAGTAGACCCTTGACTTTCTTGAAGGGGAAGCTCCAAAATTTTCTTAGATTCCCAAATGGCGAAATAGCACTCCAGCCCCATTTCTTCTGGGGATTAGTTTTTCACAATGATCAAAGGGTTTATAAGTATGAAAGATGATATTATAGAAAAGCAAGAATTAGAAAAATGGATTCTGGGGCAGGAGCTGGTCCTGTCTTAGTATCTATTCCCCTGCCCATCCTGCCCCACACACTTGTACTCACACACACCAACTTCTTAGTCCATTGAACCAATGTCATATTTCAATAAAATTATAAATTAGTGCCTATCACGGACTTCTGCTATTAACACTACAACTGTTAAATTCCTCACCATGAGGCAAGCATCCATTGAATACACACATACACAAAGTACCTAGACAACCATAGCTGTGTAGCCTGTTTTGGTAATATGTCATCAAGCAAATGTGCAATTGCTTTTGCCAACAGCTATATACTGAAAACATCATGATAATTTCCCAAAACCATAATGGATTTTGCACCTGTCTTTTCTCATATACAATAAGTATAATATGTAATGATTCATTAGCACAAACTCATATGAATGACTTCTCAGAACCATCCAGGTCCTCTCATCTGAGTGAGAAGTGTCCCTTTCCAAACAACCCCCTCCTTGGGAGTAGCTGTCCTCACTGACATGGTGTGGTCATTTTTGGCCCTTCTCCTTAGAAACTGCTTTTCAGAGCCAGTGAAGGAGTCTCAGAAGGAAACTGTATCCCAGCTGCTGACACACCTTGTTTCAGATCCAAAACAATATTTGCAGATCCATCACAATGACACAGTTCACTTCAAGTCTCAAAAACCATGTATAGAGATTTGCCTCTGAATGGCTCTTTGCTGTTGTCCAAAACCCACATCTACCCTTTATGGAAGGAAGTGGTCACCACTAAGGTTACTGGAGAAAGTGCACCACACCTGAATGCAGTTCCTCGCAGACAATATCAAACATGTTTTAGACTTGGGCAGCACACACACGATCTGTTGATACCATCCTTAAAGGGGCTGTATTTAAGGGAAGGACATTCATCTGCGTTTTTCAAAATACCAAGTTATATATGAGTCTCAGGGATTTCCGAGTCAATTTCTAAACCCCCACTCTGTCTACACCCATTCAGCCTCACCCTCTCCCTGACTCCTGTTAAAGTGGCTGTGTCAAAACAGCCACTTCAGAAAGCCCCCAGCATCACAACTGCCACCTGGGCATGACTGGGATATCATCTGCTTATCATCCCCGCTCAGGAAATTATGTAGATTCTGTTACTGCCCTCCAGACGCGACTTGCTTGTTTGGCCGCCTACTCACAGGGTGAGGCTGCACAGCAGGGCATTTTCAAAGACATCATCAGGAGAAGCAACAAACCAGGATCTCACTTCCATACTGAGAAGATAAAAGAGGAGGCGACAAATAGCATGTCCAAATGCCACCTTCTGAATCACTTATAATTCTGCCACCAAACTGAATAGAAAATGCCAGACCCAGGTTACATGGGCTCCTCCTTTAGGAAATAGGCCATTTGAAATTTTTTCACAATCTCTGTTCTTACATGGGCTGTGGAAAGGTCATCTGAGACATCCCAATTATCACCCTTAATGGTTTCCAGTCTGCACTCATCTGACCTGATATCCGTGATATGTGACACCTCCCCACCTCCTTCGGCTTCCTGCATCCCTTTTCAGTTGCACAACCCCCTCCTGTGTCCCAGTCTCATACGACCAACAGATGTCCCACTTGCACTTCATGCTGGAGATGCACAAATGCGCGCTCATCCCCGCCCACTACAGGTTGGGCTCCCTCCGCTGACACCTTAGTTGCTGTCCCTGTAGCATCATGCACTGAGTCCTCTGGGCACAAAACCTCAACTACTCATTGCCACTCTCTCCTTGTCCCTCACAACCAGCCACAGGGTCCTGGTGATTCTGCCTCCTCTGTGGCTCCCGGCCACCGCAGCCAACTCCCTAGCTTGGGCACTTACAGCCTAAGCTCAGGGTCGGCTCCCACCAGACTTTCTCTTACTGTCCCTTCTCCCAGGATATCCACTTCACAGGTCTGTCATAGATTCATCTCCCTCAAAGGCTGCTTAAAGCATTTCCCAGAATTTTCCATGGCTCCCATTGCCTACGATGTAAGTACCCCAGCCCCTCTCTGTCAATCAAGGGACTCTTCACATAGCCCCCATTTAACCTTACCCCTTCAGACGGGTCTCTCCACTGCTCCCTGCACACTTACTAATGGGGATCCCACCTCCCCCACAGCTGGTTTCCACCTGGGGCAGTTTCTATAAACACCCTGGTCCTCCTCCCCCTCACTCACTCCTCCCCAGGAGGGACTTAACTGATTGGTTAGTTTGGGAGAAAAAACGGAGCACTCCCAGCCCAGCATTTTTCTCTTCCCTCTTTACCCTGGGAGCTGAGCAGCCCATTGGGCTCCTCCAGGCCATGCTTCCAGAGGTAGTGCTCCCACAGGGAGGCCTGTGGTGCTCCCATGGGGAGGTCTGTGGTGCTCCCAGGCTACCTGTGATGCTGTCAGGAGCCCCCTTCCCTGTCAATGTGGCATGCATCCTCCAATATCAGACTTCTCAGTAATAAAAGTGATCATGGTTTTGGACTCCCAGGTGCCATATTCCTTTTGATTCATTCTCAATTAGTGTAGAACCCCAGGGAAGAGAGGAGCTCTTGATAGAGTCCTTTTACACACCAACAACCCTGGAACTTTGCTGCCTCTGGGTCTGGCACCTCTCATTCCTCCCTCCCAGGAGCACCTTCCCCTCTCGCTCTGTCTAGTTCTTACCCACCTTCAAGACCCTCCTAAAGTCCAATATCACCTGAATGTGAAGGTCCTCCCTGGGCCCCTGCCACCTCCCCTCCCTCTGAACTCACAGTTCCTGGCTAGACTCATCACTTGGCAACCATGCACCGCCACATCGTATTTCCGGTAACTTCATCCTGCATTCTAGTGCAGGGGTCTCACCTGTTTACGTTTTGGCTCCCTGGTAAGTTACACCTGAGGACAGGTTCATTCCCTTCAGCCTCATTATCATGCTTCCCCTCCACAGCACCTGCCCAGGGTCTTGCTCAAGGTAAGCTCTGGGTGACTGTTTAATTTTGCTGCTGACAATGCACAGGCGGCTTCCCACCTTCTCATCTCAGCCCTAGACAATGTGAAGGTCCAAATTATGGCATCACGGCAACATTGGCATGGTCCTTTTTAACTCCTAACACTTTGATTGTGGCCTTGGACAGTAACTCTACCTGACAGATGGAGAAATGATCATAACGACTTGAGAGATTTTCAGAGACTCTGTTCTCTGACGACGTGTCTATCCTGTACCAAATAACTTTGCCTTGAATAGTGAGTAAAATAGAAGAAGACAGCAAACACAGAGCACAGGCATGCTAGCTTTGCCTTGCCCATGAGCCTGCAGGCTCCTTAAGGCTAGGCCTTATGTTCTTTTCTTCTCCCTAGTACCCTAGTAGCATGGATGCTGTGTCCAAGGTAGGTGCTCAGGAAACACTTGTTAGCTCAACTTAGTTAACAGTGGGAACGATCTCCAAACTCTGACATCAGGGTCACCTTTGCTTTTGATTATGTAATATGGTATTTTGTTACTTGAGGTTAAAGTTTATGCTTCAGTTGCAGATAAAATAAAGAAGAGGGCGATACATCTACAACTAGCTTGTTGGGGGCAGCTGTGTGAAAGAGAGAGCGCAAGAGTGAGAGAGAGAAAGAAATTAAGAGCAATAAGGCCAGTCTTTAAACAAAGTACCATTCACACGAGCAAAATTGTTCTCATTACAGTTATTTTGCCCTCCCCTAAGCCTCCATGAGCACTGAATGGGTAGAAATACCTCTTTGATTCAAGGCAATGGTTGGCGAAGTAAACCATATGCTCCTGGCTGGTGCAAGGAGCTCAGAGAGAGCCCATTCTAACCGAGAACAAAGGTTCGGGGAAAAGCAGTTTCCCGCACAATGCAGCTGAATGATTGACAGGCAGATTATTATTAGGCTGAGTTGGCCTCATCTGGCCTTTTTTTAAGTGCAATATGGTCTGCATAACATGACATATGAATGCTAAACTCCTGGCAGGTCCTGCGAAGGGGACAATGGAGCTGGCAGCCTGACACCGGTGCAGCTGGGAGGGGAAGGCTTGGTTTCTGCACATTAACACATTTGACATTTGGTATCTAAAGGGAAGGGCTAATAAATAACCCGCCAACGATGACACTCTGTAATGACAGCTTTTACTACCAGCCAGTTAATCCTCCACTCCAGTTCTGTCCTTTCAGGCCATCTGGTGTTGAATTCTTATTTACTTATTTTTATTTTCCTGTAGCTTGAACTTAGGACATTTGCCTCCTGCCAGTGTCACATTTTGAAGTCAATTCAAGGGCCAGGAGGGTGGCAGACTGATTGTGGATGATTCCGCACCAAGGTCTGCAGAAAGTGGAGTGAGTGGAGTTTTTACCAGGTGACCTTGGGTTTGGGGTTCAGCTGCATGAAACCAGTTAGTCATCTTGGGTCCAGAGGGATGGGGGAAATTCACCTCTTCATTACCACCTCTTTCTAGAAACAATATGCATGGTTTCTGCCTCAATGGATCTGACATACATTTTCTGAGCATCCACTCTGTGCCCCATAAAAGGATGTGTTCTAGGGATGTTAGTCCATCCCTTTAAGGCCAAAGCTGACAGACAAGAAGGTGAGCCCTCGCATAATAAATCTGCATAATAGGATCTGGACTCTAATAGGAAGAAGCATAAAGTGCTAGGGGGTGGGAGATGACGAAGAAATCCCTTCTTCCTCAGAGGATTTCAGGAAGTTGCCCAGAATTATAAAGGATCTGAGGTTTTACCCTATTTGCATGCTAACAGGTTAGCTGGCATTATGGACTGAATGCCCCAAAATTCGTATGTGAAATTCCCAACCCCCAGTGTGATAGTTTTTGGATGTGGGGCCTTTGGGAGGTGCTTAGGTTTAGATGAGGTCATGAGGGTCGGGCCCCCATGATGAGATCAGGGTCTTCACAAGAAGAGAGACCAAAGAGCTCCCTTTCTGTCTCTCTCTCTCTCTCTGTCCCTTTCTCTCTCTCTCCATCATGCGAAGACACAGCAAGAAGGTGGCCATCTGCAAGCCAAGAAAAGGGCCCTCACCAGGAACGAACCATTCTGGGACCTTGATCTTGGACTTCCAGCCTCCAGAGCTGAGAAAAGTAAATGTCTGTTGTTTAAGCCACCCAATCTGTGGTATTCTGCATTGGCAGCCCAAGCTGACGAAGACAGCCAGCCACAGTTTCATGCATGTTGGCAGAACACACAAGACACCAGGGTCAGAGACAAAGGACTTTACTACTCACAGCATTGGCAGTAGCCAGAATATCAGCTTTTGTATGGATTCTCCAAGCTCATTTCCCACAGAGTGACACAAAGAAGGCCAGATGACACCTGCACACATGGCAAGTTACATTGCAAGAGAGGGACCCTGGAGCTAGGGAACCCAAATCTTTCACAGTGGGCAGTAAACATGCCCCATTTTTGCACTGGAGAAAGACACTAACTCTGTCTTTAGTCCCTTGTAAACTCAGACCCATGACATCAAGCGCTGGGTGGAAGAGAAAATGAGGGTTATTCCCTTAGTGAATATTTGTTGGGTAAGTGCTCAGGGCTGGGTCCTTTGCTGGGAGCAGAAAGAGGAAAAGACGTTGCTCCAGGTATCCCAGTGACTGGTGTGGAGAGAAATACATGCAGATAACTAAGAATGGTGTGGAAGGGCAGTGACAGGCTGGGCACAGAGGATGACAGGAAGCACAAAGAAAGGCATCTCCTGTAGCCTGAGATGATCAGAGATGGGGTGTCCACTGGACAAACACCCATGAAAAGAGAATGGAGAACGAGGCAGTGAGTGCCTCTGTTGACAGATGTGCAAAAACACAAGAGACCCATGGAGAATTGTCTCCCAGAAGAGGCCACCAAATCAATGGATATCAGTTCCCAATCAAACGATTTTTATAAAGGCCAAGATGTGTTCAAAGAAGGAAACAGAAATTTTCTCAAGGTTGTGTTTCTCTGTGGTTGGGCTGTCTATAGGACCCCCTTAAAATACAACCCACAGTGGCATTTCTGGACAAACTCCCTCAGCTTCCTCATGGAAGAGGGGAAGCGGCCATGGAAAAGCAGGCGGTGTGCGGACACCGCCATGACTCCATGTGCAGGTGCATCAGAAGGGAGACAGGAATTGGTATTCAAGGCCCTTCACGATGTGGTCCTTGCCCAACTCCCCTGCCTTGTATCTGGGAACTCCCTGTCTCATACTTCACTTTATTTTATTTTTTATTTTATTTATGTAAGTTTTGAAACAGAGTCTCACTCTGTCACTCAGGCTGGAGTGCAGTGGCATGAGCATGGCTCACTGCAGCCTTGACCTCCCAGCCTCAGGTGATCCTCCCATCTCAGCCTCCAGAGTAGCTGGGACCACAGGTATGCACCACCACACCTGGTAAATTTTTATAATTTTTGTCAAGAAGGGGTTTCGCCATGTTGCCCAGGCTGGGCTCAAATTCGTGGGTTCAAGCAATCCACCTGCCTTGGTCTACCAAAGTGCTGGGATGACAGGCGTGAGCCACCACTCCCAGCCATGCCTCATGCTTTGTACTTTGCCATGATCCTGATTCCGCACCTTGCTGTTTCTCCCATCCCTTTACGTTTTATCATGCAGTGCTCTCTGTCTTTCCCACCCCAAAACTCAGCTCCCTTGACTCACCTGTGTCCTTTAGGACTGAGCTCCAATACTGTCACCTGCAGGCAGTCCTCCTAGATCACCTCAGGTGGGAGACACCTTTCTTTTGCTTCCTGCCATCCTCTGCATCCACCCTGTCACTGCCCTTCCACACCATTCTTAGTTATCTGGGTGTATTTCTCTCTGCACCGACTCTGGGATACCTGGAGCAACGTCTTTTCCTGTTTGTGCTCCCAGCGCAGGACCCAGCCCTGAGCAGTTACCCAACAAATACTCACACAAGGAACAACCCTCACTTTCTCCTCCACCCAGCCCTTGACATTATGAGTCTTGGTCTACAAAGGTCTAAGGATCCATCAGCAAATGTGAAAATTACAGAAGAAGGTAACCATGTGCCACAGAAAACTCTGTTATTTTCAAATAGCCCCCAAGGGCCATGAGATAGTGAAATTGATTTTTTCCACTACTTTATTTTCACCTTCTTCCTCTCCTAAATGCAAACAGCAACTGCAGCATCATCTCACTGTCTCTCTCTCTCTCTTTTCTTCTTTTTCCTGCTTCCCTTCTCGTGGCATGATTATACTAGCTGCATGCAATGGTATTGCACAACCCCTCTGGTAGCTAAAGGTGCCACCCACCTCTGTTCTACAGAGAAAAATGAAAAATGGAAGATGCTCGATGATTAGATGGTTCCAAACCTTTGTCTGTGTTTTGAGAATTGGTAGTGAGCATTCCTGATAGACACCCCTGAGAATCTGATGAAGTACCCAGTTCCCTCAAAATGCATATGCCCATTTACCCACAAAATTTCACAGACCATTGCTGGGAGTTCATACAAGCCTGTGGTCTCCAGCAATAAGAACACATTTTTTAAAAACACTAAACAAGACACCCACATATTAAACCCACATATGTTTAATTTTCTAAGCTTCCATAGCGATGAAGCACACTGTCTCAGAAGAGGGCCAGGTCCTGCAGCTCCTGTCAAGTGAGCCAACCGTGGGATCTAACAACGGGGACTGAGGAGCAGATGGCATGTGACTGTTTGCTGTGGCCTCACTGCATGTGGGTGATAAATAGGCAGAGAAGCTATGAGAATAGTTTTCAGTAATCTTTAGACCAACGAAAGTTCAGCCCAACCTGGAAAGTCCGCATTCATTAATTCTACCTCCTCCTGCTCCTGGACACTTCGATGTATGTCTGCCACCGCCAGTTGTATTGAATATGCAAAATGGAGTCAGCTGTGTCATACATACATTCCCCCACCTGTGCCCACATCCTGTGAGGCACACGGCTTTCCCTGAAATTGAAACAAAAGATGTGCAGAAAGAAGGAACCAGGTGGATTATATTTTGAATGTGTAACCTGAGTTCAGCCCTCCAGGCTATCTGTTCTTGGAGAGCCGTAGCCATCTCTTGTTCATGGCTGCACTTCCAGTCAGCACCTGGCATATAATAAGTGCTCAACAAATAAATGTCCAGGGGATAAATGCATGAATGGACAACGTAAAGCGCACCATAAATTCCCAGTGCCCCCACAATATCTTTTCTCTATGAAAGCACAGAAATTTACTGTATCCCAAAGCCCGAAATCCACCTCAAATTTTCAGCATAAAAGTTCTGCCCTTGGCTGGGCATGGTGGCTCACACCTATAATCCCAACCACTTGGGAGGCTGAGGTGGGAGGATTGCTTGAGCCCAAGAGTTCAAGACCAGCCTGAGAAACATAGCAAGACCCGATTTCTACAAAAAAGTTTAAAAACTTAGCCAGGCATTGTGGTGCAAGCCTGTAGTCCTAGCTACTAAAGAGGCTGAGGCGGAAGGATCATTTGAGCCCGGGAGTTCAAGGCTACAGTGAGTTATGACCCATTCCAGCCCTAGGTGACAGAGCAAGACCCTTTCCCTTAAAAAAGAAAACAAAAACAAAAACAAAAACAAAATTGGTCAGGCATGGTGGCTCACGGCTGTAATCCCAGCACTTTGGGAGGTCAAGGCGGGTGGGTCACCTGAGGTCAGGAGTTCAAGACCAGCCTGGCCAACACGGTGAAACCCTGTCTCTACTACAAATACAAAAAATTAGCAGAGCGTTGTGGCGGGTGCCTGTAATTCCAGCTACTTGGGAGGCTGAGGCAGCAGAATCGCTTCAACCCGGGAGGTGGAGGTTGCAGTGAGCCAAGATTGTGCCATTGCACTCCAGCCTGGGCAACAAGAGTGAAACTTCATCTCAAAAAAAGAGAAAGAAGGAAAGAAAGAAGAAAGAAAAAGAAAGAAAGAAAGAAAATTATCTCCCCTTACCCCCTTTTACCCATGCTCTTTCTCCTTCAAACAAAGGTGACACAAATGTTTGGAGACAGAGTAGAATAAAACCCATTGGAAGGAAGGGAAGATATCTCACCAAGTCCTGATGCCATCAATCATGGTGCTGATTGAATTGAGCTTGTATCCTCTTTCTGGACTCAGTAGACTCCTGTGCCCAGATGCACCCCACTCACTGTTCCAGTGGAGTCCCCTCTGTTCCCATAGGCAGCCCCAGGACAGGACAAGCAGTCTGGCATTTGCCCTGTGGATGTATTTTGCAAATGCCATCACAGGGACCCTCACACCAGGCCCTCCAACCCGACTGCAGAACTGCAGCCCCACTCCAACCCTGCCCTGGGGTCTCCTCGCGTGGCTGCGTCTCCCCTCTGCTCAGGAACAATGTCACTGAGGTCTCCTTCCTGGCCTCCATATGGGTACTCCTTTGTATCTGTCCCCCACTCCCCACACTCCAGGAGCTTGGCAAATTCTGCTGGGGAGCCCAGGACCCCCAGGCCACCAAAGCCACACTGAAGTTGTAGGGGGGGTCAGAGACTAGCCCCCTTTCCAACTCCATCATCTGGTTATGCTACAGTCTCACATGGTCTCTCGTGGATTCACCTCCCTCAGCCTCTTGCCCTGACCCTGCCCTCCAAGAGGCATCGTGCTGCCCATTAGCAGGGAGCAGGGGGAATCATGGCAGGAATATCAACGCTTCACTTCTCCCCACTTCCCCCTCTACATCTCAGGTGCCTCCAAACTCCTCCTTCCTCTTTTAATCCAAACAACCAAGCGTGGCTGAATAACCCTCTCGTAGGAGCAACCTCTTGCAAGGTGGGAGCAGTCACCCATGTGGCCCACCTAAGAAGCTCTGGCGGTCTTTGTGAGAGCTGCTTCTAGGAGCTATAAGATGTCACTAAACAGATAACTGCATCCCCAGCTTGAGGTTGACCGTTATCCCCATCTCTTGTTTGCCTGATTAAATCAGATTAAAATCAACATCAAAGGCTGCCTGTGGACACACGGGAAAACAGACGGTCAACACTTTGGTTTTTTGATCATGAAAAATGAGGGAAGACAGCAAAGGTTCCATGCCCAGAATCTGCCTCACATTTTCATTTCATTTTGTTTTATTTTAACATGAGCTGAAGCAATTCCCTTGCGCTCTGTCCCCTAAGCCACTACCAGGGACAGGCAGCGCAGCAAGAGGTGAGGGCATGAGGAGGCCAGGCCTGGGGCTCCTGATGCTGTTTCCCAGGGACAGTCCTGTCCTTAACTGCAAGGAGAAAAGGCCTCCCACATCCTTAAGAGTTCATGGACAAAGGACTGTGTTCGTGGGTTCTTCCCACGTGGCAGATTACAATCAGATATGCACAGCTAGATCCTGGGTCAGCAGTGGAAACAGAAACTCGCACGTTTCAGCCCAAAGAGAAATTACCTCGTTCCATTTTACCAAAGTTCAAGCAATCTGTGCTTGATATAATAGGTTGATGATAGATAGATAGGTAGATAGATAGATAGATAGATAGATAGATAGATAGATAGATGGATAGATCGATCGATCTAATCGAGCTAAAACCATAATGAGCTCTGGAATTGCGTAAATAATTTTAAGAAAATAAATCTGTAGAAACTAATGGTTTCTGTTTCATTTTTGCCCTCAATCAGCAGCCATTCTATTTCTCTAAGAAATGTGTTTTATTTAAGAGGTCCACTACTGTCAACTATAATCTGTTAAACTATTTCTTTTTTTTTTTGCACAGCAGATTTGTCATGCTTTGGTTTTATTTTTCTGACGTTTTAATGTGTACTTCTGCAAATGACCAATAAACAAACTAAGAAAGATTTGGTGACAATTTTGGCATAAAACTCTGAAATGGCTTCTCAGCATTGGCTCTACTGGTATTTGCAGTCTGCTCATTTTTTGTTGTAGGGTAGGGGGCTGTCCTATGATTGTGGGATGTTTAGAACATCCCTCACCTGTACCCACGAGAGGCCAGTGGTACCCCCTTGCCAGCTGATAACCAAAAATGTCTCCAGACATTGTCAAGTGGGAAACCCCCAGCTGAGAGCCCCAGTTCTGAAATGATGAGGCTGTGGAATGGGGAATCTCAGTCACCCAAACTGAAATTTGGGCACCAATATTTCTAGACTCCCTGGAAGTTGGAGGACCCACACGTGTGCCTTTCCACGCAAGCCCTGAACCTGTGTGGAAAATGGGAAAACAACCATTGTCTTCATGAGTAGGTCCTTCTGTACTTTTGTTTATCACAGCACTATTCCCAATGGCAAAGTCATAGAACCAATCTAAGAATTCATCAATAATTGGATAAAAAATATTGCATATATATATATTCCATATGTATGATATATATATATAGTAGATAGATAGATATAGATATAGGCCAGGCATGGTGGCTCACGCCTATAATCCCAGTACTTTGGGAAGCTGAGTGGGGCGGATTACCTGAGGTTGGGAGTTCAAGACCAGCCTGGCCAACATGCAGAAACCCTGTCTCTACTAAAAATACGAAATTAGCCAGGTGTGGTGGTGCATGCCTGTTATCCCAGCTACTCGGGAGGCTGAGGCAGGAGAATCGCTTGAACCTGGGAGGCAGAGGTTTCGGTGAGCCAAGATCGTGCCATTGCACTCCAGCCTGGGCAACAAGAGCAAAACTCCGTCTCGAATTAAAAAAAAAAAGATATAGATATAGACACCATGGAATACTACTCAGCCATAAAAAAGAATGAAATCATGTCTTGCAGCAACATGGATGGAACAGGAGGCCGTTATTCCTAGTGCAATGACTCAGAAACAGAAAGCCAAAAACTGCAACTTCTCACTTACAAGTGGGAGCTAAACAATGGCTACACACAGACATACAGAGTGGAATAACACACATTGCAAATTCCAAAGGTGGGAGGGTGGGAAGGGGGTGAGGGATGAAACACCATCTGTTAGCTACAATGTACCGTGTTCGGGTGATCCTGCGCTAAAAGCCCAGGCCTCTCCAGTCCATAACATATTCACATAACACAATTGCACTTGTAACCCTAAACCCATTTAAGAGTTTTAAATAAAATAAAATAAAATAATAAAATTCATAAAGTAAAAAGCAGAGGGTTACAAAATGCACCAATTCTACGAAAAGACAGTTATCAAAAAGATTTGAATCTGTCATATGGCAGGCCTCATCATGACTGTACTTTTAACATGCTGAAGAGCTCAAGAAATATTTTGAGATGCCTGTCTTAACTGTAATGTGATACAAAATATGTCTTTGGTGTCTATTGGTTTCAAAGTCACAGGCACTATTCATATTACTGAGCTATGTGGCCTATGTGCGTCATTCAAGAAAATCCTCGATTTCAGTTAGAGGGATAGTTGAAATTAAAATGCAAGTTCTCAGACCAAGTTCGCACACCTCCTGAATTCTGAGGCCTTTAAATTCCAGTGGCTTCCATGTCCCAAGGCAGGAGCTCTTCTTCCCTCACCACGGGGGCTGGCTGGTGCCCCATGCTAGCCAGTTGGAAGCCCCTCCCTGGAGACCTAGTGAGTTTTCCAGGGATAGGCACTTGACCTGGACCAGACCAATCAGGGTCCTTTCTGGAACTTTCTGACAAATTTCTTAACGTAGATCCTCTCTTTGCACAGGGGATATTGTGAGTGTGTTTATTTATTTTTAATTATGAGCTCCGTGCTCCAGAGCAGCTTAGAGGAATGGAGGTGGGAAGCAGGTGCCTCAAAATTCTAGTCTATCTGGGCAAGGCACAGTGGCTCACACCTGTAATCCCAGCCCTTTGGGAGGCAGAGGCAGGTGGATACCTTGAGGTCAGGAGTTCGAGACCAGCCTGGCCAACATGGTGAAGCCTTGTCTCTACTAAAAATACAAAAATTAGCTGGGCATGGTGACACATGCATGTAGTCCCAGCTACTCAGGAGGCTGAGGTGGGAGGATCGCTTGAACCTGGTTGGAGGAGGTTGCAGTGAGCTGAGATTGTTCCACTGCACTCCAGCCTGGGCAACAGAGTGAGACTCCATCTTAAAAAAAAAAAAAATTCTTGTCTGTCTGTGATGGTTACTTTTATGTGTCAGCTTGACTGGGCCATGGGGGTGTCCAGATATTTGGTAAAACGCTATCTGGGCATGTCTGTGAGAGTGTTCTGGAGGGGATTACCATTTGAACTGGTACACTGAGTAAAGCAGATTGCCACCTCCGTGTGGGTGGGCCTCGTCCAACCTGTTGAAGGACTGAATGGAAAAAAAGGCGGAATAAAGGAGAATTTGCTCTCTCTCCCTGCCTATCTTCAAGCTGAGACATTTGGTCCTCTCCAGTCTTTAGACTGAAACTCAGACTGGAACTCACACCATCAGCTCTACCACCTCTTAGGTCTTAGGACTTAGGTCTCAGCTCTCCTGGTTCCCAGCTTGCTGCCTGCAGATCTTGGGGCTTCTCAACTCCCATAACTGAGTGAGCTAATGTCTTTTTTTTTTTTTTTTTTTGAGGCAGAGTCTCTCTCTGTTGCCCAGGCTGGAGTGCAGTGGCACAATCTCGGCTCACTGCAACCTCCCAGATTCAAGCAATTCACCTGCCTCAGCATCCCAAGTAGTTGGGACTACAGGTGCATGCCACTGTGCCCAGCTAATTTTTGTATTTTTGTAGAGATGGGGTTTTGCCACGTTGGCCAGGCTGGTCTTGATCTCCTGACCTCAAATGATCCGCCCGCCTTGGCCTCCCAAAGTGCTGGGATTACAGGCATGAGCCACCACGCCTGGCCAAGCTAATGTCTTATAATAAATTCCCTTAGAGATAGATTGATGATTAATAGAGAGATAGGTCGGATAGATAGATAATTGATTGACAGGTAGTTAGGTAGATTGATAGAAAGATAGGCATCCTATTGATTCTGTTTCTCTGGGGTGCCCTAACACACAGTCTAAACCTAAAGTCCATGGTTCACACGTGTTTGTATAAGATGCAGTATACACACACAGAAAGTTTACATTTTTCCCAATGTACAAGCCTGTCATTAATATTTTAATCTCAGGACAGCAGGATTAAAAAAAAATAAAGACCTATTGAGAATAACAGAACCTATTGTACGAAATGAACTGATACGGGTTTATTACATGGTAAATACATAGTCCCATAAACTGAGTATAACCTACCAAGTAGTTCTGAAGTTCAGTTCCGATCCCTCGGGATAGCTTCTGGAAAGAAGGAAATTTTGAAGCCAAGCACCTTCTTCACAATGTCTGTCCTTATTAGGTCAAAAAGACATTACCCTTTGGTAGTTCCTTATGTCATGCTATCACATTTATTATCCCCAGAGCTGTAGCTGTCTGAGGTTTTGCTACCTATTTCCTACCCACCCACGTGGGGCTGACATTTAGACATTCACTGCCCATCTATAGTTCTTGCATGATACATGGATTTGAATCTCCGCATCTGACCACCGGTTCCAGCCATGCCAAGCAGATAATGAACCCAAGGATCCAAGAAGAAAGGTTTTTTAATGGATTCAATATTTCTGGTTCACTTGTAGCATCTGGGAAAAGGTCTCAGGATCCCTGAGGCTGAAACTGAATATTTTGAGCAACTATGCACTAATGAAATAATCAAATCAAAATTAGAACTATTTAGATCATTTCTGTAGAGACCGTCTGCCTGCTCTCTGATGAAAGCACAGCAGAGGAAAAGTTTCCTTGTAACTTCCTCCCTTTTCATTTTGAGGGTGGGAAGCATGTTTCAAAGACCCATTAGAGCTTTAAATCAAGGAAAGATAAAAGAATCCACACCTGAATTCTAGGAGGGCTCATTCCAGACACAGAGCTGTTTTCTCCACCAGCACTTCATGGTTGGCCCCAAACAGGCTTCAGTTGTTTTTAGTGCCTTGTGCATCTAATTCCAAAGAAATGGCTATTTTATTTGGCTTTTATTCTATTACTCATGCAGTGCAACATGTCTGTGCAACCACACATCCAAGAAAGTGAAATATAAGAGATTAAAAACAGATCTGTCTAGTGAACAGGTGTCAAGCATTATCTAATAGCAAACTAAATATAAAAACGGAGCCTAATTAGAGTTCTGGCATCTCTCCTGCTGTGGGCTTCACAGCTCTTTAACTCTTGAAGTTGCTTCTCAGATCAAAGACCAGAATTCATCAACAAAGGGAGGCTGTGATTTCTGTATTTAGGAGGGTGTGCACGTGCATGTGCACATATGGGAAGGGAAGGAAAGAGGGCCTGGGAAGGGGCAGTTTTGCCAGGCAGTGCCAAAGAGTGAGCTACACTGATGAGAAGTTGCTTTTCTATCAAAGGCATTGAATGAGAATAAAAATAAAATTAAAATAAATTTTAAAAAAGAAATTGCTTTTCCTGAAAAAGACTTCTAGACACTTGTTCCTCAAAGTGTGTTCCTTCCCGGGTGTGTATCAAAAATGAGAATAAGAATTTACCAGCGACTCTTTTGGCAGAGACCTGGGCACACTGGCCAGCAGAGAGCTGGGACCTGTTAGTGCAGAGAAGGCAGGGTCCATGCTGCCACCGCCTCCCCTCGGGTGCTGTTGCCCCGGGCCCGAAGCACTAGGCAGTCTGCCCGGTTCTGCCCATGGCTTCTGCTCCAGAGGAGCCCAGCAGGGATACTCACAGTGGAAGAGTGAGGGGCTGTCCCTGAGGAGGCCCTGGCTGCTGCCCCAAGTGGCACTGTCTCCCAAAGGCTTTGGAGGCCCCAGAGGGCAAAGGGGCCGAAGACCCAGCTTTGAATGTAGTTGAGAGATTCTTGGAACAGTGATGCTTGTTACAGAAGAATTTACTGGGAATTGAAAAGGTGGCTTTAGTCCATATGTTATTAGCCTGAGATGATAAGGAGTTTTAACCAGTGGACCCCATGGTATGGCATGGGCCTGGGCAACAGAGTGAGGCTCTGTCTAAAAAAAAAAAAAAAGAAAGAAAGAAAGAAATACAGTCGTGGGCACCATCCCAGAGGCACTGAGTCAGAACGTGTATTTCTAAGCACTGATTGCCAGTTGATTCATATGCACATTAAGGTCACAAAAGTGTGTTTCAGGAATTGGAATGGATTGGATTGGGATTTGCAGCAAGGCGGGCATGGGGTCAGGCTAAAGTAGGCGTTTTTCTCATGGTATGGAAAAAATTCCCAACGGGAACATATTTTATATGGATTTGCATATTTAACAAATGTTTGTAAAAGCCTATATCTGCGCTTTTAACAGGTTTAGGTATTTTAGGGTAGGGTGTGGAATAGATTTCCAAGACAGGAGCCCTGATTTATACCGTCGTGCTGTGGAAAAGGATTGACTTGCCTTCATTATTCAGGACCAACTGGAGTGGGAGTTGGGGCTACCTTTGCTTACATGCTCCCTCTTACTTCTTCCATTTGAATCCTGTTACACTTGGGTTGAAAAAAATCATAAAATATTTTGCCTTGAAAACAGAAAAAAAAATTTAAAAAAAAGAAAAGGAACTAAAAAAGAGGGTGGCCTCAGACCACAGAATGCCCTAGCAGCTTGTTAGAAATACAGTCTTGGGGCCGGGCGTGGTGGCTCATGCCTGTAATCCCAGCACTTTGAGAGGGGGAGGCAGGCAGATCACCTGAGGTCAGGAGTTCGAGACCAGCCTGGCCAACCTGGTAAAACCCCGCCTCTACTAAAAATACAAAAATTAGCCAGGCATGGTGACACGCACCTGTAATCCCAGCTTCTCTGGAGGCTGAGGCAGGAGAATCCCTTGAATCCAGGAGGCGGAGGTTGCAGTGAGCTGAAATCACTACTGCACTCCAGCCTGGGCAACAGAGCGAGACTCTGTCTCAAAAAAACAAAAACAAACACAAACAAACAAACAAAAAAAGAAATACAGTCTTGGGCACCATCCCAGAGGCACTGAGTCAGAACCTATATTTCTAAGCACTGACTGCCAGTTGATTCATATGCACATTAAGGTTACAAAAGTGTGTTTCAAGAATTGGAATCGATTGGATTGGGGTTTGCAGCAAGGCGGGAATAGGGCTGGGCTAAAGTTTTCCTGAAGAGGCAGATTTGAGTGGGATACTCGGCAGTTGCCTGAGGCTGAGGTCAGCAAGCTTTTCCTGTAAAGGTCCAGACAATAAATACGTAGGCTTTGCAGGTCATACAGCTTCTGTCGCAACTAGTCAACTATATCACTGTAGCGCAAAAGCAGCCACAGACATAATGTAAACAAGTAGGCATGGCCATATTCCAATAAAACTTTATTTGCAAAAACAGGCGCTGGGTCCAGTTTGGCTCATGGGGAGTAGTTTGCTGACCCCTGGCCCAAGAGAACAAGTGTGTCTTCATAAAGTGTGGAACATTCTAGATCAATTGTGGGTTGGGTTGTACCTGGTCCCAAGACTCAAGCTCTCACTAGCTTCTGAAGCCAGCTCTGTTAATGGAACAGAATACTTTATATCAAGGCTTTTTCTTTTTTTTTTTTTTTTGAGACGGAGTCTCACTCTGTTGCCCAGGCTGGAGTGCAGAGGTGCAATCTTGGCTCACTGCAAGCTCCACCTCCTGGGTTCATGCCATTCTCCTGCCTCAGCCTCCCGAGTAGCTGGGACTACAGGCATCTGCCACCATGCTCGGCTAATTTTTTTGTATTTTTTTTTAGTAGAGACAGAGTTTCACTGTGTTAGCCAGGATGGTCTCGATCTCCTGACCTCGTGATTCGCCTGCCTTGGCCTCCCAAAGTGCTTGGATTACAGGCGTGAGCCACCGTGCCCCGCCCAAGGCTTTTTCTTTAAAAATTAAGGAGATGTGATGTAGTTCTATTCCTCAACCATGCTCCTTATTCTGAAAAATGTTCAAAACTCAGGTTACTGTACACTTAGAGCACTCCTAATTATCTACTGCTTAAAACTCTCCTAATTATCTTTTGATAACCCTCAGGAGGCAGGAGAACCAGAGGATGACGAAGTCAACCTACCTGTGCCTCTCAGTCCCTTTTGCCTTGCTATAAAGGAATACCTGAGGCTGGGTAATTTATAAAGAAAAGAGGTATATTTTGGCTTATAGTTCTGTGGGCTGTGCAGGAGACATGGCGCCAGCATCTGCTCCTGGTGAGGCCTCAGGAAGTTTACAATTGTGGCGGAAGGTGAAGGAAGAGCAGTCATGGTGAGAGAGGGAGAAAGAAAGAGAGGGGACAGGTATCAGATTATTTTTAATAAGCAGAGCTCACATGAACTCATTGCTGCTGGGAGGGCACTAGCCACTCATGGGGATCCGCCCCTATGACCAAAACACTTCCCACCAGGCCCCACCTCCAACATCGGAGCCGACCCCGAGACAGAGGATAAATAGAGGAACCAGGTGGAAAAAAAACAAAATACACTGAAAGTCTGTTTACAGACTGGTGGAATCCTTATATTCGTCCCCCACTTACCCTCAGAACTTCGGAAGGCAATTTAATAAACTTTTCTCTTGAGATTTTAAAAGCCCCAAAATAAAGACCTCCAGTATTGACATTTTGGGATCCCCAGTTGTCCCCCAAGGCTACAATGACATCTACCCATCAAAAAGTTCCTTGCAGGCTGGGCACAGTAGCTCATGCCTATAATCCCAACACTTTGGGAGGCCGAGGCGGGAAGATCACCTGAAACCAGGAGTTTGAGACCAGCCTGAGCAATATAGTGAGCCCCTGTTTCTACATAAAATTTAAAAATTACCCTGGCATGCACCTGTAGTCCCGGCTACTTGGGAGGCTGAGGCAGGAGAATCACTTGAGCCTAGGAGTTCAAGGTTGCAGTGGAGCTATGATCATGCCATTGCACTCCAGCCTGGGTGACAGAGCGAGACCCTGTCTCTAAATAAATAAATAAAATTTAAACTAAAAAAATTTTTTAAAAAAATCCTTGCAACACAGGAAATGTCCTTTCAACTTTGCGTTACCTTTCTTAAATATAAATAGAAAGCCGAGTATTAGCTGATATTCAAGGAAGGCCATCAAAATTAAAGGCATATACCCAAACATACAAATCAGGAATAAAGAAACCCTGAGGCCAGGTGCAATGGCTCATGCCTGTAATCTCAGCACTTTAGGAGACCAAGGAATGTGGATCACTTGAACCTAGGAGTTTAAGACCAACCTGGGAAACATGGCGAGACGTTGTCTCTACAAACAATTAAAAAATTAGCTGGGCGTGGTGATGCATGCCTGTAGTCCCAACTACTTGGGAGGCTGAGGTGGGAGGATCACCTGAGCCTGGAGGTTGAGGCTGCAGTGAGCCGTGACTGTGCCACTGAACTCCAACCTGGGTGACAGACTGTGACCTTGCCTCAAAAAAAGAAAAAAAACAGAAAAGAAAAGAAAAAAAGAGCTCTGAGTTCTAGAAATTTGTTTTAAACTTCAAAGGAAAAAAAATCATTACTATGAAAGATAAGAGTTTGAATTCATGAAACAAGCACAAGATGCTATGTAAAACAATTAGAAAATAGCAAAGAGCTCTTGGAAATTTCTGTAATCAAAATACACATAACATAAAATGTACCATCTTAACCATTTCTAAGTGTTCGAGGGTATCAAGTACATTCATATTGTTGTGCAACCATCACCACCACCTTCTATCTCCAGAACGCTTTTCATCTTGCAAAGCTGAAACTTTGTACTGATTAAACAATAATTCCCCATTCCACATCCCCCCTTGGCAAAAACCATTCAACTTTCTATGTCTATAAAGTTAACTACTCTGGAGACTTTACCTAAGTGAAATCAGACAGAATTTGTCTTTTTATGACACACTTATATCACTTAGTACAATGTCTTCAAGGTTCACCCACGTTGTAGCATGTGTCAGAATTTTCTTCCTTTTAAGGCTGAATTAATATTCCATCATATGTATATACCACAGTTTGCTTATCCATTCACCCACTGATGGACACTTTGGTTGTTTCTACCTTTTGGCTATCGTGAATAATGCTGCTATGAACTTGACTATACAAATATTTCTTTAAGACCCTGCTTTCAATTATTTGGGGTATATGCCCAGAAGTGGAACTGCTGGGTAATATGGTAATTCTATTTTTAAATTTTTGAGAAATCACCATACTGTTTTCTTAAAAATTTGTAATGTAATAGAAAATTTTAAAAGTACCCCCCAAATAAAGATGAAAGAAAACATTAAGAAACTCTTCCAGAAAGTAGAACAGAGACTAGAAATATAAAACAGAAAAGAGAAAAAAAAAATGAGGATTGCTCCATAAGGTCAATTATCCTAAGAGGAACTCCAGAAAGAAGGAATAGAAAAAATAAAGAAGAAAAAATTATTATCTAAAGAAATGCAAGACATTTACCCTAAAACTTAAGAAAATTAGTTTCTAAAATGAAAGGGTCACTAAGAGCTTAGTACAAGTCATGATGAAATCTCAGAACCCCAGAGATAAAGAAAAGATATTACAGTTTTTAGAGAGTGATGGGAGGAATCAGTTTACATGCTAAGGGGTGAAACTCAGAATGGTACCTTACTTCTCAATACCATCCTTGGGAGCTTAAAAAAAAAAAAAAGGTAGTGTTACTTTTAAAATTCTGCATAAAAACACATTTCCCACCTAGCAATCTATATCTAGCTAAACTATCAATCAAGTGGGATAAAACATTTTTTAAATGCTTTTTTTTTTTTTTTTTTTTTTTTGAGATAGGGTCTCACTCTGTCACCCAGGCTGGAGTGCAGTGGCATGATCACAGCTTACTGCCTCTAATTTCTGGGCTCAAGTGATCCTCCCACTTCAGCCTCCTGAGTAGCTGGGACTACAGGAACATGCCACCATGCCCAGCTAATTTTTTGTATTTTTTTGTAGAGACAAGGTTTCACTATGTTGCCCAGGCTGGTCTTGGACTCCTGGGCTCAAGTAATCTGCTGACCTCAGCCTCCCAAAGTGCTGGGATTACAGATGTGAGCCACTGTGCCCAGCCCAGCAAATTTTTTGAAGAATGGGTGAGCTTATAAATGGAAGACAAGGCCCAATCATTAGACTCATGGATTCAATCCTGTAAGAGAGAGGAGCACAAGAATGTCTCAGGAAGGAAGTAAAGGGCAGGACAAGAACAACTAGTCCAGCTGAAGGTGTAGAGAAGCCCTAGAAGAGAGGTCAGCAGGAAGAGGATATGAATCAAATGAATCGACAGACATATTGCACATTTGTAAAATAACAAGCTGCTGATGGAGCAATTAGAGGGGTTCATAGAAAATGAAGCAAATGAAAAAAAGGAAGGCCAGGCACAGTGGCTCACGCCTGCAATCCCAGCACTTTGGGAGGCTGAGGTGGGTGGATCATGAGGTCCACAGTTCAAGACCAGCCTGGCCAAGATCATGAAACCCCATTGCTACTAAAACTACAAAAATTAGCCAGGCACCGTGGCAGGCGCCTGTAATCCCAGCTACTCAGGAGGCTGAGGCAGGAGAATCACTTGAACCTGGGCAGCAGAGGTTGCAGTGAGCCAAGATCCCGCCACCGCACTCCAGCCTGGGTGACAGAATGAGATTCCATCTCAGAAAAAAAAGAAAAAAGAAAAAAAGGAAGCAATTATTAACTCTGGGGAAAAAATCCAAAGGTACAAGAAAGGAAATAGAAACATGTAATTGCTACACTGAATGTTGCAACTTGACATGTAATTTAGGCCAGACACAGTGGTTCATGCCTGTAATCCCACCTCAGGTGGGTGGATCACCTGAGGTCAGGAGACCAGCCTAGCCAACATGGTGAAACCCTGTCTCTATCAAAAATACAAAAATTAGCCAGGCATGGTGGCAGGTGCCTATTGTCCCAGCAACTCGGGAGGTTGAGGCAGGAGAATCGCTTGGGCTTAGAAGGCAGAGGCTGCAGTGAGCCAAGATCACGCCACCGCACTCTAGCCTGGGCGACAGAGCAAGACTCTGGCTCAAACAAACAAACATGTAATTTAAAACAACAGCAACCCTAGACTATAACTATCAACAATGAAGAACTGGAGTTGAAGGATAAATGGCATAGCCTCCCATTCATTGGATGGCCAATTCTAGGAAGTATTCTCCATTCTCCACCAAAGTCCTGGCAAGATTGCCTTTGCCTACCTCAGTGACTTTACTAATTACATCCTTATAAGAACTTGTCCTTTTTTTTTTTTTTTTTTTTTTTTTGAGACAGAGTCTCACTCTGTCTCCCAGGCTGGAGTGCAGTGGCTCGATCTCGGCTCACTGCAAGCTCCGCCTCCCGAGTTCACACCACTCTCCTGCCTCAGCCTCCTGAGTAGCTGGGACTACAGGCGCCTGCCACCACGCCCGGCTAATTTTTTGTATTTTTAGTAGAGACGGGGTTTCACCGTGTTAGCCAGGGTGGTCTCAAACTCCTGACCTTGTGATCTGCCCGCTCGGCCTCCCAAAGTGCTGGGACTACAGGCGAATTCATCCTTCTTATCTGTCTCATTCTCCCTGCTCCCTCATTCCTAGTTTCTGGGATCATATTGCAGATAGAGCACCTGCAATGAAAACAAACCCCATTTTCATTTTTCCCCCACCCCTACTTAAATCCAGCCTGCACAGCCTCACCATTTGAATAAAATCTAAGACAAATCCAATGATCTCTGTGTGTGTTTTGGGGGTGGAGAGGGTCTTTATTAAGTAATTTAAAAGCTTCTTGGCCATCTAAAATAAGAAAAAATGACTTGTTTCAGTGTTAAAATCTCCAGATCTACCTAATGATATGTATTTTACTTAAATTTAGAGCTCCACCTTCTCTGACTGTCCCATTCTGGGCCGGTTGGCTGCCTGAGGGGGTTGGCAGCTCAGCCTTGCGTTTTCTGCTTTCTACTCTCAGCTTGTTAAGCAAGGTTGCTGGCCCCTTCAGGATGGGAGAAAGGAGAGGTAAGGTTCAAGGGAGCAAGAAAGGTCAGATTTGCCATAAGATGGCCAAGCTGCTTCTGGGCTGGATAGGGGGGTTTGAGAGACCCCCCCCATTCCAGTCGTTCTTGGGGTTTTTCTCACCTGCAATTCTCTTGATACTGGCCAATGCCTTTCCCTGGCTGGCCACTCCTTGTTTTCCCTTCAGCTCCTGGGAATCCAGTGGTCCCCCCATCCACTGTAGTCACCAGGTCCTCCAGGCCAAACTCAGAATTCAGATGACCCCTCTCATGTGGTCCCATCTGACTCAGTCTCACTTTTAGATTTTTTTAAGTGTGATTCAGGCACCACCTAATAGGTCTCCACAGGCTCTTGGAGACTTGCATCAGGGACCCCTGGAAACCCCTTTCCCTAGGCTGGGGGTGAAGGAAAAGTATTTTCCATCCCTTCCATGTGTGTTAGGGTGTATATTGGGTGAGGGGGGATTACTCTGACAGCTCTCTCCAAAAGGACTCATCTAATCTCCAACTCCCTAGACTTCTACAGTCTCTTTGTATAGACTGGAGCCGGGTGGTCAGTTAAGAGCAAAATCTCATTATTGGATTCTCCATTGCAAGTCCTGCTTGGCGGCCTCTTTCCTCACTTTGAAATGTGGGATTCATCAGCCTCTTTTGTCTTGGAGTTTTAGCTTAAATGGAGGGAAAAAGCATCCTATTTTAACATCCTGTTACACATAATACACAACTTGGTTCAGCACTAAATAACATTTACATGGTTGTAATAATGTAAACACTGAAGACTGATTTAACAAAAAATGATGATGGCACCGTAACGGGAGATGGGCAGAAGGATGAGAGAGCCGCAGCTTCATCTACCAAGTGTGAAAGTCAAGGCTCTGAACTGCAAACAGCAGACTTTCCCTGACTAATGAAAGCAGGAAATGAGGTTATTAAAGGAGATCAGGTCACTCTCCAGCATCTTAAGGAACAATGCCCAGCCACACTGCGGGCTGCTCTGTGAATGCCCCGCTGTCTCTAGTGCCCAGCACCCACACTACACCTGATACATCACACCACTGATGCCTGGGACCATATACCAGAGGCTCTACCCGTTCAGTTTCACAAACGCCAAACTGTGAGCCACCCACCACGGCTGCCAGAAGATTCCTTCCCCTGCACGCCCCTTTCCTCATGGGCTTACTTTGGGATCAAAATCTTAATAAGGGGCATCTGATTGATGAAGTCTAAATTCCACGCCTGCGCCCCAGCTGTAATGTAATGACACATTTTTTTATGACTTCTATCTTGGGAACTCAGGAAATTACCAGAATACGAGGCGTGTTCAAAAAATGTTGAGCTTCTACAAGTAACAAATATCTGCTTCAGGAAGTCAACAGATAATGAGGAAAATGGATAAATGCAAAAATTGCAGATAAGCATCTCGTCTAGAAAGATAATGATAAATACCAAAAGAAACAGCTCAGGGTTGAAAGTCCTGAAAAGAAGGATGAGGGGAGACGATGGTGGGTCAAGGGCAGATGTTTTTTACATAAGTCGTTGGGAAATGTTAAATTTTTTTATACCATGCACATGTGATACCCTGATAAATATAAAACTGAGAAAGGGGTCACTTTCATAAGCATCAGATTTTAAAGGTACTGCACCTCAGGTACTGCAGTCCAGCTGGCCTGGTACAGCCGCTTGCCAGGATATCTGGCATGTTGCCATATCATGCATTTTCTGCTAATCTGCCTGCAGCTGTCTACGGTGGAGGGGCTGCAGCCTCTCTTGCTAACAGTTCAACACTGGCATAAATGGGGAAACAGATTGGTTTGTTGGAATTTTTTGGTTTCTTCTTTTCTTTTTCTTTTTTTTTTGGGTTATCCACCATAAATATAAAGGTCTTGTTGAAACTTTAAAAATTATAATACCAAGTTCACCAAACATCTATTAATGCAGGATATTACATTTTACAAGGCTGCGCTTTCAAAAACAGACCAGAGAGTCCAGTGGACCTCTTGGCCTCCTGGGCCCGGGGTCTACTTCATGGGCAAGGGATCTGTGCAATGGCATAGGGGCCTATGCTCAAGCTTGGTTTAATGTTTAATGCTTGGTATTGCTGTCTGGAAATCCTTAATGATGTTTGAACAAGGCACGCTGCATTTTCATTTGGCACTGGGTCCTGCAAAATATGTAGCCAGTCCTGCATGGACCTCAAAGTCCAGCACCAAATGTAGGCATAAACACACAGGTCTCATTAGTCAAGCTTTAGTGTACTTCTTTTCTCCTGCTTCCTCATCTGCCTTTCGTCTCTCTCTCTCTCTCTGAGACTCTTAACTTGGGGACTCCACAAACTGCAGACAAACATTTCTGTGGACATGTGAATGTGAATAACATGGTTTGGATCTGTGTCCCCACCAAATCTCTTGTCGAATTCTAATCCCCAGTGTTGAAGGTAGGGCCTGGTGGGAGGTGACTGGACCATGGGGGTGGATTTCTAATGAATGGTTTAGAACCATCCCCTTGGCTCTGATCTCAGGACAATGAGTGAGTTCTCATGAGATCTGGTTGTTTAAAAATATGAGACCTCCCCCCTCTCTTGCCCTTGCTTCTGCTTTGGCCATATGAGGTGCCTGCTCCCCCTTCACCTTCCACCATGATTGTAAGTTTCCTGAGGCTTTCCCAGAAGCTGAGCAGATGCCAACACCATGCTTCCTATACAGCCTACAGAACCATGAGCCAATTAAACCTCTTTTCTTTATAAATTACCCAGTCCAAGCTATTTCTTTATAGCAATATGAGAATGGACTAATACAGTGCATTTTTCGGGAAAGAGTATCTCCTTAGCCTTTATCAGGTTCTCAAAAGTGCTGTGGCCTCCAAAATTTGAGAACCACCAATTTACAGGAGCTTTGGCCTTCTAGTTTCTCTTTAACTACTCAGCATAAATGTGGATGTCATCCTATGTCACCTCCAAGCCTTATTGATAGCAGGTGGCACATAAATGATAACTACATGGAGTGTTCACTGAGTAGGCGGAGCCAGGTCCTTGCATTTCTCATCACCAGGTGTCCCTCCCAAAGGAGAAGACTGCACCAAACAGTGGGCAAACCTCCTTTGTTTAAAATGGCTAGAAATGGTATAATCACTAGTCAAACTCTCTCCTGAGATCAAAAAGCAGTTGCTTGAAAGCAAAGTTCTCGCAGTAGCTCTCTATCTAGAAGGAGGCATTTTATTTATGTAAGGAAGTCACCTAAAAGAAAATTCATTTGTTATGGTGTGGCTTTAAGAGTTACTTACTTTTAATGGAATCCCCCAGATAATAATAAATTCTGAAAAAAAAAAATCAGAATCATGGCATGTTAAAACTGGATACATTCCTAGAAATAGATGGAAACTGCTCTTGCAAAAAGCTTAGCACATGTTAAAGCATTTTAGAAACAATTTGCCAAAGTTTATTTAGTCTAGTGATTTCGACAGGTTAAATGGACCCTTTGAGATCTTTTTTCCTCAAGTACAAAGGCTCACTTGCTTAATGAACACAGTCCCAGAAAAGCAGGGGGCTGAACCTTGGCTCTACCATCTTACCTAAGATTCTAGAGTTAGCAAAGGGTTTCCACAAGCCCAAATTATTATGTTTAATCTTTTCAATTATCTGTGAAGCATTAGGTTGGTGCAAAAGTAACTGCAGGTTTTGACATTAAAACTGGCAAAAACTGCAATAACTTTTGCACCAACATAAGAACACTATCCCCATTGTTCAGGTAAAGAAATTGATATGGTTTTGCTGTGTTCCCACCCAAATCTCACCTTGAATTGTAGTCCCCATAATCCTCATGTGTGATGGGAGGGGCCCACTGGGAGGTAATTGAATCATGGGGGCGGTTACCCTAGTGCTGCTGTTCTCATCATAGTGAGTGAGTTCTCATGAGATCCGATGGTTTTTTAAGGGGCTTTCCCCACTTTTGCTCATTCTTCTACTTCCTGCCACTACATGCAGAAGGACGTGTCTGCTTCCCCTTCCACCATGATGGTAAGTTTCCTGAGGCCTCCGCAACCCTGTGGAACTGTGAGTCAATTAAACCTCTTTCCTTTACAAATTACCTAGTCTTGGGTATGTCTTTATAGCAGCAGGAGAATGGACTAATACAGAAATCAAAACTCAGAGAAGTTGTATAACATGCTCAAGGCCAAGAATGCAGCAGGATGAACAGAGTTGTTGGACTCTGAATCAAGTGCTCCTTTCACTACCAGTGACAGTGATGCTTTCCCCAAATAGCTTCTCTGCAAAGTCTCTGCTGAATGGCTTCATAGGGAGGTGCTGGCACTCACTTCTTAGCTGTGTGATCTTAGGCAAGTTACTTAACCTTTTCTTGCCTGTTTCTTCATGCTTACAATGGGAATAATAATAATCTCCATCTCACAGAATTATTGTGAGGATTAAATGAGTTGTTATTTGTACAACCGTATTTTAAAAGGCCCTAGCTTATAGTAGGCACCATGGTGTTGTCATTATTAATAATACTATTATTACCCTTATAGCTCATCAGTATTGGAAATTACTTGATTTGCACACTTGGATACCTAGAGAGGCTAAACTCTTCATCTCTAGCAGCCATTTGTGCTGATTTTGTGAGTTGCCTCAAGTGTCCTCATGCATTTTCAACAGTCGAGAAGGGCTTCAGGCTGACGGTGTGCATCAGATGGGATCAGTGTATTTTAATGTGCCTCCTCCCCATTGCCCCCCATCTGCATATTGAACATTGACTTTATGATGTCATGAGCACAAAGGTCCCTTGAAAATTAAATTCATTGTTCACTTGGAACAGTGTCGGGGGAGCAGGAATGTTTGTGCTGACAACTCGGGGCGTTAACAGTTTCATAACTGTAAGGGAGAAGACAAATAGTGTAACCCACTCATTGTTAATAGAGGCATTAAAAGGTGGATGGACTTCTATTCCTATAAAGGTGACTTTTAAATTCATATGCAATCTGCTGCCTTTTTATCACATCACCATTCTTGCCTTCCTTCTGACCAAACCATGAGTGTGGGGTTTATCCTCATCTCCTACTCAGCCCATTTTCTTCTCTTCCATTAATAAAATAAATTCTGGAAAAAAAATACTTTCCTGAGTCTGCCTCCGAAATAACTCTCAGGTCATCTTGATAGCCCTGTGCCAAGCCAGTCACCAGTCCACAAAAGCCAACCAATAGGCAAGATTTTTTCTTTTTTTCCTTGAGATGGAGTCTTGCTCTGTCGCCCAGGCTGGAGGGCAGTGGCGCGACATGAGCTCATTGCAACATTTGCCTCCCGGGTTCAAGCAATTCTCCTGTCTCAGCCTCCCATGTAGCTGAGATTACAGGCATGTGTCACCATGCCTGGCTAATTTTTATATTTTTAGTAGAGATGGGGTTTCAACATGTTGGTCAGGCTGGTCTCGAACTCCTGACCTCAGGTGATCCACCCACCTTGGCCTCCCAAAGTTCTGGGATTACAGGCGTGAGCCATCATCCCTGACTGGGCAGGATTATTAATTGGAGAAAGGAGGAAAGGGGAAACATGTAACTGTTCCACCAAATCATGCCTCTCTCTTCTTTCTCTTTCTGAATTTCAATCGGGAAATGACATGCATCCCCTGCCAGCTGTATTACTTAACTGCCACCTCAGACACCATCTCCTAATGATAGGCTGTTTCGGGAGATGGCTATCACCTCCTTATGATTCTGTTTCCAAGATCCCAAAAGACAGATTAGCTCAGTGTCCTCCCTGCCACCACTGAGTTACAATCTGAGAGAAATCCTAGGCATGCAACCCATGATGGAAGTCTTAGGAGAGGCTCTGTTTTGAACTAGAGATTAGAAACTTCTCATTGGTAGTTTCTGGTTCCTCTCACTGACCATTAGGCCAGACATTTCCATGATGGACTTCATAATCATGCAAGCTGCAATAGCAAAAATAGAATGAAAAGAAAATGACCAGAATGCTGCATACAAAGGGCACAGCCCAAATTACATAATTTTGTTCCCATCTGCATTGAGAGAATCACTGCATTTTTCAGAGACTAAATATCTAAAACCCAAGACTCCATTTTCTCCCCTCTCAGGCCTCTCCCCAGGCCCATACCCTATCTCTCCCCTGGCACTCTGATTTTGATGCAATGAATGCATTTGAGGGACTACATGATAAATAAGAAGTTTTTGGTATGACAGAAAGTCTAAAATTAATAATGCCTTTTTACCAGCAGTGACTATGGGCTGATGATGCTACTCGTGAAATAAACCTGGTGGAGAGAGGCAGGACAGAGGTGAGTTAAGTCAGAGAGGAGAGGTTTACATCAAGGCAACCCAGTATGCTTTTTATTTGAATAACTGGGTGGCTTCCTCTTACGTAAAGTTGTTACTCAGATTACCAGGAGAATTTGAAGAGTGTCAAATGCAGCACAATCAGAAGGCATGACTTTAATGTGTCCTGAAAACGCAGTCATGCCTCCGTCCTCCTACTTCTCGTGGTTGGCAGGAACCTGTAGCAGCTCACTGCCTCCATCCTGTCCCTGAATGCCCTAGACTTTGCATTCTCAGCTGCAAGGGTCTACATTTTATCCAGCCATGAAGAATGCTGTCAAAGAAGGAGCTGGAGAAGTCAGACTCTCACACCTGCACCTCCAGGAGGGCTGAAACTGAAGGGGGAAGTAGGGGTGCTGCTCAGGTGTGCCGTGACTGAGGACACAGGACAGGGGCCCTTCTGGGTTTGGATGCTGGTGATCCTTCTCCAGCTGCTGTTTCAAGAGTGCATCAGGTCCCCAGGCTTTCACCTATTGATATGGTTTGGCTGTGTCCCCACCCAAATCTCACCTTGAATTATAATAATCCCCACATGTCAAGGTGGGGGCCAGGTGGAGATAATTGAATCATGGGGGCAGTTTCCCTCATACTGTTCTCAAGGTAGTGAAAAAGTCTAATGAGAGTTGACGGTTTTATAAGTGGGAGTTTCCCCTGCACAAGCTCTCTTGCTCATCACAGTGTAAGAAGTCCCTTTGCTCTTCCTTTGTCTTCCTCCATGATTGTGAGGCCTCCCCAGCCATGTGGAACTGTGAGTCCATTAAACCTCTTTCCTTTATAAATTACCCAGTCTCGGGTATATCTTTATTAGTAGCATGAGAACAGGCTAATACAATTATCAAGCTTGTAGAAAAGACCAGATCAGATAACTGGGGCTGGGGAGCAACTACTTTCAAACATTGTTGCTGGGAGTGTGAATTGGTACAACCTTTAAGGTGGGCAACTCAGCCATATCTAACCAAATTTTAAAAAAATGCACATACCCTTTGGCCATCCCCCTTCTGGGGTTTAATCCTGTAGATAGGTTTATACATATACAAAATATAACATTACCGAGATATTCACTGAAATATTATTTGGAAAGAGATTGGAAACAACCCAAATGTCCGTCACTAAATGGCTGATTGTATGAATGACAACACATAGATAGACAAAAGGAAATTAACACTGTTATTAAAAAGAAGAATCAGCACTGTACGTTCTGACATAGAATTCACTCCATGATAATATAAAGTAAAAAAAGAAAGTGCAAAATACTGTGTATAATATGCTACTCTTTGGACAAAGTGTACTTTATGTACATATATGCTTGTTTATGCACGGAATACCTCTGGAAATATCCACAATAAACTGATTAACTACAGTTCCTTCTAGGGAGGAGAAACCAGTGGCTGGGAGATGGGAGAAGAGAGTCTTTCTGCACTCTGTACCCTTTTCTACCTTTCAACGTGTGGATCATATTCAAGTGTTAATTTTTTGACTGAAAAAGAAATTAGCTATAAACAGCATTATAAAGACTATTACCAGGAACTCTTCTAACGTTCTCAGGGTCAGAAGTCCAAAATCAGTCTCATGAGGTTAATGTCAAGGTGTCAGCAAGTCTTGTTCCTTCTGGAATCTCTATGGGACAAGAGGCTCCTTGCATTCCTTGGCTTGTGGCCACATCACCCTGACCTCTGCTTCTGTGCTCACATCTCCTCTCTGACTCTGACCCTCCTGACTCCCTCTTATCAAGATCCTTGTGGTTACATTGGGATCTTGGGTAAACCGGGATAATGAACAGATTCTGGGAATTCTAGGACTGAATATCTTTGGGGGTTCATTATTCAGTCTACCACAGGGGGTATGGGAGGAAACACTCCTGTTCTCTCTTCATTCCATTTCCCCTGTCCCCTAGGAAACCAGAGTAGACACTCTGACATCCACCAGCCAGTGCTCCCCAGTGGAGGGATTGCTGTGTTAAAGGCTGTGGTCCCTCACTCCCATGGTGCCCACGCCCTTGACCCCACACCCCACCTCTCTTCTCTGAGGAACATAGCTATCAGGTCCACCTTGGAGGCCAGAAACCCCCATTCTCAGATGGGACATGAGAGGATCCACCACATTCCTCAGGAGGTTGATTCAGAGCTCCACATCTTGGCAGTTGGTGGGGTCTCATCTAGAGAGTGCATTGGACCTAGAAAATTCTGACAAAGTCACTTCCTTTGGCAAGAACCTTGGAGAGGCGAGAGCTGGGATGCAGACGGGTTGCAAGGGTCCCAGTCAGGAAGGTTTGGTGCTGCGCTTTCCAAACTTTTATACATATGTATGGTTGACTAGTGATCTTGTTATTATTTTTCTTCCATGAGCTCTTGGGTTTTAAAAGCTTTTTGTCTTCTTAACCATCTACATTTAGTAAGTAGTAGCCTATATGTTCTAATCACAGATTAAGGCATAATTTCCATTAAACTTTTAAAAATCTTGAAAAGAAGCACACAACTCCCATTACCATATTTCAAAATAAACCCTTGACAGTCTCTGGAGTCCAGATTGGAAAACAAGGATACAGAAATAACAGCAATGACAATAGCAATGTTACCTACAGCACAAGGAGCTCTGGGCTGAGGGACAGGATACCTGCAGCCCGGCCCTTGCCCTGCCACTCACTCACTGTGCCAAGCTAAGAAATGACTCACCTGCCCAGTGATCACAAGCCCCAGCCCCGGAGCCTCTGGTTTAACTGGGTCAGGGTGGGATTCCCCCAGGTAAGTCCAGTGTGAGTCAAGACCACTGGCTGGACAGGGTCTAGCTGCCCCAGAGAACACTCCAGGCTGAGTCTCCCGGAGCCAAGGGGACAAACTCAGGACTCTGTGAGAGGGAGGGCAATGGGACGGGGACATAAGCAAGCCAAGCTGCACCCAGGGCCTGTGAATGTTGACATCTTGTGGGCTCAGGCCACCTGGTGAGGCTAAGCAGGAGAGTGCTTGGCTGTTCTGACACTGTTCATTAAGCCAGGGACAGACAGAGACTAACGTGATTTAAAAGCCTCCAAAAGACACACTGCAAATCAGGGTCACAGCAAGGGCCAGCCAGCAGCCAGCTCAGGCTTGCCCTCTCTCCCTCTCACCCCTCCTTTCCCCCTGCACTCACCTTGTCTGAGCCAAATTGTTTTTCCACCAAAATTTACAGGGGTAGCACTGTGGGGAAACATTTGGGAGAGATCTCCGGCTGTGACCCACTGTTAAAAGCATCTCCACTGGCTATTGCTAAACAGAAAAGATTGTGGCTTCCCAGCAAGGCTGATTTCCCAGAAAACAGCCCTGGTAGGCCAAGGGGTAGGAACGCGAGGTAAGTGCTTATCTCCATGTGCTGATGTTCACTAGGGAAGCCAGGGACGGTCAGGATATCTCACCCCAGCTGAAATCAGATGACAAGCTGGTATCCATCTCAGAGGGAGCTCTAGAGGACAAGCAGAGGCAGGCTGAACATAGGTATCTTCTTTTTGTTGAAACACAAAGATAGCCGCTGCCTTTCTTTCTTGCCCTCTTACTCATAATTTTGTCCTGGAGAGGATCAGGAGGAGCCTCCCTGGATTATTCCAATTAGTCATTAGTCACTTGTTTCTCTGGTATGGGATAATCTGGTTCTATGATTACAGTGACCTAGAGTACCTGAACCAAAAACTGAGAGGCACATTTTAGTAAAAATTATTTTGGTGGGAGGTTTTTCCCACTATTTGTCATTCTATGAAAACAAAAAGTTTGCAGGCTAGAATACAAAAATTTAGATCATAACAAAAAGGTCTAACATTCTAAGATGAATTTCTAACACTCTGTGGTGCCATCACCATAAGAAGATGTGGGGGATGTTAGTGGATGTGGTGGACTAAAGACCTCTAAAACTCCTCTCCTCCATAAAAGCAACAAAAACACTAACCAAAAAAAAGTCAGAATCAAATTTTTCAGAAATTTAGAAATTAACCAAAGGCTTGCAACAATCTGAGGTGCATTTATTCAGTAACAATGGCTGAATCTTGGTAAAAAAATAGAAAGCTTTGTGGTATTTTAATTTGCCTATTCCCATCCCTTACCCGTACCCCCAGATTTGCAGTACTCTGGAAAACCAACAGCCCACAATCGCAGTGAAAAATCTCAAAAACCTAGTCTGACAGCCACTGGAAGGAGAAGAACAGTTCTGGAGCCCCCTCAAAGTTCCATTTCCAGAGAACTGTCATCATTCCACCTGTCTACTTTCCTGGAAGACCCCACCAACAATGCTGTCTTTATGTGATGTGACTCAGAGCTCTTCCAGTGCAAAAAGCCTTTTCTTCAGAGGATATTTGTCTAAAACAAAGCATCTTGACTGCCTGAGGCAGTAGATAGCAGTTGGGGCAAATAATAGGCCAACCAAAGAGCTTAAAAGGAAAAGCTGGAGAATGACTTGTTCAAAGAGAGCTTTTAAAAGCTCTGATATATTCCTGTTAATCTAAAATGCCACATATATGCATAGGACAGTAGGCATGCCCAGAGCTATATCATGCCCAAGAAAGACCTGAGAAGGGCTGGCTGACTTTGAAGCTCTGTGGAAGCAGGAAGTAAAGGCTAAGGCAGAGTTTTTAACTTCTTGACTGAATGTTAAAGGTGGGCCCCCAATACACATACAGAACCTCTCAGCAAAAATTGGGAGACTTATTGGTTCCACGTACTTAAGAAATATTTGACTAATTATTAGTGTACCACTAAGCCAAATGAGCAGAGCCTTCAGGGGCCACCTATGACAAAGAAGACAGACTTTACATAATTAGTTCAGAAAAATCACTGAACAAACATTTACAAAACAAACAGCAAGAACAAACCCTGGAGAGGGGTGAAGATCTGATTTCCAGAGTTGTCATATTATATTATGTAAAAATTCCAGTTTTTAATAACAATAAAAAATTATGAGACATACAAAGAAACAAAAAGTATGACCCATACAGGCTGAAAGAATCAGTCAAGAAAAACTGTTCCAAAGGAAAAACTAGATATTAGACATACTAGACAAGGACTTTAAACCACCTATTTTAAATATGTTTAAAGAACTGAAGACACATCTAAAGAACTAAAGTATGAAAATGATGTTTCACTATATAGAGAATACCAATAAAGAGACAAAAAGAATAAAAACGACCCAAATAGAAATTCTAGAGTGGAAAGTACAAAAACTGAAATGAAAAAAAATTCACTCAACAGCAGACTTGAGCTGGCAGAAGAAAGAAACAACATACTTGAAAATAAGTTGATTGAGATTATTCAGTCTGACTTACAGAAAGAAAAAAGAAGGAAGAAAATTTAACAGAGCATAAAAGACCAACAAATACATAATTGGAATTCCAAAAGTAGTGAAGAGAGAGAAAGGATCAGAAAGAATAGTTGAAGAAGTAATGGCTGAAAACTTTCCAAATTGGATAAAATACATTTACCCACACATCCAACTAGCTCAACAACCTTCAGGTAGGATAAACTCAAAGAGACTCACACAGAGACTCATCATGATCCAACTGTCAAAAGATAAAAAGAGAATCTTGAGAGCAGCAAGACAGTAGAGATCCATCATGTATAAGGGATCCTCAAGAATGTTAACTTTCTCATCAGAATCCATGGAATCGGGAAGGCAAAGGGTGACATATTCAAAATTCTGAAGGAAAAAAAAACACTATCAACCAATAATTTTACATTCAGCAAAACTATCCTTAAACATGAAGGTGAAATTAAGACATCAAGATAAACAAATAAGCTGGGTGCAGTGGCTCACACCTGTAATCCCAGCACTTTGGGAGGCTGAGGCGGGCGGATCACAAGGTCAGGAGATCGATACCATCCTGGCTAACATGGTGAAATCCCGTCTCTACTAAAAATATAAAAAATTAGCCGGGCATGGTGTTGGGCGCCTGTAGTCCCAGCTACTTGGGAGGCTGAGGCAGGAAAATGGCATGAACCCAGGAGGCGGAGCTTGCAGTGAGCCAAGATCGGGCCACTGCATTCTAGCCTAGGCAACAGAGTGAGACTCCATCTCAAAAAAAAAAAAAAAAAAAAAAAGATAAACAAATAATGAAAGAATCTGTCACTTGCACCTAAACTACAAGAAATACTAAAGGGAATCCTTCCAGCTGAAGTGATAAGACACAAAATAGTAACTCATGAAGAAGCAACCACATGAAGAAATAAAAAGCACTGGTGAAGATAACTACGTAGTAAGTATGAAAGACAGAATAAATGTATTCTTCTTTGTGTTTTACTCTTTTTTCTCCAGATTTAAAAGACAACTGCATGAAGCAATAATTATAAGCCTGTGTTAACAAGTAAACATAATATAAATATGCAATTTGGATAATAAAAGCACAAAGGAGCAGAGAGGAAATAGAGCTATAATAAAAAGAGTTTTGTATGCCTTTTTAAGTTAGGTTGTTATGAATCCTAGCTTGTCATAAATTAAGATGTTAAATGTAATCCCTAGGGCAACAAATACGAAAAAACTAAAAAACATACAGTAAAAGAAGGAACAAAGGAACTAAGTTGGTACACTAGAACATGGCTGCTTAACATAAAAGAAGGGAATAGTGGAGGAATAAAAGAACAAAAAAAGATATAAGACTTACAGAAAACTAATATCGAAATGGTAGAAATAAATCTTATCAGCCACTTTGGGAAGCTGAGGCTAGTGGATCACCTGATGTCAGGAGTTCAAGACCAGCCTGGCCAACATGGTGAAACCCCGTCTCTATTAAAAATACAAAAAACATTAGCTGGGTATGGTAGTGCGCACCTGTAATCCCAGCTTCTAGGGAGGCTGAGGCAAGAAAATTGCTCGAACCCGGGAGGCAGAGGTTGCAATGAGCTGAGATCGTGTCATTGCACTCTAGCCTGGGTGACAGAGTGAGACTCTGTCTCAAAAAAAAAAAAAAAAATCTTATCAGCAATTACATTAAACATAAATGGATTCACATTCCAACCAAAAGAAACAGATTGGCAGAACTAATTCTTAAAAATGCATTATTCGGGGGCTAGCAAGATGGCCGAATAGGAACAGTTCCAGTCTGCAGCACCCAGTGAGACTAACACAGAAGGCAGATGATTTCTGCATTTCCAACTGAGATACCCGGTTCATCTCCTTGGGACTGGTTACACAGTGGGTGCAGCCCACAGAGGGTGAGCAAAAGCAGGGTGGGGTGTTGCCTCACCCGGGAAGTGCAAGGGATTGGGGAAGTCCCTCCCCTAGCCAAGAGAAGCCATGAGGGACTGTGCTGTGAGAGATGGTGCTATCCAGCCCAGATACTATGCTTTTCCCACGGTCTTCACAACCTGCAGACCAGAAGATTCCCTTGGGTGCCATACCACCAGGGCCCTGGGTTTCAAGAACAAAACTGGGCAGCCATTTGCGCAGACACAGAGATAGCTGCAGAAGTCTTTTTTCATACCCCAGTGGTGCCTGGAATGCCAGCAAGACAGAACGGTTCACTCCCTGGAAAGAGGGCTGAAGCCAGGGAGCTAAGCGGTCTTTCCCAGAGGATCCCACCCCCACAGAGCCCAACGAGCTAAGATCCACTGGTGTGAAATCCTCTCTGCCAGCACAGCAGTCTGAAGTCAACCTGGGATGCTCAAGCTTGGTGAGGGAAGGGGCATCCACCATTACTGAGGCTTGAGTAGGTGATTTCCCCCTCACAGTGTAAACAAAGCCTTAGGGAAGTTCGAACTGGGCAGAGCCCACCACAGCACGGCAAAACCACTGTAGCCAGACTGCCTCTCTAGATTCTTCCTCTCTGGGCAGGGCATCTCTGAAAGAAAGGTAGCAGCCCCAGTCAGGTGCTTATAGATAAAACTCCCATCTCCCTGGGACAGACCACCTGGGGGAAGGGGCGGCTGTGGGTGCATCTTCAGCAGACTTAAACGTTCCTGCCTGCTGACTCTGAAGAGAGCAGTGGATTTCCCAACACAGCACTTCAGCTCTGCTAAGGGACAGGCTGCCTCCTCAAATGGGTCCCTGACTCCTATGCCTCCTGACTGTGAGACACCTCCCAGCAGGGGTCAACAGACACCTCATACAGGAGAGCTCCAGCTGGCATCTGGAGGGTGTCCCTCTGGGACGAAGCTTCCAGAGGAAGGAGCAAGCAGCAATCTTTGCTGTTCTGCAGCCTCCACTGGTGATACCCTGGCAAACAGGATCTGGAGTGGACCTCCTGCAAACTCCACCAGACCTGCAGAAGAGGGTCCTGACTGTTAGAAGGAAAACTAACAATCAGAAAGCAATAGCATCAACATCAACAAAAAGGACGCCCACGCAAAAACCCCATCCGAAGGTCACCAACATCAAAGATCAAAGGTAGATAAATCCATGAAGATGAGGAAAAACCAGCACAAAAAAGCTGAAAATTCCAAAAGCCAGAATACTTCTTCTCCTCCAAAAGATCACAACTCCTCACCAGCAAAGGAACAAAACTAGATGGAGAATGAGTTTGACAAATTGACAGAAGCAGGCTTCAGAAAGTGGGTGATAACAAACTCCTCCGAGCTAAAAGAGCATCTTCTAACCCAATCCAAGGAAGCTAAGAACCTTGATAAAAGGTTACAGGACTTGCTAACTAGAATAACCAGTTTAGAGAAGAACATAAATGACATGATGGAGCTGAAAAACACAGCACAAGAACTTTGTGAAGCCTAAACAAGTATCAATAGCTGAATCGATCAAGCAGAAGAAAGGATATCAGAGATTGAAGATCAATTTAATGAAATAAAGTGTGAAGACAAGATTAGAGAAAAAATAATGAAAAGAAACAAACAAAGCCTCCAAGAAATATGGGACTATGTGAAAAGACCAAACCTACGTTTGATTGGTGTACCTGAAAGTGATGGGGAGAATGGAACCAAGTTGGAAAACATACTTCAGGAAATTATCCAAGAGAACTTCCCCGACCTAGCAAGATAGGCCAACATTCAAATTCAGGAAATACAGAGAAAACCAGAAAGATACTCCTCGAGAAGAGCAACCCGAAGACACATAATCAACAGATTCACCAAGGTTGAAATGAGGAAAAAATGTTAAGGGCAACCAGAAAGAAAGGTCAAGTTACCCAGAAAGGGAAACCCATCAGACCAACAGGAGATCTCTCTAAAGAAACCCTACAAGCCAGAAGAGAATGGGGGCCAATATTCAACATTCTTAAAGAAAAGAATTTTCAACCCAGAATTTTGTATCCAGCCAAACTAAGCTTCATAAGTAAAGGAGAAATAAAATCCTTTATAGACAAGCAAATGCTGAGGGATTTTGTCACCACCAGGCCTGCCTTACCAGAGCTCCTGAAGGAAGCACTAAATATGGAAAGGAAAAACCGGTACCAGCCACTGCAAAAACATACCAAAATGTAAAGACCATCAACACTATGAAGAAACTCCATCAACTAATGGGCAAAATAAACAACTAGTGGTCCAGGTGTGGTGGCTCACACCTGTAATCCCAGCATTTTGGGAGGCCGAGGCGGGTGGATCACGAGGTCAGGAGTTCAAGACCAACCTGGCCAAGATGGCAAAACCCTATCTCTACGAATAATACAAAAAAAAAAAAAAAAAAGATTAGCTAGATGTGGTGGAGGGCACCTGTAATCTCAGCTACTCAGGAGGCTGAGGCAGAGAACTGCTTGAACCCAGGAGGTGGAGGTTGCAGTGAGCCAAGATCATGCCACTGCACTCCAGCCTGGACAACAAGCAAGACTCCAAAAAAGAAAAAAAAAGCTAGCATCATAATGACAGAATCAAATTCACACATAACAATATTAACCTTAAATGTAAATGGGCTAAACGTCCCAATTAAAAGACTCAGACTGGCAAATTGGATAAAGAGTCAAGACCCATTGGTGTGCTGTATTCAGGAGACACATCTCACGTGCAAAGACACATATAGGCTCAAAACTAAGGGATGGAGGAATATTTACCAAGCAAATGGAAAGAAAAAAAAAAGCAGGGGTTGCAATCCTAGTCTTTGATAAAACAGACTTTAAACCAACAAAGATCAAAAAAGACAAAAAAGGGCATTACATAATGGTAAAGGGATCAATGCAACAAGAAAAGCTAATGATCTAAATATATATGCACCCAATACAGGAGAACCCAGATTCACAAAGCAAGTTTTTAGAGACCTACAAAGAGACTTAGACTCCCAAACAATAACAGTGGGAGACTTTAGCACCCCACTAACAATATTAGACAGATCAACGAGACAGAAAATTAACAAGGATATTCAGGACTTGAACTCAGCTCTGGACCAAAAGGACCTAATAGAAATCTACAGAACTCTCCACACCAAATCAACAGAATATACATTGATCTCAGCACGACATAGCACTTACTCTACAATTAACCACATAATTGGAAGTAAAACTCTCCTCAGCAAATGCAAAAGAACAAGAATCATAAAAAACAGTCTCTCAGACCACAGTGCAATCAAATTAGAAATCAGGATTAAGAAACTCACTCAAAACCAGCCAGGCGTGGTGGCTCATGCCTGTAATCCCAACACTTTGGGAGGCCAAGGCGGGCGGGTCACGAGGTCAGGAGATCAAGACCATCCTGGCTAACATGGTGAAACCTGTCTCTAATAAAAATACAAAAAAATTAGCCAGGTGTGGTGGTGGGCACCTGTAGTCCCATCTACTTGGGAGGCTAAAGGAGGAGAACAGTGTGAACCTGGCAGGCGGAGCTTGCTTGCAGTGAGCTGAGATTGCGCTACTGCACTCCAGCCTGGGTGACAGAACAAGACTCCGTCTCAAAAAAAAAAAAAAAAAAAAGAAAGAAAGAAAGAAACTCACTCAAAACCTCACAACTACAAGGGAACTGAGCAACCTGCTCCTGAATGACTACTGGGTAAATAACAAAATTAACGCAGATATAAAGAAGTTCTTTGAAATCAATGAGAACCAAGACACAACATACCAGAATCTCTAGGACACAGCTAAAGCAGTGTTTAGAGGGAAATTTATAGCACTAAATGCCCACATGAGAACATGGGAAAGATCAAGAACTGACACCCTAACATCATGATTAAAAGAACTAGAGAAGTAAGAACAAACAAATTCAAAAGCTAGCAGAAGACAAGAAATAATTAAGATCAGAGCAGAACTGAAGGAGATAGAGACACAAAAAACCCTTAAAAAAAAATCAATGAATCCAGGAGCTGGTTTTCTGAAAAGATTAACAAAATAGATGGAACGCCAGCCAGAGCAATAAAGAAGAAAAGAGAGAAGAATCAAATAGACACAATAAAAAATGACTAAGGGGATATCACCACTGATCCCACAGAAATACAAACTACCATCAGAGAATACTATAAACACATCTACACAAATAAACCAGAAAATCTAGAAGAAATGGATAAATTCCTGGGCACATACACCCTCCCAAGACTAAACCAGGAAGAAGTCGAATCCCTGAATAGACCAATAACAACTTCTGAAATTGAGGCAGTGATTAATAGCTTACCAACCAAAAAAAGGCCAAGACCAGATGGATTCACAGCCAAATTCTACCTGAGGTAAAAGAGGAGCTGGTACCATTCCTTCTGAAACTATTCCAAACAATAGAAAAAGAGGAACTCCTCCCTAACTCATTTTATGAGGCCAGCATCATCCTGATACCAAAACCTGACAGAGACACAACAAAAAAAGAAAATTTCAGGCCAATATCCCTGATGAACATCAATGCAAAAATCCTCAACAAAATAATGGTCAACCAAATCCAGTAGTATATTAAAAACTTACCCACTACAATCAAGTTGGCTTCATCCCTCGGATGCAAGGCTGGTTCAACATACACAAATCAATAAATGTAATCCATCACATAAACAGAACTAATGACAAAAACCAGATGATTATCTCAATAGATGCAGAAAAGCCCTTCAATAAAATTCAACTTCCCTTCATGCTAAAAACTCTCAATAAATTAGGTATTGATGGGACATATTTCAAAATAATAAGAGCTATCTATGACAAACCCACAGCCAATATCATACTGAATGGGCAAAAACTGGAAGCATTCCCTTTGAAAACTGGCACAAGACAGGGATGCCCTCTCTCACCGCTCCTATTCAACATAGTGTTGGAAGTTCTGGCCAGGGCAATCAGGCAGGAGAAGGAAATAAAAGGTATTCAATTAGGAAAAGAGGAAGTCAAATTGTCCCTGTTTGCAGACGACATGACTGTTTATCTAGAAAACCCCATCGTCTCAGCCCAAAATCTCCTTAAGCTGATAAGCAACTTCAGCAAAGTCTCAGGATACAAAATCAATGTAAAAAAATCACAAGCATTCTTATACACCAGCAACAGACAAACAGAGAGCCAAATCATGAGTGAACTCCCATTCACAATTGCTTCAAAGAGAATAAAATACCTAGGAATCCAACTTACAAGGGATGTGAAGGACCTCTTCAAGGAGAACTACAAACCACTACTCAAGGAAATAAAAGAGGATACAAACAAATGGAAGAACATTCCATGCTCATGGGTAGGAAGAATCAATATCGTGAAAATGGCCATACTGCCCAAGGTAATTTACAGATTCAATGCCATCCCCATCAAGCTACCAATGACTTTCTTCACAGAATTGGAAAAAACTACTTTAAAGTTCATATGGAACCAAAAAAGAGCCTGCATCGCCAAGTCAACCCTAAGCCAAAAGAACAAAGCTGGAGGCATCACACTACCTGACTTCAAACTATACTACAAGGCTACAGTAACCAAAACAGCATGGTACTGGTACCAAAACAGAGATATAGATCAATGGAACAGAACAGAGCCCTCAGAAATAACGCCGCATACCTACAACTATCTGATCTTTGACAAACCTGAGAAAAACAAGCAGTGGGGAAAGGATTCCCTATTTAATAAATGGTGCTGGGAAAACTGGCTAGCCATATGTAGAAAGCTGAAACTGGATCCCTTCCTTACACCTTATACAAAAATCAATTCAAGATGGATTAAAGATTTAAACGTTAGACCTAAAACCATAAAAACCCTAGAAGAAAACCTAGGCATTACCATTCAGGACATAGGCATGGGCAAGGACTTCATGTCCAAAACACCAAAAGCAATGGCAACAAAAGACAAAATTGACAAATGGGATCTAATTAAACTCAAGAGCTTCTGCACAGCAAAAGAAACTACTATCAGAGCGAACAGGCAACCTACAACATGGGAGAAAATTTTCGCAACCTACTCATCTGACAAAGGGCTAATATCCAGAATCTACAATGAACTCAAACAAATTTACAAGAAAAAAACAAACAACCCCATCAAAAAGTGGGCGAAGGACATGAACAGACACTTCTCAAAAGAAGACATTTATGCAGCCAAAAAACACATGAAAAAATGCTCATCATCACTGGCCATCAGAGAAATGCAAATCAAAACCACTATGAGATATCATCTCACACCAGTTAGAATGGCAATCATTAAAAAGTCAGGAAACAACAGGTGCTGGAGAGGATGTGGAGAAATAGGAACACTTTTACACTGTTGGTGGGACTGTAAACTAGTTCAACCATTGTGGAAGTCAGTGTGGCGATTCCTCAGGGATCTAGAACTAGAAATACCATTTGACCCAGCCATCCCATTACTGGGTATATACCCAAATGACTATAAATCATGCTGCTATAAAGACACATGCACACGTATGTTTATTGTGGCATTATTCACAATAGCAAAGACTTGGAACCAACCCAAATGTCCAACAATGATAGACTGGATTAAGAAAATGTGGCACATATACACCATGGAATACTATGCAGCCATAAAAAATGATGAGTTCATGTCCTTTGTAGGGACATGGATGAAATTGGAAATCATCATTCTCAGTAAACTATCGCAAGAACAAAAAACCAAACACCGCATATTCTCACTCATAGGTGGGAATTGAACAATGAGATCACATGGACACATGAAGGGGAATATCACACTCTGGGGACTGTGGTGGGGTGGGGGGAGTGGGGAGGGATAGCATTGGGAGATATACCTAAGGCTAGATGACGAGTTAGTGGGTGCAGCACACCAGCATGGCACATGTATACATATGTAACTAACCTGCACAATGTGCACATGTACCCTAAAACTTAAAGTATAATAAAAAAAAAAGAAAAAAAAAAGTTTTTCATAAAAAATGCATTTTTTAATGCTCAACTATATGCTGCCTACAAAAGACGCATTTTAAACTTAATGACATAAATAGGTTGAAAATAAAAGGATAGGAAAATATATACCATTCATACAAAAGAGAGTTAGAGTGGCTATACTAATATCAGACAAAATGGACTTTATACAAAAATCGTTACTAGAGACAAAGAAGGACATTTTATAGTGATAAAAGTATCAATCTATCAGAAAGAAACAACAATTATAAACATAGAAGGACCTAAAAACAGGGCCTCAAAATATATAAAGCAAAAACTGACAAAATGGGCAGATATGAAAGAATAAATAGACAAGTCAGCAATAACAGTTGGAGACTTTCAACCACACTTTCAATAATATAGAGAAAAACTAGACAGAAGATCAACAAGAAAGTAGAAGACTTGAACAGTACTATGAACCAACTAGACCTAATAGACATCTACAGAACACTTCAGAATACATATTTTTCTCAAGCACACATGGGATATTTTCTAGGATAAACTATATTGCCATAAGACAAGTTTCAATAAATTTAAATTGATTAAAAATACACAAAATATGTTCTCCAACCATAATGAAATGAAATTAGAAATCAATCACAGAAGAAAATTTAGACAATTCACAAATAGGAAAACAACACAATTCTAAAAAAATCAGTGGCTCAAAACTAAAATCACAACAGAAGTTGGAAATTGAGCAGATTGAAAACAAAACACAACATATCTATGGGATGCAAATAAAGCAGTGCTTATAGGGAAATTTATAGTTGTAAGTGTCTATATTTACAAAGTAGAATGATCTTAAATGAATAACCACTGGCTACCTTAAGAAACTAGAAAAAGAACTAAACCCAAAGCAGAAAAAGGAAGGAAATAATAAATATTAGAGACAAAATAAACGAAATAGAGAATAGAAAGTAATAAAAATAAATCAATAAAACCAAAAAGTAGAAGTTGATAAGATCAACAAAATTGACAAATGTTTCTCAAAACTGAACAAGAAAAAAAGAAAGGATTCAAATAACTAAAATTAGAAATGATATAGGGAATGTTACTACTGACCTTACAGAAAAAAAAAATAGGATTATAACAAAAAACAATGGGCAATTGTACACCAAAAAATCAGATAACCTAGATGAAACGGACATATTCTTAGAAAGATAAAACAACCTAAACTGACTCAAAAAGAAACAGAAGTCTGAATAGAGTTATAAAAAATACAGAGATTGAATTAGTAGGGAAAAACATTGCAAAGAAAAGGTCAGGCCCAGATAGCTTCACTGGTGAATTCTACCAAAACTTTAAAGAATACTTGACGTCAATTCTTCACAAACTCTTCCAAAAAATAGAAGAGGGAGAACGTTTCCCAACTCATTCTATGAAGCCAGTATTACTCTGATACCCAAATCAAAGACATCACAAGAGAAGAAAATTACATACTAATATTTATTGTGCATATATGCAAACTTCTGAACATACTATTAGTAAACCAAATCCAACAACATATGAAAAGATGTGTACACTGTGACCAAATGAGATTTATCCCAGAAATGCAATATGGATTCAACATAAAAAATCAAGCAATGCAATATGTCATATTAATAAAGGACAAAACCACATGGTCATCTCAGTAGACGTGGAAAGCATTTGATAAAATCAACATCCTTTCATGATAAAAACACTCAATAAACTAGTAATAGAAGGGAATTTCCTCAACCTCATAAAGGGCATCTACAAAAAAAGTTAACATCGTCTTTTTTTGTTTGTTTGTTTTGTTTTATGAGATGAAGTCTCTCTCTGTCACCCAGGCTGGAGTGCAGTGGCGCCATCACGGCTCACTGCAACCTCTGCCTCCCAGGTTCAAGTGATTCTCCTGGCTCTGTCTCCTGAGTAGCTGGGATTACAGGCATGTGCCACCAGACCTGGCTAATTTTTGTATTTTTAGTTGAGACGGGGTTTCACTATGTTGGTCAGGCTAGTCTTGAACTCTTGACCTAGTGATCCGCCCACCTCGGCCTCCCAAAGTGCTGGGATTACAGGCATGAGCCACTGCACCCAGCTATTAATATCGCCTTTAATAGTGAAAGGCAGTGCTTTCTGCCTATGATCAGGAATAAGGAAAGTATGTCCCCTCTCTGCATTTCTATTCAACATTTAGTGGGAGATTCTAGCCAGGGCAACAGGCAAGAAAGAGAAATAAAAGACATCCAGATTGAAAAGGAAGAAGTAAAACTCTCTAGTGGCAGATGGCATGATTTTGCATATAGAAAATCCTAAGGAATACACACACACATGCACACACACCCCAACCTATTAGAGCTAATAAACGAGTTCAGCAAGGTTGCAGGATAAAAGATTAATAAACAAAGCTCAATTATATTTTTACACACTACAATGAATAATCTGAGAATGAAATTAAAAAGCAATTCCATTTATAATCAAAAAGAATAAAATGCTTAGGAGTAAATTTAACAAAAAAAGTGCAAGGCTCGTACAGTGAAAATTATAAAATATTGTTGAAAGAAATTAAGGAAGGCTAAATAGATGAAAAGACACAATGTGTTCATAGATTGGAAGACTTAACATTGTTAAGCTGGATTATGAAAAAAAATCACCTATATATGCTTCTAGTTTTCATTTTTAAGTATTTAAATCTTTTATTTTCTTTTATTTCAGCACAAGCAATCTAGTTTTTTTTTCCAAATGGCTGCCACTAATTCTAATGTTATGTATTAAATGTATCTTTTCCTCACTGATTTGAAATACTGCCCTCTAAATTCCCAAAGTATTTCTTAATTACTATGTTTCTTAGTCCCTTGGGATTCTTACAAAACCTGTGTTAACTGGATATATGTCAAAAAAACAAATGAGATAAATAAGAGAATGGAAATATTCACCTAAGGGTAAGTCAGCAGGAAAGTTCTTCAAGGACATAGTCATTTTAACCAAGTGCTATGTCTAAAGTTCAGTTAGATGGTCTGCATCTGCAGCAGGTGCCAGGCAAACAAGCAAGAGGGCAAGGATCTAGGGCAATCTGGGGTTTTGTGGCCCTCTTACTGTAAAATCCTTCCCATTAGAGTTCTTGGATTTTTGCGAGAGCATGGTGGTTTTTAATAAGCGCATAACCGAAAGAAGGCTTTGCACTTCAAAGCCTGTTGTAATTACCCGCTGCATTAGTAAAGTAAGACCAGTTGCAACAAGAACTTTAAGTGTTTCATGGCATCTCTTTGCAGCAAGACAGCCTTTCTGAAGGTGACTGCAGACAGACATGGTCCCGCATCTTTGCCAAATACAGAATCAACTCAGCATCTCACTGACACTAATTATCAGCTTGTGTTTATTCACATCACAGAAAAGAGCTTAATTTACATAATACATATTGGTCAATTCTTTGCTTTTGAACTTCACCTTTGCCCATCAGCGGATCAATATGTATTTAATCTTCTGTTTTAGAACTGATTTTAAGACTCACAGTAAGAGGCCCAGATTTCACAATCATTAATTGCTATTATCAGCCCCTTTTCATTTCCTAAACATCAGCAATTTCTTAAAGTTCTGCTTTCATTCCTTTATTAAGTTATCCCTTCTTGTTCATCACTTGGTTCTACTGTGTCTTTCAACAAAGTACAGAGTTTACAACTAGCCAATAATGTAAAACAAAAGAATGCTCTGAAATTTTCCATTGATTCTCCAGTCTATCTGACCTCATCAACAACTGCATGCAAAACTCAAGTCGTCTGACCATTTCCTGATGGATGCTATCAAGTACTTCCAAAGTTCCAGATAGGTCTGCCAAAGGGTAGAGGACTCAGATTCTTCCTTTCTCTCTTTTAAATAAGAACTGAATTATCATCTTTGGATGGCTAATTATTCTATATATTACAGTGTAACTGGTTGCTCCCTAAATTTTCATATTTTCAAGTATATCAAAATATACTATACTCCTGACTAGCATCAGGAGAATCTGCCATTCCTTCATCACCTAATTCAGGCAAGTCACTTAATCTCTCTGGGTCTTAGTATCCTCATCTATAAAATGGATTAACAATAGAGCATTTTTGGAAATTATACGATAACCTGAATAATGTATTTTACACAGAGCCTGGCTCCCAGGACAAATAAGGGACTTAAAGCCCAAATGAAGGACTGTCCTGTTAACAGTATTGCTATCACTGCCATCACGTAGACTAAATAAGGGGTAGTTACTGAACGGAAGGGAGTCATCTGACTAAATGGTCAGTTGTGTTCCTACCTGCCCGTATATTTACCCTCAACTGATTTTCAACAAGGGAGCCAAATTAATTCAATGGAAAAAGAATATTATTTTCAACAAATTATGCTGGAACAACTTGGTATCAATCATGCAAAAGAATGAAGTTGGACTCCTATTTCATACCATATACAAAAATGAACTCAAAATGGATAAAGACCTACAAGTAAGAACCAAAACTCTTACAAGAAAACACAGGGGTAAGTCTTTGTGAGTTTGAATTAGCAATGGTTTCTTAGATATTACATCAAAAGCACAAATAACAAAAGCAAAAATACACATATATGATTGCATCAAAATTAAAATATTTTGTGCTTTAAAGGACTTCATCAAGAGAGTGAAAAGACAACCCACACAGGCTGGGCGCAGTGGCTCATGTCTGTAATCCTAGCACTTTGGGAGGCTGAGGTGGGCAGACCACTTGAGGCCAGGAGTTCGAGACCAGCCTGGCCAACACAGTGAAACCCCCGTCTCTAACAAAAAATACAAAAATTAGCCAGGCATGGTGGTGCACACCTGTAGTCCCAGCTACTCGGGAGGCTGAGGCAGAGAATCCCTTGAACCTGGGAAGTAGAGGTTGCAGTGAGCCAAGATTGCAGCACTGCACTCCAGCCTAGGCGACACAGCGAGACCCTGTCTCGAAAAAAAAAAAAAAAAGACAACCCACAAAATGGGGGAAAGTTATTTGCAAATCACATATCTGATAAAGACTTGTATCTAGGATATAAAGAATTCCTAAAATTCAATAATAAAAAGACAAATAATCTATTACAAATTGGCAAAGGATCTGAACAAATAAACCATGAAGATAATACAAATGGTCAATAAACACACATGAAAAGATACCCAACCTCACTAGCCATCAGGGAAATGCCAGTCACAACCACAATGCGATATCACGTCACACCCACTATGATGGCTAGAATCTAAAAGACAGATAATAAGTGTTGGCAAGGATGTGGAGAAATTTGAACGCTCATATGCTGCTGGTGGGAATGTAAACTAGTGCAGCTACTTTGAAAAACAGTCTAGCAATGCCTCAAAGTGTTAAACATAAGAGTTAATACCAGCACTTTGGGAGGCCGAGGCAGGCAGATCATGAGGTCAGGAGAGCGAGACCATCCTGATAAACACGGTGAAACCTCGTCTCTACTAAAAATACAAAAAATTAGCCGGGCGTGGTGGCGGGCACCTGTAGTCCCAGCTACTCAGGAGGCTGAGGCGGGAGAATGGCGTGAACTCAGGAGGCGGAGCTTGCAGTGAGCCAAGATTGCGCCACTGCACTCCAGCCTGGGCAAAGAGCAAGACTCCGTCTCAAAACAAAACAAAACAAAACAAAAAAAAGAGTTACCATATGACCCAGCAACCTCTCTGCTGGGTATATTCCCAAAGGAAATGAAATCAGCATCTTGTAGAGACATCTGCATGCCCATGTTCACTGCTGCATTATTCACAGTAACCAAGATATGGAAACAACCTAAGCATCTGTCAACAGATGAATGGATAAAGAAACTGTGGTATGTACATGTATGTATATATCTATCTCTATCTCTATATATCTATACCTATAGCTATATATCTAGATATTTCTAGGATCTGAGCAAATATACCATGAAGATCTATATATTCAGATATAGAGATCTATAGATATATCTAGATATATAGATATATGTGCATACCACAATTTCTTTATCATTCATAGATATAAAGATATATCTATAGATATAGCTATATAGATAAATATATGTGCCTACCACAATATATGTATCTATGTGGTATGCATAAATAGATACACATTATATATCTTTATATTACATATATCTTTATATTACATATATAAAGATATATATATCTTTAGAGTATCCATCATTTTTAAGGCTGAATAATATCCATTGTATACTGAATAACTTCCATTGTATACAGAATAATATTCATTTTGTGTATATATATAATTGAATATTATTCAGCCTTTAAAAAATACAAATATTATTCATCTTTGTGACAACATACATGAACTTGGAGGACATCATGCTACGTGAAATTAACCAGACACAGAAAGAAAAATGCTGCATGATCTCACTTATATGAAGAAATTTTTAAAGAGTCAAATGCATAGAAACAAAGAATTAAAACTGTGGTTACCAGGAAGGTGGAAGGAGAGGGAAGAAATGAAGAGATATAGGTCAAAGGAGACAAAGTTGCAGATAGGCAGGATGAATAAAACCTAGAGACCTAATGTACAACATGAGGACTATAGTTATAATATTATATTGTATACTGGAAGCTTGCTAAGAGAGTAGATTTTAGGTGCTCTCTACAGGGTATTAGAGTGAGCAGAGATGGAGAATCAATGGGAACCTGAAAATGATCATTTTACCTGGTCCAGCTTTGACATACACAGTGAAATTGTTTCTATTTGAAAACAGGAAAGGCAGTAGTCTAAATTCACTTAACCTCTATATTCTGGGCAAACAAATAATTGTCCAGTTTACAAAAGAGCAACAGGTTTCTTTAAATAGGCCAGTGTTTAATTGCTTTCCTGGATGAATTCCTTGTTTTCTGAATAAAGGCATGAGTCAATGAGTTCAATGAGTTCAGCTCAGTTCAGTGAGCACCACAGCTCTTTGCTATGTAAATGACCTATTTAGAAATGAATTGCATTTCTGAATTTTTCTCAGCAGCAGTTGTTTTTAACCAAGGTCTTGCACATCAATTGTTCTGTAATCTTCAGGGTTGGGATGGGGAGAGAAACAAAAGAAATAGCAAATTAATTGTACCGTGTAATCGTAAGAATCTACACTTTGAGGGTTTGCCATTTTGTTGATAGGAAAAAAAATTGCTATGTGCAGTGATACTGTAATCAAAATGACAAGCAATGGAAAAGGAATTTCAGGCATACTCTCCTGTTTTAAGCTGAAGCACAGAGAATAAAGTACGTAGCAGCCACGGCTTTGATTCTGGTCAGAATTACTCAGGTTTCCTCTCTACAATTGCTTAACCTTGGCCATCAAATTTTGTGCCACTTCTTATGCTACCATTGTGGGCATATGGAATCATCCTCCTGGGAGCTGTAATTCGTTTCATCTTATCTTGCAGGCAGGGGACCCTGATTTCATTACCAAGGTTGTAGGCACAAAATGGGATGGCTAGGGTTCACAATGACCCCCACCCCAACCATGGACTTGTTCTGCTCCCACTCTGCCCCTGGCCATGGCAAATTGATCCAAGGAGGAAGACGCTGGACTCAAACTGAGCCAAAATTAAAGGGGAACAGAAAGTAAAGGATATTCTACAAACACCTCACCAATACTCCTCAAAACTGTCCAGTCATCAAAAACAAGGAAAGTCTGAGAAATTCTGTCTAGAGAAGCCTCGGGAGATATGACTACTAAATGTAATGCAGTGCCCTGGATGGGCTCCTGGGGCAGAAAAATGATATTAAATAAAAACTAAGGAAATCTGAGTAAACTGTGGAATTTAGGTAATAACAATGTGTCAACATCCGTTCATTATTTGTGACAAATGTACCATAGCAGTGTTAACAATAGGGGAAATAGTACAGGGACTCTTTCTAATATTCTTGCAACTTTTCAGTAAACTGAAACTATTCTAAAATTATAAGTTGATCAAAAAGAAGGAATCAGAGAGACCAGAGGTGGTTGGAGCGGAGGGTTCTGGCCCCACCCTAGAAAGCAGTCCTGATGCTGAGGATGCTGGAGTGGCCCCAATTCCTGCTCAGCCTTACGGTCTTTCTTTGATCCCATGAGCTCCCTCAATGTGCTTCCCATAGTCCTAATGCCTAACGTGCTGAAGTTACCCAGGAATGAAATCTGTTGCTTGCAACCAAAGGTTCTTACCAGAAGCTCTGCTTCTGAGTCCTTAGGAAAGAGGTAGTGCCAGATCTCAATTTATAAGGCAATGGTTGGGCCATGATGTGGTGTGGATGTTTGTCCCCTCCAAATCTCCTGTTGAAATATAATCCCCAATGTTGAAGGTGGGACCCCCTCATGACTGGCTTAGCAGCATCCATGGTGATGAGTGTGTTCTCACTCGGTTCATGTGAGAACTGCTTGTTTAAAGGAGTCTGAGACCTCCCCCTTGGCTCTCTGGCTCCCTCTCTCATCATGTGACATGCAGGCTCTGCCGTGATTGGAAGCTTCCTGAGGCCTCACTAGAAGCCCAGCAGATGGCCGGCACCACACTTCCTGTACAGCCTACAGAACCATGAGCCAAGATAAAACCTCTTTTCTTTATAAATTACCCAGCCTTGGGTATTCCTTTATAGCAACACAAGAACGGACTAACAGTAAGCTGTAATGCAAATCTTATTCTGTAATTTTCATAACTTTCCTCAGTAAACATTTTACCAGAGCTCTTGAGACAGAGGAGCACCTATTTCATTCTTTCCTCTCCTCTCCTCCCAGCATGGGTCTCCACAGAGATGACCCATGCCCATGGCAGATATAGCTAATTGATCACAACACTCATTCCCTGAGCATGAATGCAGAGGAGTAGATGCTGTTGGTATTGCTCCCAGGTCCCTTTTATCACTAAGGGCACCCATTTCCTGGCTGCTATGAATGCCAATACTGGATACTCACAGCTGCCCCCACCTCCACAGAATTGTCTTCAGCGGAATTGGAGGATCTTCACCTGAGGCGGCCAGCAACCAATAACTGACTAATAAAGTCCAGCCCTCTTGCCTCGAAGTGGGTACAACTCTGAGGTGTGATTTATGCTCTACAGGCCTGCATGGGATTAAGCTGAAATTGGGCTGCAGCTGAGACCACATCCCTACATAGCTCCTTCCCCTGCCCTATCTGGTTGCCCTCACTCCCTTCCTCCAAAGAGCCCCTTTCAATAAACCCAGTGCATCTGAATCCTTGCCTGAGGTTCTGCTTCAGGGAACCCAACACAGTGACTCTGGCAGCCACTACCACCAATACATAAGTGTTGACACATGAGGTGAAACCTATTTGACATCTCTACTAGGAAAAATACGAACAAATGGGAGAAATTGTGCCAGCAAAAAAGGAAACATCAACAAAGAAGCTAGAAGCCTATTTAACCACTGGCCCCTGCAAAGGCCAAGGCGAGTGTATAGCCTGCACGTTCTCTGTGGAGACACCGCGTTCAGGCACGGTTTGAGACCTGCCCACCATCATCCATCATTGGACTGCCTGTCCTCAACCCACCATGGAGAACAAGCTTTTCTAAGGGAAGGACATCTGCAGGATAAAATGGGAAAAGAGGAAGGTAAAGAGGGACAGCTCTTACTTCCAGGAGCTGTCCTGTCTGATCTCGGAAGGCATTTCTCCTTCCCTTTGAAGAGTGTCCTGGAGAAGAAGCAGGCTCACTGTCTCAAGAGCCCCCCTGCAAGTGGCATCAGAGAACTCTCACGCAGTTGGGCATTTTTATTACTAAATATAACCTGGCCTTTTTTTCTCTGCTATTGTTTAATGCCAACTGTGTTTTATTTAAAATAAAAAAAAGAGTGGGCCGGGTACGGTGGCTCACGCCTGTAATCCCAGCACTTTGGGAGTCCGAGGTGGGTGGATCACGAGATCAGGAGATCGAGACCATCCTGGCTAACACGGTGAAACCCCGTCTCTACTAAAAAAAAAAAAATACAAAAAAATTAGCCAGGCGTGGTGGCGAGCACCTGTGGTCTCAGCTACTCGGGAGGCTGAGGCAGGAGAACGGCGTGAACCCGGGAGGTGGAGCTTGCAGTGAGCTAAGATCGCACCACCGCACTCCAACCTGGGTGACAGAGCAAGATTCCCTCTCAACAACAACAAAAAAAAGAGTGTACTTGGGCAGGAAATGTGTATGTGAGACTGATGAAACAGAAACCCAAAATAACACTGGTCAAAAAAATAAATTCAAAATCTATTTATCTATTTCTGTCTTATGTAGAAGTCCAGGCTAGTATGGCAGCTCAATGGCATAGCTCTTGAGAGGGTACAGATTCCTCCTCATGTTGCTTTGCCATCTCCAGAGCATCACTCTTGTCTGGTGAGTCCAGCGTGGTTCATCATTGCATCTGGACTTCAGCCAGCAGCAAGTGGGAACAGGTAAAGGGGTGGATATGCCCCTTCCTTTTAAGGGCATGACCTGGATCACACATCATCTTAAGGCTATATTTCCATTCACCAAAAAGTTAAATACACAGCCACATCTACCTGCAAGGGAGGCTGGCAGATGGAGGGTTTAACTTGGGAGCCATGAGTCCAGCTACCAATGGACTGTTCTATTGCTATGAGTGAAAAGAGAATGGATATGGGGGTACAGTTTGCAGGGCAATGAGATATCAGGAATGCAGGCAAGGGTTTGAGAGCAGTGATACCTTCTTAGGGAAACTGGGCTGACTTGAGGGTCTCAGACACCCCAATTCATTGCCTCCATTGGATTGTATTACTGTTCCCCCAAATTCTACTTTCCTCTCATGGTGCAACACCCCCCACCCCCGCCCTGTAAAAATCAACTTGCTTCAGCCAATGAGATGTGGGCAGAAGTGACGTGTGTTGCTTTCAGAAGAAAGCTATAAAGGCCAGGCCATGATTCATGGTCTCTTTCTTCTCTTTGCCACAAAACCAGCAATGTTCCAGACAGGCTGTTCCATCAGCCTTGGAACTGCAGATGATGTGGGCAGAACCAAGCCTGCCTGAGAGGGTCATGCAGCATGAGAGAGAAACAAACCTTGATGCTGCTGCAAGCCCCTGAGGTTGCCAGGTTGCTGATGTGTTAGCACAGCATAACTCAGCCTGGCCTGCCAGGTACAGTCCCATGTCCGCCTGCCAGTGAATCCACAGTGGAGTCCATGTCCAAAAAGTACAGCCAATTGCCATAGCTTAATAGTACTAATGGCTGCCTTTCACTGAACACTTACAATGGGCTAAGCCTTAATAATTTTAGTAACATTAAAGAAATCATTTAAGCTTCATTTGGAGTTGATAAGCAAATTACAGATAGTTCCTAATGCTTTCATTTCATAATTGATCACTGAAATGCACATGGGTAACTGGTATTTGAAACAACTCTAATGAGTCCTTTTATAAAATAAGAGTCTTTGAGGACGAAGCCCTGCCCCTAAATATATCTTATGAGTTTAGCATTTTACAAATTGCAAAATTGTAGAATTATATTCCTGATGATTAGGAAAAATGATCATTTTAATTATTTTATTGTTAACATACTATTAGATGGACAGCTAGGATACTCTGACTGTGAGTAGGGGAGGAACCAACCAGAAGTAGCTAAAAGGCTAAGGATAGTCTTAACAGACCCAATCAGAAGTACAGAGGCAGGGAAGCTTCAGGCTTGGTTCAGTGGCTCTATGGTGTCATTAAGGACCCAGATGCTCTCCATCTTTCTGCCCTGTAATCCCTGTGTCAGTAATGCCTCCCCTTATGGTTACAAGGAAGCTGCCATAGCCCCAAGTACCATATCTATATAATATGTCAACATCTGGCAAAAGGAGAGGGGAGAATGGCAGTGTCTCCACACTCATCTCTTCTTCTAAGGCAGAAAAGCCATTTTCTAAAGCCCCATCATAGATTTCACCCAACCCCTGTGTCACATGAACACTTTGCCCATGCCTAGCCGCAAGCAAGACAAAGAAGGCAAATTTCTTGTAAGAATCCACATGGCTAAATTAGTTAGGATAGGATAGGTTGTGCTGCAGTGACAATAACCCCCCAAATCTCAGTGACTTTATACAACTTAGGTTTGTTCCACATATTCATACTACAAGTCCAAGAAGTCTCTCAGGGATCCAGGATACACCATTTTTAATGTGAGGCCTCCCCATTTCCTACAGCAGGGGATGAGACAGCTACAGGGTCATACACCAGCTTTTCTTTACTTCAGTCTGGAAATAATTTATGTTCCTTCTACCCACTTTAATCATAACTTGCTCCATGACCCCACCCTGCTGTAAGTGCTAGACGATGCACAGGGACAGATGAAATTCTGTCTCTGCTATGCTGGCTTTTCCCCACTATCACCATTCCCTCTCTGTTATCCCTTTGCCCCTTCCTCAATCAACCCCCAATACCATCACCTCTATGCCCTTGTTTGTGTGGTCCATGTCACTCCTCCCTTCCTCAGAACTCTGTGGGTCCCAAGCCCTTCTTGTATCTTTGTGACTGTACCACTCTAGTGACTTCTGTAAGTCAAAAGCATTCTTTCCTCTGCCTGTTGCTGCTGTCAAGAAGAGGGAGGGGTGATTTTGGGGAACCATGAATAGAGGAAAAAGGACATCAGAAATTCCTGTTCCAATGTACAATTCGACGTTTGTCAAAGTGTCTAAATAATCATTCCAACCTCACAGTGTGAGGATTTGTTTCTTGGGGGAAAAAAAAATACCTCTTTTAGTTTTACATAAGAGATACGGATTCCACCTAACATAACATTGTCTTTAGAATTTCAATTGTGTAAGAAAAAAATTATATATGTGTACTGGGAAAAAATCTTAGCAAAATATTAACAGCATTTACACCTGTGCAATGGGATTATGAGTAACTTATTTTCTTCTTAACATACAAATGCCATGCTTCAATAGTGGGGGAAGAACTATTTTAAAGAAGTTAAGCTTTTTCATCCCCAAGGTATCACTTCTCTACACTTGCTTTCCGTCCGACCTTGAGAAGTTAATTCCCAGCACAAATACCAAGTATTATTATTATTAGGGGTTAGTTTTCTGGTGGGGAGGCAGGAGCTAGGGACAAGGGGAAGGATATTTTACCTGAACTTAAAGTGGAAAGCATTTATGCAATTTTTCATTCCCAGGAGCAATCTTCCAGCTGGACTAAAAATTCCTCGGAACCTAGCTGATACTGATAAGGTTTGACAGAAAATAAAATCCCAATCATTTTCACCCAGAAATGTTGAGCAGAAAACTGAAGTGAGAAAAGAATTTCTATCACCAAAAGCTTTCTTGTGCTGCTCTTTGTTATTTATAAGATTCTCACCATGAAAGGTTCCCCACGAAGGTGCCATCGCAACCAGGTATGTGCGAGCCGCCTCGGAAGAAAAATGGATTCTTTGACTGACTGTGAGCCATAGGAGGCTTTTATAATATTCTGACCACAGAAGAGCCACGAGAAAGAAAACAGAACGGGAAAAGGGCTCAGCATGAGTTCCACCCTTAGGTTTGGTATTTTCTGTTGCTGCTTTTAAACAAAGGAAGCTCAAACTCTATTTAGCCCTCTGAGGAAGAAAAGTGCTACGGGATTGGCACATTAATTACATGCCAAGGACATTTTCCTAAGGAGAAAATCTTTGGTGGTTTCAAAGAAAAATACACTGCTGTTGACTGAAAGGGGCTGCTGGGTTATTCCTGATCACCTTTCCTGAACCACAGACATCTTTTTCTTCTGGGTACTATTGAAACAAAAGAAGTTATAAATAAATAAGTAGGCATCCTTAAAGCAGAATTCCATTTGAGTTGTTGGGAATTACGTACAAATACGCAGTCCAGGTCTGTGGGGGACACAATGATGTCAATGTCACAGTGCTGCGAACGTTGCATCGCATTGCTGCAATGTTGGTTCTGGAGACAGCAGAACCAACATCAACCAATTACATGATGCATGGACTGAACCTCTGTGTCCCTTAAATTCATACGTTAAAACCTAATCCCCAACATGGTGGTACTGGAATGTCTCTGGACAGGTGATTAGGTCACGAAGGTGAAGCCCTCACGAATGGGATTAGTGTCCTTGTAAGGAGCTAAAGAGAGGAGAGTTGTCCCTTCCGCCACATGAGTACCCAGCAAGAAGATGCCATCTAGGAACCAAGAGCAGCTGCCACCAGATGCCAAACCTACGGGGCCTTGTTCTTGGACTTCCCAGCCTCCAGAACTGTGAGAACTAAATTTCTCACAGTTGTTGTTTATAAGCCACCCAGTTGGTGGTATTTTCTTATAGCAGCCAAAACAAACTAAGACCGTGACCCTGGGCAAAATCAAGGGATACAGCCAGACTTGGTTTCTTCTCCATCTACAGGATGGTGATAATAATAGCACACAAAAATGTTGTCACGATTAAATAAGACTTGGATGTACAATATATGTTGCTACACTTACTTGTATTTATACATGAATGCCCTGGTCTTTGTACACAAACATCTGTGTCTGCAATGGACTGCCACAGACACTGACGCCCAAAAGATGTGGTTTTGGTTTTTTTAAAGTACCTACTCAAGGAAATTAGTCCAGCCTCCCTTCTCAGTGAACTCGTACTGCAGAGCGTATTTGCATCCCTCTCCCTTGGATTCATTTATTTGCAGTTTATTTTTCTAGCAGTCACTACAATCCCCATAATACAGGAAGTCTCATTCATGGCTCATGTCTGGGAGACTTGACAGATGCTGCTTAAATATTTAGAAATTTCTCTTTAAAGAAAGCAGCTGAAACCGAAGCCTGTCAAGCTGTTAAAATGTGGCCCTATTCCTCAAGTTCACATTTAAATGTTAAGATTATATTTGGCTTTCAGCGTTTCTAGAGAGACCGTAGTGATTTTTATATGTATATTTTTTCAGAGTCAACATAGATGGCACTTACTTTTTCATAACTTTCATATACAATGTCATGACTGAAAACTAAACATGTAACTGACTGTTCACTTTCAGTTTAAGTAAATCATTTGGTGTGGTTATTACGAAAGTAGAACTTCAAATTCTTTTCCATCCAAAGAAAACACAATTAAAATCCGAGCAACATTCCAGTGGAGTACTGCTTTATTTGAAGAAGCAAAATGTCTAGCTGACAATAAAAAAAAAAAAAAAAAACTCAAGAAAGCAACAGAGCCAACTGTCAAGGATGTGACCCCAAATGGTAACTTAAGTGTCATCGTTCTTATGATTCTGTCTCAGTGAAGATGGTGTGGCAGGGTGATGGGCTACATCCTATTTCCCTTTCCTTGGAAGGAACATGGAGTTCCTGAGAATTTAGGAAGACTTGGAGCCAGCTACCTCGGCCTTGTTGCCTGTCTGCTAGACCAGACTGTCTGAAGCAGAGATGTAAGAAATTAAACATCAGAGAAGGAACTAGGGCTTCTCAGGCTGGGTTTCTGACATTCTTTCCTCCCCTGGCAGGTGTAATAAAAGACACACATGTCAACCCTTAACAGCTCAGAGGCAAAGCGGTAACATTTCACTATAAAGAGCACAATTATGGAAAACTGCCTTATCGAGCTATTTTCTTGTCCCACAGAAGACTCAAAGAAATTCTTCTGTGTTGCTCTCTTGACAATTTCATACCAGAAAGGATTTTGGGTTTTTTGTTGTTGTTGTTGTTGTTGAGACGGAGTTCGCTCTGTCGCCCAGGCTGGAGTGCAGTGGCGCCATCTCGGCTCACTGCAAGCTCCGCCTCCCGGGTTCACGCCACTCTCCTGCCTCAGCCTCCCGAGTAGCTGGGACTACAGGCGCCCGCCACCACGCCCGGCTATATTTTTGTGTGTTTTTAGTAGAGACGGGGTTTCACTGTGTTAGCCAGGATGGTCTCGATCTCCTGACCTCGTGATCCACCCGCCTCAGCCTCCCAAAGTGCTGGGATTACAGGCGCGAGCCATCGCGCCCGGCCAGAAAGGATTTTTACAGCAGCAAGAAGCAGCCTGAGAGCGATTGAATTTTCCAATATAAACCTGAATCCACATCAGGAGGAGGGATGATAAGGCTCCATGGCCTGTCACTTTCCAAAGATGCCTGGATATGGCCATTTCGGAAGGTGAAAGCCAGTGCCTGTTTCCTCATCATATTCTTCTACTGAGTAAAATAGATAATCTTAGGTATAAATATACATCATTTTTTTCATGGCATTTAATATAATTATTTCATTTTGGTTGGGGAAAAAGGTCATAGCCCATAAGTATATTTTCTTCATCTGAATTAGACTGTACTTAAAAAAAAAAGAAAAAGTTTTTGAGTGCTGGAGCACAGCAAAAATGTCTCTGCTCCCTGTTTGTAAAATGGTCACTCTGTGATTAAAAGCCTCCTTCTAAATGTGACTTCTTGTCTGTATTCTTGAATGTAGACAGTATTTAGCCAGTGAATCATTAGTCATTTTTTTCCCCACAAATATGATTGAGCACCTGCTATGTGGAAGGTCCTGTGCTGGGCTTATCAAAAAGAATGTCCCTATCCCTGCCCTCCAGAAGCTCCCAGTGTTGTGGGACTCTGATGGATGGACAGGGGTAGTGAAGACTCAGACATGGTGGGGCCATGTCGAACTGGTAATGTTTTAAAACACTTCTTTCAGCAAAAGTGTAGCCAGACTCCTAACAAGTGAGTGAACTATTTATCTACCTCCCCAAGACAGTGTGGTACTGGCAGAACAAAAGAGAGCACCTGGAAACAGACCCACACAGACAGAACCAACTGATTCTTGACAAAGGTGAAAAGCGATTCACTGGAAGAAGGATGGCTTTCCAACAAACGGTGTGGACTTATTGGACATCCAGAGGCAAAATAAATAAACTTCAGCAGAAACCTCACACCTTATTAAAAAAAATTCAAAATAGATCACAAACCTAAATGAAAAACGTTAAACGTTTTAGAAGCAAACACAGGAGAAAATCTTTGTAATCTGGGATTAGGCAAAGAGTTCGTAGATATGACACCAAAAAAGATAAAGTTGCTAAATTGGACTTTATCAAAATCAAAAACTTGCTCAGTGAAAAGTTAAGAGAATAAAAAATCAAGCTACAGACTGGGAGATAATATTTTTTAAATACCTAAAAAAAGAGTTGGATCTAGAATATAAAAAGAACTACCAAAGTGCAGCAGTAAGAAAATCAGACAACCCAGTTTTTAAAAAATGGTCAAAACACTAGAATAGGTGTGTTACCAAATGGTATATATATGTGACAAGCATATGAAAAAGATGTTTATCATAGTCATTAGGCAGATGCAAATGAAAATGATCATGAAGCACCACTGTACACCTAAAACCTGACAGTAACAAGTGCCGGTGAGGATGCAGAGAAACTGGAACATCTAAACATTTCTTATAAAGTTAAACACAGACTTACCATATGACCCAGCAATCCTACTCACAGGGGTTTACCCAAGAGAAATGTGAGCCTGTGTCCACTCAAAAATTTGTATGCAGATACTTATTAGAAGTTTTATTCACGACAAGGCCAGGCGCGGTGGCTCACACCTGTAATCCCAGCACTTTGGGAGGCCAAGGCAGGCAGATTACCTGAGGTCAGAAGTTCGAGACTAGCCTGGCTAACATGATGAAACCCTGTCTCTACTAAAAATACAAGAATTAGCCAGTGAGCCGCAATGAACTGCAGTGAGCCGAGATCGTGCCACAGCACTCCAGCCTGGGCGACACAGCGAGACCCCGACTCAAAAAAATAAAAATAAAAAAGAAGAAGAAGTCATAACACTATAAAACTGGAAACCACCCAGATGTCCATCATCAGTGGGTTAACAAATTGTAATACATCCATACAATGGATAACCAGCAGCAATAAAAAGGTACGACCTAGTGATTCCTGCAATAACATGGATGATCTGAAAAGCATTCTGCTAAGTGAAGGAAAGTCAGACACAAAAGACTACATACAGTATGATTTCCTTCATATAATATTCTAGAAAAGGAAAAACCATAGCGACAGAAGAAAGCACAGTGGATTGCGCGGGGCCAGGGCTGGGGAGGAAATTGACTCCAAAAGGGCACACGGGAATTTTTTTTTTTTAGGTGCTGTAAATATGCTACATTATAATTGTGAGGTGGTTACATGAGGGTGTATATGTGTCAAACTCATCAAATTGTACATTTCATTTTTTACTAATTTGATCCTTTGTAAAATATGCCACAAAAAGCTGACTTTTACTAAATCAGTGGGGGCCAGGCATGGTGGCTCATGCTTGTAATCACAACATTTTGGGAGGCCAAGGTGGGAGGATCACTTGAGTCCGGGAAGTTGAGATCTGCCTGGGCAACATAGTGAAACCTCATCTTTACAAAAAATCAAAAAAGTAGCCAGGTGTGGGGGTGCATGCCTGTAATCCCAGCTACTTGGGAGGCTGAGGTGGGAGGACTGCTTGAGCCTGGGAGGTTGAGGCTGCAGTGAGCTATGATTGAGCCACTGCACTTGAGTCTGGGCAACAGAGATCCTGTCTCAGAAACCAACCAACCAACCAACCAATGGGAAGTAAAAATCCATACATTAAGCCAAGAGTTTTTTGGAAAAGGCACAAAGATGGAAGGATTTTATATAGAAGATATCAAAATATGGTAACTATAAAGCAACCATATTTTAAAAGTATGCTCCTGGTACAGCAATAGACAAATGGATCTCTTGACATAAAATAAAGTCCAAAAACAGAGCAATGTACATATTCAGTAAACACTTTAGGCAGCAATTTAAATTTGCAGGAAAAAATGGACTGTTCACAATTCAATAAATGGAGTTGAAATCTGGATTTCATTTGGAAAAAGAATTGTTAGTTCCATAATGCACATCGTTCTCAACAATAAAACCTTAATTGATTAATTGATCATTGACTTACTTGTGAAGGCTCACGCCATTGATTTCATGATCCTATTTAATGTCTGGAAGACCACCTCCTGGATTATGGTAGGCAGGACCCTACAATAAATTAAAAGAATGCTCCTGAACACCCAAACTGATGGTGTCACTTCTGCCTTCTAGCGGGCATCAGTCATCGCACTGGGAAGATAAATACCTGAAGTGTTCCCTTCCGCCTACACAGATAAAGCAGAGAGAATGGAAACCCTGAAATGTCAACATCCCTGCTCGCTCTTCCAAGATGCCGAAATAGATATGTGATCGTGTGTGAAGCTGAGCCCTTTAATGTTACTTAGATGTCCAACAGAGGGACGAAGAGTCAAAATTCTCTGCATTATAAGAGGAATTCAGGAGAAGCACCTTCCAGGAGGGAAGGCTCTAGCAACACCAGAGGAAGCTGCAGCTGGGAAGGAGGCAGCCAGGGAACAGTTCTTGGTGGCAGGGCCAAAGGACTTCCAAGACAAGGAGGCCAATGGCTAATACTCAAGGTTAAGCCATCAGTGTCAAGCAGTGTGAGCCCACCCTCTGTCCTTCCAAACCTTCAGTAAAGACCTAACACCTGACTATGCTGGGTGAGTTGTTCTGGGGTAAGTGGCAGTTTTGTGGGAAAGCTTTTCTTCCTATTCCTGATCTTTCCTTCTATGAGTCAGGACATCCATTCACCTGACACTCAGCCTCCCTCTGCCCCTGGACACCTGTGTTAGGCCATTCTTGCATTGTTATAAAGAAATACCTGAGACTGGGTAATTTGTAAAGAAAAGAGGTTTAATTGGCTCACGGTTCTGCAGGCTGTACAGGAAACGTGATGCTGGCATCTGCTCGGCTTCTGGAGTGGCCTCAGGAAGCTCAGAATCATGTTAGAAGGCAAAGGGGAAGCAGGCACAGGCCCAGAGCAGGAGCAAGAGATGGAGGGGTAGGTGCTACACCCTTTTAAACAAGCAGATCTCACAAACGGACTCGCTCTGGTGAGGACAGTATCGAGGGGATGGTGCCAAACTATTCATGAGAAATCCGCCCCATCATCAAATCACCTCCCGCCAGGCTCTACCTCCAACACTAGGGATTACATTTCAACAAGAGATTTGGGCAGAGACATGTGTACAAACTCTACCACCACCCCTCATTTGCTGGAAAGAGAAGCTGGGCCAGCAGAGCTCAGCTGCTGCTCCTGCTTGTCTTTCAGAACCAGCCAGGTGTAGACCTGGGACTGCACACGCCCTTCGGTACGCCCCTTCTTCCCTGGCCTCTGAGTCTCTGGTTTCTGTTAGGAAACCCACTACTGTGCCTCCGAGGCACATTCTCCTCTCCTTTTGTCTTGGTTTAGGAGTCTGGCAGGGGGGAGAGGGTATGATTTATGGAGCCCCTCAAATCTCAAGAAGAGGTTCCATGTGTAAAGGAAAAGCCCCAAGATTCATCCAAGCACCCAGGAAACTGAGGACACAGTGTCCTTGTGGGAACTCCCTGAGAAATTTTCATTCCAGAACTCAGAGTTGAGGGCATCTTCCTTCTCTTTATCTTATCCGACTCTTGTCCTAAATCCTTCACTTTGTCACTGGAGTCCTGACAGACCCTTTCCAGCGCCTTCTCTTTCAGTCACTGGCCTTCAGAATCTCAAGAGCAGCAATCCCAGCTCTGCCAAGCCCCCAGCAGTGTCTGCCAGAGCGGGAGCTGGGGCAGACAAGCTGATGATGGAGGGAAATGAACAGAAACGGCTTTTCTCTGAGACTTCTCTCCAAAATATGTGCTGCTTTGGCTCTGAAGGGCGGAACTTTATTTTATTTTATTGTCAGAAGAAAAAGAGACGAGTTGCTTCTGACCAAAAAAAATTCAGTCAGTCATAGATGATGACTGGCTCCAACCCAAACGCAGATTATGGGAAACACTCCATTTTGAGCAAGCATGAAGGCTTTCCCAGCAACTCTCGTCAACACCAATTATTTACCCTTCACTTTGGCGCTCTGTCCTTAACCAAGGCAAGATTTAGAATCACTGAATCATGGGATCATTGGGCCCACTTGCCTCTACCTACCCACCCCATTTCATCCATGAGAAACTGACCCAAACGATGACATCTCTTACCTACTTGGTAAGCAGTGGCATGATCTGGACCAGGATCCCAAACTCTGGAGTCTCAAGTCTACACTCATCCCGTGGCTCAGGATTTGTTTCACAGCTCCAGGCATCATCTCCCTTGGGGAAAAGGAGTTCCTTAGTGGCAGAGAGCTAGTGCTTTGCAGAGAGAAGAAAAGAGTACCAAAATTTGAAGAGAGCCTGCCATGTTCCTGTTGCAAGGCTAGTGACATGGCTAGAGTGGACCCCTTTGGGAATGTCTTCCTAACAAGCCTGTCAGTTGGAGGACATTGTTTTGGGCTGAATTGTGGGCCACAAAAAATTCATATGTTAAAGTCCTAACCCCTGGATCTCCTGAGGTAACCATATTCGGATGTAGGGTTATGAAAGAGGTAATTAAGTTAAAATGAGGCCGTTAGGGTAGGCCTTAATCTGACCACAGTCCTCATAAAAAGAGGAGATTAGGACATAGACCCATACATGGAGGAAAAATGTGTGAAGACACAGGGAGAAAGTGGCCACCCGCAAGCCAAGGAGAGAGGCCTCAGAAGAAACCAACTCTGCCCGCACCTCGATCTTGGACTTCCAAGCTACACGGCTGTGTCTAAACAAAGCCCAGTTGTTTCAGCCCCTCAATCTGTGGTATCTTGTTGGGGCAGCCCGGAAGATTCATATAGGCACCCAGTCCCCATCCTACTCAGGCTTCCAGGCTGGGAGCCTGCCCCTCTGGCCAGAGCCAACTGAACCAAACAGACTCTATGTGAAGAGCTGGAACTGAGAGTGGCACAGAGATCGCTGCATGGAAGAGCTTTGTTAGTGGAGACTTTGGGGTGAAGATACCCCCTCCTTGCTGCTGAGAGCCCCAGAACGGCTCTGGTCTTCTCTGTCCTCCCTGTGGCTCCCAGGCTACACTTCCTGGTAAAATCCAGGAGAGACCCCAACACCCTTCCAAGAAATTCCCTTTCTTGGTTATGTTTGAAGTGGGTTTTGTTACTTGCAACCCAAAAGACTTTAGCCGTGACATTGACATGTGTCACCTCATACAGTGTAATTTCTCCCTGAGATATTACTGCCCCATCTTACAGACCAAGGAACTGAGATTCAAGGATATTAAGCAGCCAGTCCAAGGTCACAAAATGGTAGAACTATAGGGATCTGCACTCAAGCTTCTTCCTCTCTCCACACTGTCCTGGATGCTACACTTCTTCCTTATCCCCCTGAGCGCTCAGCTAGGAGTCAGACATATGGTAGGTGCTCAATAAAAGCTTGTTAAATGGAATAGAGCCCACAGGCATATGTTCCATCTTTAGACTAAAACATAGATAAATACGCTGCCTGTTCACACAGTCGGAGCCACAGGTAAACAAAACCAGTGTCGGGAATTCATTCGTCTCGCTACCCTTCTCTATTCAGACCTAATGAGGCCAGAGAGCTTAACCCAGGCTTTCAGTGGAACCCTTGCTTCACTCAGTAACACCAAGATAGTCTGGTCTCATTGAATTCACAAATTCCCTCTAACTCTTCCCATCTGTTCCATGTTTATTTAACCTGCAGACCAGGGCAGCTACTTCCCCAGCGGAACTTCATAGTCTCCAGAAAGAAAGATCTGAACTTCCTTCCCTCCCCCTTTTGTCTTGTAGCAAAAGGACATAAACCACCCTTTGTTAGGAACAGTAAACTTGCCTTTTTTTCAAGGCTTAGGGCTTTGCAGGAAGCAAGTAGCTGGGGAGAAAAATGAAGAAAGGGCTCCACTGGCAAGGGCTTTCAGGGTATTTTTCTCTTCTTTATAAAAATGAAATTACTTTTCCCCTGTTGCTTTGGAAAGGCCCCAAAATAAACCTAAGAGCACTTGCATAGCTGTCATTAAACTTCCCAGGCTGATCGAGACTCTGAGGCTCCCTGGCAGAGAAAGATGGTTGATCTGGCCCTGCCATCTTGTATTTCAACGTGGATGCTTCAAGCTCGGGAGGGGGCCCTGGCCTCTTAGTGCAGCATCACAGAGCAATGAGAGAGCAATGCGTTATTCTCTGACATTTTACAGACTAGAGGAGTGAGTGTGGGGGTGCTTTTCCCCACCATGAAACCCTCCATGCGGGGCCCTCAGTCGAGACATGCAGCCTGTGCCTCCTTGTCTTCCACCCTCTAACAGGCTGCCCGGGCGGGGAAAGACAGCACAGGTGCAGTGAGCATGCCGCGCAGGCACTCATCCACACTGTTTGTGTTTCTATTATACATAGCCATAATTAACCATGAAGACTTCTGGGAGGAGCCATGGATTCCAGCCTCAGCAGGGGAAAAAACACACCAAAATTATATTCCAGAATTAGAGCCACTGACGTTTACGTGGCAATTTACAAAGTAATTTTTATGGGGCTGTGTTAGTCCATTTTGTGTTGCTATAAAGGAATACTCGAGGCTGAGTAACACATAAAGAAAAGAGACGTGGCACCGGCATCTGCTTCCGGTCAGAACCTCAGGAAGCTTCCACACATAGGGGAAGGGGAGGAAGGGCGAGAGGGAGCTCTTTTAAACAACCAGCTCTCCAGTGAACTAATAGAGCTGAAAACTCAGTATCATGGGGAGGGCACCGAGTCATTCATGAGGGATCCGCCCCCATGGCCTAAACACCTCCCCCAGCCCCCACTTCCAACATCGGGGGTCACATAGCAACATGAGCTTTGCAGGGGACAAACATCCAAAATATATCAGGGTGTTTTCATGGAAGCCTCTCAACCACTCTGTGAGGGAGGAATTCTTGGCACTCCCATTTCACAGAGGAGAAAACCGAGGCTTAGGACACAGCTGCCTCCTGAGAGAAAGGAGCAGCCAGAAACAGAAGTGCTATCTCCTAAGCTGGGACTCGACTTTCCTTCCCGTGGCACTATGCCCAGCCCACGAGCCAGCCAGCAGTGTGGGTGTCACCAGCCCCCAACATCTGAACCTAGTTCAACCCTGATTCTTGCCCCTTTTTTTTTCCAAATTGGAAATCTTGATATTAGATTTTTCCTAATTATAAAAGACGCACTTCTAAAAGAGATTTTAAATAATACAGAAATTCTATACTAACCAACTCTCCCTGTCCCAATTAAAAAATAAAACCCTAAAGATAATCAGTTATCTTTATAGATATGTAGATGTAATCAGCAATTTCCATTTTCCCTTTTGAGCAGCTGGGATCCCAGCAAGGTCACCCTCACACTCATGATCAGATTGCCAGGACTCTGAGCCCCAATCCACGTGACTATGGGACCTCACATCCCTCTCCCATCCCCAGGTTGTTTCTCAGTTCCCAAAGGGCTTGAATACTGGCTGTCCCCTACAGCTTATGGGGCAGCTGCCTCCACTTTCTTCTCCAGCTCTGACTCCCTAGGCTGTCCTGAGGAACTCTCAGACCTTCCAGAAGGAGCCTTGCTTCTCATAGGTGGATTGGACAGATGTGTGTAAAATCTCATTTCTGTGTAGCCATCTAGACGCCCTTGGCCAGGCCACTCTGGCAAAACCCTTGGACAGCACCCATCCCTCCTCTCACCTATTTCCCAGCATGAGAAAGCCCAATAGAATCGTGAGCCCTGGATGTGGCAGAGGGGAAGGAGGGCTTTTAAACAGATTTCTTGAAGGCTGTCTCTTAACAGGTGATATGGTTTGGCTGTGCCCCCACCCAAACCTCACTTGAATTGTAGTTCCCATAATCCCTACATGTGGCGGAAGGGATCCAGTGGGAGGCAATTGAATCATGGGGATGGTTACCTCCATGCTATTCTCATAATAGAGTGAGTTCTCATGAGATCTGATGGTTTTATAATGGGCTTCCCCTTTTGCTTGGCTCTCATTCTTCTCCTTCCTGCCACCATGTGAAGAAGGACCTGTTTGCTTCCCCTTCTGCCATGATTCTAAGTTTCCTGAGGCCTCCCCAGCCCTGAAGAACTACGAGTCAATTAAACCTTTTTCCTCTATAATTTACCCAGTCTTGGGCAGTTCTTTATAGCAGCATGTGAACAGACTAATACAACAGGTAACACAAAAATCTCAGTGATTCTTTCTCTCACCTGCATGAAAGCAGCCTTGAGAAAACAGTATTTTGGGAGGATTTTTGTGGCTCTTAAATGTACCAATTCAATACCCAGTCTCTCTCTCTCTCTTTCCTTTTCTCTCTCTCCTTCCCTCTCCCACCTCCCAGCTCTCTATCTCTGATTATCTCTTCCTTTCTCCCACACTCTCCCTCTTCAGGTTGGCTAACCCCAAATCCTTAAATCGCTAACCACTCCTTCTCTTAAGAAACTATCATGTATCCCTCCCCCACCACCCAAGCACCCCATGCCAGCGTCTAGGAAGCTCAGATAGGGGTGTGACCTTTAACCCTGTCAGCCCCCAAAGAGAACTTGTGCATATCTCTTCTTGAACTTGTCATTTAAGAGAATGAACCCAAATAAAATATGTCCCTCCCTCTATGATTTGTCAACAATGAAAAGATGAATCACCAAACAAAAATACAAACTTCATATTTGAAGGCAACCAAAAAGTTAGATATTTACTCCAAACTAATGTCTTTTGCCAGGCTCTAATTACCGAAGGTGGGAGACTGTCTAAGAGCACAGGGTAATGTCTCTCAGAAACATTTATGCACTTGTGTTTATGGTCCATAATATAATTCTGTCTCTCATATTGATCAGATGCTACAGTCCTCTCTTTGGACTGTAGTAGCAACTAAAAGTCCATCTTACAAGCAGCACTCCTCTTCTTCCAGATTTTCATCAGTATAGTTTTAGAAAATTTCCAGCCTAGGCAACATAGCAAGACCCTGTCTCTACAAAAAGAAAATGAAAAATTATCTGGGCATAGTGGCATGTGCCTGTAGTCCCAGCTACTCAGAAGGGTGAGGCCAAAGGATCACTTGAGCCCACAAGTTTGACACTGCAGTGAACTAAGATTACACCACTGCACTCCAGTCTGGGCAACAAAGTGAGATCCTGTCTCAAAAAAAGGAAGAGGAGGAGAAGAAGAAGAAGAAGAAGAAGAAGAAGAAGAAGAAGGAGGAGGAGGAGGAGGAGGAGGAGGAGGAGGAGGAGGAGGAAGAGAGAAGAGGAGGAGGAAAAGAAAGAGTAAGGAAAGAAGGAAGGAAGGAAAGAATGAATGAAGGCAGGCAGGCAGGCAGGGAGGGAGGGGAGAGGAAGAGAGAAGAAAGAAGGAGAAGAAAAGAAGAAGAAGAAGGAAGAGGAGGAGGAGGAAGGGGAGAGGAGGAGGAAAAAGAAGAAGACATGTATGTATTAGTACATTTACTTGATCAGCATTGGATAACTGCAAGGGAGATATCTACAGCAAAGCAAAAATATATTTTTTAATGTAGTATTTATTCATCTCTGCTTCTGAAGAATGAGTGTACTCTCATCCCCTAGGCTCCAGCATACCCGCTGTCAGAAGTATCCCTTCCTTTCTCCCTCACTTAACTAAGTTGACCCCCTACCACACTGAGTTCAAGTTTGGGGGCCTGACCAGGAAAGAAATATATGTCAGCTTTACAATGTGCCTTTCAGAAAACTCAAGTGTTGTCTTTATAAATTTAGATGTATCTGTTTTTTTCTAACCCAAGATTTCTTCCTTCATGGGTGAGAATACAAACGATTTTGTTTAGGGATCCCAGAGAATGACTGTGAAATTTCTGCATCGTTGGCAGACAGGTGGTGCAGAGATCTCCCACTTCGGGGTCTGATGCTACTCACTCGTCCATTTGGTGAGTGCACAGTGAGCATCTACTCTATGCCCAGATCCCTCCTAGGCTTAGAGAACTAAGGAAGGAGCTGCCCTTGGGACCTCTCCAGCTAGGAAAGGATGGAGGGATGGGATGTGCTTTAGGGGAGCTGTGCTCGGGACTTCTCCACCTGGGCGAGGACGGAAGGGTGGGATGCGCTTTAGGGGGCCACTCCATAGAACACCATGCAGATGGTGCCCCCCCGCACGACCCCCAGCATCAGAGTTGTGCACTGATGGCCTGCAGATGAGCAGGGGAGGGAAGGAAGGCTCTATGCCGCTTTGCGTGTGGTCAGAGGCATTTCTCCCAATGCTTCTGCATCCTATTGGTGAGTGACAGGTACACAGCGGGCATGCGCAGTTTCCAGCTGAGGATTGTCCCTTTGGAGCTCATTTGGCCTGCAAGCTTTCCATTCATGTTACCTAATCGCCCTCCCCCCACCCCCCATTAGGCCTGCTCCCAAGGGTGGCTGAAATTCCCAGAATTCATTATTAACATATTTTTGTTCTGACTCCACTTTCAACAGCCATTTTTATCTCTGACAGCAAGCTGGCCTCTGTCTCTGGGGCTGGACAGCATCATGCCCAGATCACTCCATTTTCAGAGCAGGCTTTAGCAGACTCCTGGCTGATGGGAGCCCCAGGGAGGGGAGCGGGAGAGTGAGCGACCTGCCCCCACTGCAATCACACAGCAAGGGTTACTTCCCCCTCCACCAAGTGGGACCCTTTGCAAAGCCTTTGCTCCCTCTGCCTTTGGGTTGTCATAATTCAGAAGGCAGGCTGCTATCTGATTAGCCCAAAACGCTCCTAGAAGCTTCTCCCCAAAAGCACCCATTCAAGCACCACAGCTTCCAAATTACTCAACATTCAATTGGTTCATAAAAATTTGTATTCCTGGAGAAAGTCAAAAAATTGGAAATAGTTTTAGTTGATTTAATAGAGTTTTTTTTAAACAGCATTTTGAAAAAAAAATCATAAATCCCTATAGAAGTAAATTGCTGGCTGGGCGGTGGCTCACGCCTGTAATTCCAGCACTTTGGGAGACCAAGGTGGGTGGATCACAAGGTCAGGAGTTCGAGACCAGCCTGTCCAATATGGTGAAACCCTGTCTCTACTAAAAATACAATAGCCGAGTGTGGTGGTGTGTGCCTGTAGTCCCAGTTACTTGGGAGGCTGAGGCAGGAGACTCACTTGAACCTGGGAGGCGGAGGTTGCAGTGAGCCAAGATCATGCCACTGCACTCCAGCCTGGGCGACAGAGTGAGACTCCAACCCCCGACCCCAGAAAAAGTAAATTGCTTTGGCCAGGCGTGGTGGCTCACGCCTGTAATCCCAGCACTTTGGGAGGCAGAGGCAGGTGGATCACCTGAGGTCAGGAGTTCAAGACTAGCCTGGCCAACCCTGTCTCTAAAAATACAAAAAGAAATTAGCCAGGTGTGGTGGCAGGCACCTGTAATCCCAGTTACTTGGGAAGCTGAGGCAGGAGAATCACTTGAACCCGGGAGGTGGAGGTTGCAGTGAGCCAAGATTGCGTCATTGCACTCCAGCCTGGACAAGAAGAGTGAAACTCGGTCTCAAAAAAAAAAAAAGTAAACTGCTTTATAACTTTAAATGGTTTTTCACACCTTTACCATATCTAATCCTTTCAGTAAACCAGTTCAAGATTTCATTAATTATGTCTAACTTTTGTCATGTTGTTATAAATAAGAAAACTAACCAGAGGGAGGTTAAGTAACATGCTTAGGGTTCTATGCTGGGCCGGACCTAGAATCCGTCTCCTCTTTTATTCTCATTGTATGTTCATTCCACATCTTAATCCGGGCCCAGATTTAACAGCCTCAGTTCTCCCACCAAATTCACACAATCCAGATTCATTCATTATATGGCACAAAGATTTCACTAGATGTTCAAAACTACATTGTTTGTAGTACAAAAAAGTCTAGAAACAGCCTAGTACATAACGCCGAGAGTTTGGTTAAGTGAACTATTCAATATTGTGAAATATTATGCAGTCATTGAAACAAAGTTGCAAAAGTATATTTGGTGATATATCAAACTATTCATAATATAGTAATATAGAATATGCACAGCAAGCTGTCCTTTTTATAATTATATGTATAAATAAAATGCATAGGAAATCATGTGGAAGGATATACCCTAAGATATTAATAGTGGTTACTTATGGAGATACTTGGATTGTAGATACTTTTACTGTCTTCATTTCAGTTTTCTGTAGAATCTTCTAATTTTTCTACGGTAAAAATACATTTCTTGGGTACTTTTTTTTTTTCTTGAGACGGAGTCTTGCTCTATTGCTCAGGGTAGAGTGCGGTGATGTAATCTTGGCTCACTGCAACCTCCGCCTTCCGGGTTCAAGTGATTCTCCTGCCTCAGCGTCCTGAGTAGCTCGGATTACAGGTGTGTGCCACAATGCCCGGCTAATTTTTGTATTTTTTTAGTAGAGATGCGGTTTCCCCATGTTGCCCAGGCTGGTCTTGAACTGCTGACCTCAAGTGATTTGCCCACCTCGGCCTCCCAAAGTCCTGGGATTACGGGCGTGAGCCACCGCGCTTGGCATTCTTGGGTACTTTTTGAAGTTTCAAAGTTATTTCAGCAGGAAGACCCATCTAGTTAAAGAATAAATGTGTGCTTGGCCAGGCGCGGTGGCTCACGCCTGTAATCCCAGCACTTTGGGAGGCCGAGGAGGGTGGATCACGAGGTCAGTAGATCGAGACCATCCTGGCTAACACGGTGAAACCCCATCTCTACTAAAAATACAGAAAAAATTAGCCAGGCGTGGCGGTGTGCGCCTGTAGTGCTAGCTACTCGGGAGGTTGAGGCAGGAGAATGGAGTAAACCTGGGACGCAGAGCTTGCAGAGAGCCAAGAACGTGCCACCGCACTCCAGCCTGGGTGACAGAGCGAGACTCTGTCCCAAAAAAAAAAAAAAGAACAAACGTGTTTACGCCTGGGGTAAGTACATTTAATAGTGTAAAAGTTCAGCCATTTCCATCTATTTTATCTCATCCCTAACTGGCTATGGATGGTAAACTCAGTTGACTTCTTTGAGGATAACCATAAATGTGTTTCACAAGCTTACTGATGTCTACTTTTAGCGAATTTCTTCAGGAAACAGAAGATTCATTATTAAACATTTTTTTGATGTCTACTATGTTGGGATTGTTCTCCCCAGAAACCTCGTGTATTGCTGCTCAAACCTAAAGAGAATTACTCTACTCTTTACTGGACAAAATCACAAAACCATTGACTGGGCCACCCCAAATTGTGCTCCCTCAGAGAGTACCACTGCCTCGAAGTCTTTTTAATCTATTTCTGCTTGATCTATCATCAAATTTCCCTGAGCTGCTGTTCAAACCTGTCCACATTTCTTTCATTTCTCTATTCCATTCCCACCCGACTCAGTTTCATCGGATGACTTGGCATCCTCCTCTCTCACTTGAGCCTCGTGGCTGTCACACTCCGGTAGCTAAGGCCACCTTTGTTCAATGGCTCTCTACCGGGAGGCATAAAAAGTACGGTGACACGTGTGCTGGTTTTCCCGGGACAATTGACATCTGTCATCCCGACTTAATTATTAGACATTCCCTGTTTCGCGAATGTGCCCTGATTTGGACAATAATTTTTATAGTCCTACTAATGATGAGAAAAACATTGAAGATGGAAGCTGTTCTCAGTGGGGACTGTCCCTTGCCCCTTTTTCGGCCTCTGTGTCTTGGCTCATGCTAATCTTTCTTGTACTCAGTGACAAAAATGATCTCTTGTTCCTGTGAGAATTCTGACTTTATTACTTCTTAATCTGCATGATCATCTAGTGCTTCTCAGACTGATGATCTGTGTATATTTTCTTTTAACCACCCATCTCAAACAGTTCAATTCAAATCCTCATTTCAGAGCTACAGAAAAATGCATGTGAATAAGACTCATTCTTACAGAGGAAAAAAAAACAGGCTAGAACGAAAGTCTGCTCATTCACAGATTGTTTTCCCCCACCCTGGCTCCCTTAACAGCCACATCAGGACTGGATTCTCCCAGGTTTTCCTTCAGAGTGGAGAGAAACACAGCAGTTGTTGCCTTGGAAACTCTGTCCAGGGGCTGGCATCACGGGACTTGGCTCGCCTGCTCTATGGCTGACATCCAAAGCTGACTCACTTAAGTTTCGACTGGTTATGGCTTCGCTAAGGGGGACATAGCGATTGAGGAGAGAGGACAGGGGAACTTGAGCAAGTGAAATGACTATAGCAAGACATCTGTCTTCTTCACAGAGAGTAACTCAAATGATGGCAAAAGGAATAACCAGTGCACTTTAATAATGAAGATTCTTGGTGAAATGTTGGCAGCCAGAGATGCTGTTAAATAAAATGTTCACGTGCCCATGTTTTAATCCAGTTCAGAATTCCATGAGCTGATTCAAGAATTTCTTCAAGACATGCACCTGGTGCCACCTACAACTGTTCATTACACAGCAGCAGCAAATGTGGGCGGCTCTTCTATTCTAAGCTTCTTTTGTGGTCTTGGTTCTCTAATGGGCAGAATATTGTCTATGTCCATCAGATTACAAATGCCTTAGATGAGCCTCTATCAGCTATCAATCGAGGTTTCCATTTCAAATCAATACCTAATTAAAATAACAAAACATTTCTGATTGCTTTTTTAGATTACTTTTAAAAGGAAACCTACGGAGCATCCTAATCCAACCCCTTCTTTCTACAGATGAGGAAACCTAGCCTGGGAGATGGACGCCAGGGATGTGAAATTGCTCCAGTTGTTGGAGGCTCCGTAGGACACACACCCCAAGGCTCCAGGACTCCCAGTGTGCTGGAACCTCACAGAACTACCACTTTGCCTCTGCATAATCACTTAATGCACGAGTATTTTTTTAATCTGTTTCAGCAAATGGAAGTCTGGCATAAAATGTAGTTGCCTGAGTTCACTTTAAAGCTTTGGACAATGTTGTCGTCTAAATAATGTGCTTTGGATGTCTTGACCCATAACAAGATAGCACTGTTCCTTAATCTTTCCAAAGGAATCTATAGCATTAATACAGATAGAGGGTTCCTGCCAAGTCTCGTGTGAGTCAGACACATTAGCAAGGTGATCAGAAATGTCCTTATTCCGGAAGACTGCCACCTCTCAGCCGGCAACTCCAAACTGAGCTGGCAAACACAGCATTAAGGACTCAGAAAGCATTGGGGGAGGGGATTTAGTAACAAATCTGAGTCATGAAAACAGAAAACGACTGAAAGAGAAAACATAATTAACTTCCAGTGTAGAATGCTAGTGCCTTGGGGAAAATCCTGTGCAAGTGTAGATGTAAGCAATTTTAGGGACGAATACCGAAAAAGCTGTTAGCAGTCTGATGGGGGCTGCATCGGGGACGGGGGGCCTTGACTATTATTTTATTTTAATTAAGAATGTTGGTTACAGGAGTGAAGGGATAAAGTCAGGTTGCAATGAGGCAACCTTCCTGTTGGACAGGGCCTCCTGCAGCTACTGAGTTTCCCACTGTGGTTGTGAACAGGCTGGACACGATGAATGTTTACATGGTGAAATGCGGCCCCTTGTGGCCTGATTGGGGAAACAAAACAAAAAGTCCGACTCACAGCCTGAGAGTGATACTAACCTACTTTACAGCATGTCAAACAGTGACACTGAAAAAATGACTACGGTACTCAGCAAAATTAGTAATCACACCAAAACGCACCAACATATAAAAGAACCATTTTATTCAAGAAAGCCGGGAAGAACTGTCCCCTAAGTCAGCTCGTGTCACACTTGAACGTGCCTGGGGACCACCTAGCATCTTGTTGCAGCAGCACAGGTTTGGTTCAGCGGGCCTGGATGAGGCGTGAGGGTCTGCATTTTATTTATTTATTTATTTATTTATTTATTTATTTATTTATTTACTTACTTACTTACTTACTTAGAGATAGGCCTGTTGCCCAGGACGGAGTGCAGTGGTAAGATAACAGCTCACTGCAGCCTCGACCTCCCAGGCTCAAGCAGTCCTCTCACTTCAGCCTCCAGGGTGGCTGGGACTGCAAGTGCACGCTACCACTGCTAACTTTTTAATTTTTTCGTAGAGTCTTGCTGGTCTTGCTATGTCGCCCAGGCCAGTCTCGAACTCCTAGACTCAAGCGATCCTCCTGCCTCGGCCTCCCAAAGTGCCAGGATTTCAGGTGGGAGCCACCGTGCCCAGCCAGGGTCTGCATTTCTGATAAGCCTCAGGCAATGCCCACCCTGAGAGTGGCCAGGGGCTCGAGGGAAGGGTTGGCCAGGTCTCCTCTGTCAGGGCCTCCTCGCTCCAAGACCGCAGGCCTCTGGAGGGCATTCTCTGCCTCGCCTTGGCCTCCCAGGGGTTACAATTCTTTCCCACACCCAAGCACTGAGAAGGCTGGGGAGCCACTTTTCTTTCGCATCTTCAAGCTCAAGGGCCTCCTTACCTCAGCTCAAGGTCATCATTTCCCCCTAAGAAAGAGTATCCTGTGAGGAGACAGCCCACTCCCTGACACCTTCCTAGCCTACTCTGGACCTTCCTACTTCAGGAAGCAACCATTCCAGGACGGCATCTGACTGTGTCTTATGGATTCCGCATTCATGAAAGCCACAGGTTTCTTTCTTGATCACTGAAAGCAGCAGGTGGTTTTCAATGCCATTGCCTCCAAGTCTCCTCTTGGGATGTGCCTGTCTGAAGGTGGCGTTAATGTGTATCTGCCGGGCTTCTCCCTTGCACCCAGACAGCGCGCACTGAGGCCCACTCCGGCATCTTGTTTCCAGTGTCAGAGTGGCATTCACACCCCACCCCACCCCCAATCCCAAGAATTCATTGTATTTGGTTATGAAGAAAATCTTTAATACAAAGTATTTTTAACCCAGTGTGGGAGGAGAAAGACAGAATAAATAGAACAGTAGAATGATCACAGATGGGTAATTACACATGTAAATGAGCTCAATTTGGTAAATTTCCTTTGAGTTCCTATTTACCTGATTAACATTTTATGCTAGCCCCACAGCACCACTGCAGTTTGGGTTACTTTCTTTTTACTCTTATATGTCAATTCTGAAATATGAAAAGCAATTTTGAATACTTTGGTGGAACCATTTTTCTCAGCTTTTTTTTTTTCAGATTTTTCCATTTACCATCATAACTGGTCTACAAAGTATGAATTGCCTCCAGTGTACAAGGTCCCACAACATGTTGGATCTCTGGAAAACACAACCCTAGTATTCCAGGAACAGTTCCCACAAAACTAGAATACAAAATCTAAGTAATAAGGTCAGACCATGCTGAAGTCATTTAAGAATAATGAAGTGGGAGAAATGACATCTGACTGAGAAATCAGCAAGGGCTTCCTGGAGGAAGTGGCACTCAAGCAAGATCTTGAAGGACAAGTAAGAACTGTATATATACAAAAGGGTCAGGTGTGAGACAGAGAGTACACAGGGCATATCCAGGGGATGTCGGCAGATCATTAGAAACTCAGGACCAGGGACCCGGGGAGACAATTGAGGGCTGTGGGAATTAGAGACACAGGAATGATCACTGAAATCCTGGCAGGGCGGAAGTAGCCAAGAGAGACTGCAGAGAGAGAAAGGAGGGCAAAGGCAGAGCCCGGGAGAAGCAGGAGGAAGGTGAACTCCGGCAAAGCAGCAGCAAGGAGGCAGGAGGCCACTGGGCAAGTCGGACGCCATCAATGCCCAAGGATGAAAGCAAACTTGTTTGTTTTTGGTTTCATAAAAATTTTCAAACAATACACAGGCCAGGTGCAGTGGCTCATGCCTATAATCCCAGCACTTTGGGAGGCCAAGGCAGGAGGATCACCTGAGGTCATAAGTTCGAGACCAGCCTGGCCAACATGGGAAACCCCATCCCTACTAAAAACACAAAAATTAGCCGGGCGTGGTGGCATATGCTTGTACTCCCAGCTACTTGGAAGGCTGAGGCAGGAGAATCACTTGAACCCAGAGGCGAAGGTTGCAGTGAGCCGAGATGGCACCACTGCACTCCAGCCTGGGCGACAGAGTGAGACGACCTAAAATAAACCATACACACTCAAAAGTGCAGATATAATGAACCCCCACCCGTGCCCATTCATAAATAATCAGCAGAGATTAAGATGAGGGCCATACTATCCCTTTTGCTGTGTGGTTACTTTACCGACATTTTACCACAAACCCCAGGCCCCATGGCATCCAGCCCCTGCATACATCATTATGCCTCGCTCAGAAATGCGGGCAATCAAGAAGAAAATGTTAAAGGGGAGAACAATTTTAAATTGTTGGAAATTTTAGGGATTTCAGACAGACAGTAACACTTTGTAGGAACTCACTGGCGGCCTTCAAGAGAGTAGTTTCAGCAAGATGCCTGGAGGACCAAAAGCCCAGAGTTGAAGTGTTGAGTGGGCAAAGTCAGTGCGGTTAAAAATAAGAGAGCAGTTCAGCGAGGTGCCTGGGCCACGGGAGGGCTCTTTGTCACCAAGATGAGACGTAAGTATGCTTGCGGGTCAAGATAAAGAATCAATAGAGTGGTTAGAGAATGAAGATGTGAGTAAACAGATGCTCGATGCAGCAACATTCATTTGTTCCATTGAAGATGGAATGAGCACGTATTACGGGGCTGCATTCTTTTTGGCCCAGGCCATGAGATGGATAAAATCCCTGCCCTCGTGGAGCTAACACTCCAATGGCAGGACAGACATTAAACCAACAAACAAATGTAAAATATAATGCCCAACAATGATAACCGCAATAAAGTAAAATAAATGACTCAAAGGAGGTGGCACACGACACAGCCAAGAAGACACACGGAGAGGTGAGAGCTTGAAAGAGAGGCCAGACAGTACCTCTGGGCAGAAGAGGGGCTGGGGGATCTGGTAGCCAGAGAATCTCAAGGGAGGGACAACTGCAGGGAAAGGAACTCATGCTGAGTTCACTGTGTTCTACAGAAGAAAAAGAGAGAAGCTCAGGATTTCTAAACCCTTCTAGACGCTAAGATTGCTAATACTATATTAACTGACGCAATGTCCCTTTATGTGTTTTACTGCTAAAAAACAAGCTCAGAGTGAGGGAAGAAGGCAGCCATGCACAGAAGGAAGGCACTAGGTCTGCTTATTAGCCAAGTGGGACTTCAGGCAATTTAAAGTCTCTGAGCCTCAGTTTCTGCATGTGTAAAATGGGTATGATGCTTCCTACGGAAGAGGGTTCTGTGAGAATGAGGTAGTAACATACATGGAGCCCCAAGCACAGTGCTCCGCACCTCCTAAATGATCGTTAAGTGCTATCTTAGAAAAGAAAAGCCATCCCTAGGGAAGCAGTTGTGACAGTCAAAAAGCAGCTGTCCTGTTTTGAGAAAAACCCTTGGAAGGCTTCCTAAGGTTTCTCCTCAAAATGGCTACATGCTCTTCTTTTTGGTTTGGAAAATGTTATGCAATCAAACACACGTTTTACTTTCTCAAAATTTCTACTGTTCTCAAGAAGCCCCCAAAATGACAAGCCCCGCAGCTCCTGGTAAGGGTGGACAACGGTTAATGGAGAGAAACGTGAAAGTGACGACATCCTGGAGAGACCTCAATTATCCCATTTCCTCAGATCCACACAGTTGGTTCATGGTCTCACTTCCCCCCTTTCAACATTTCTCATTTCCTTTCAGGGTTACGTGAATTAGAAGGTTGAAGAGCCCTTGAAGGGTCACCTTGTCCATCTCTGCCTTAAAATTAGATAAGAGAAGAACTAAAAACCATGGTGGTAATTGTTCAGGGAAAAAAAGAGTTATAGAGTTCATTTAATTTTGTTAAGCTAATTAGTAGAGGTCCACAGAGCCAACTTGAATGAAATGAGGCCAGTTCTATTTGAAATCACATTTAGGCCAATAAAACTCTAGGCCCCAGCACATCCATTCCTCATCCCAAACTCCCCTCCCTTCTCTACCTTCGAGCTTATCACTGGGATTTAAACAGGTGTGACTATCCCAAAGAAACTACAACTCTATAGACTGGCCATGACTGCACTCGTGCCCTCGTGATTAGCTGCCTAAATAGTGAATTAGCCTACAGATAGAACTCAGCTCTCACTAAAAAAATTAATGATCAATACCCAAAATATGTCAGATTAGATCAAAAAATAAGTTATTCTCCCTTAGTTCAAAAGTCATTGCTAACAAATTGTCTCTGGGTGTTCACTGGCAAGCAACTGCCCAGTTATTTATCCTATCTGGGGAGAGCAAAATAGATGTACATAACATCAACTACTTATATAAAATTTTAAGTCATTTGTTTCAGGTATTTTGGGTTTTCTCCAGGAGAGGTGGAGAATGTGGCTGTAATCCCTAAAGTCTTAGAATGAGACTGGACACAGTGGCTCACGCCTGTAATCCCAGCACTTTGGCAGGCTGAGGCGGGCGGGTCACTTGAGGCCAGGAGTTTGAGACCAGCCTGGCCAACATGGTGAAACCCTGTCTCTACTATTATAAAAATACAAGAATTAGCCAGGCGTGGTGGCACGCGCCTGTAGTCCCAGCTACTTGGGAGGCTGAGGCCCAAGAACCGCTTGAACCCAGGAGGCAGAGGTTGCAGTGAGCCCAGATCGTGCCACTGCACTCCAGCCTAGGTAACAGAGTGAGACTTTGTCCCAAAATAAATAAAATCGTATTTCCAGACATGGCTAACTTTAAAAAAAAATGAGTTTCATTTTAGACGTACTAAACGAAAAGATGTTAGGACTTGTTCTTTTGGGTGTTGAAAAGAGAAGTCACTTTCTCTTTTCAACTTTAAGTCAAACAGTATAAAAGGAATACACAGCAATATGCTGCAAACCCAGCTGGGGTCGGGGAAGCCTTCTTTTTTTTTTTTTTTTTTAAGCACTTTCTGATTTCTCAGGTGTAAATATCCCCATTATGGCCAATTTCAAGCTACCAACAGTTTAATGACCAGCTGACAAAATTCCTGAAAATTTCATAATTGGCTCTCCCCTGCACACCACTGGAGCTAGACAAAGAGGTGAGTGGTCTAAGATTTCTTTCATGCCCTGTCTTTTATTTGGTTAGTAAACTCAGTTGTTAAATAAACCACTAAAAAGTGTGAATTTCATACTGTATAATCACATTTAAACAAGCTTTTAAATATGGTTCTCATCCTAGGTGATCATTAAAACTCAGGTTATAAAATAATATTCGATTATATAGAAATATTTTTAGGAAATATTTTAAGTGAAAATAGTGTGACCAGTATGACCCCAAATTTGCATATAAAAATGACTAGAAGGATATACCTCAAAATGTGAGTAATTATTAATTGTAAGATTATGTGCTTTATTTTCTTCTTTGTGCTTTTTTCTATTTTTCAGATTTTGTGCAATGTTTACAACTGGGAAAAAAATAAAGCCAATAAATGTTATATAGTTTAGAAAAAATATATAGCATTTCAGATTATGTATAGACTGGCTACAAGACTGAATCAGATTGACTCTATTTAAATAAGGCTAAATCTTTATCCTTTATTTTTATGATGTTTTACTGCTTTCAAAGTAGTGTCATATGCATTATCTAATTTGATCATCCTTGACGCAGGGAAGACAGGTTATTATACTTTCATTATACAGATGCAAAAACAGATGATTACATGATTTGCCCCTGATCACATGGCTAATAAAGCAGTTAAACTGGGACTTTGACCCTGGATTTCTGGTTGCTACCCCCAAGACCCTCCTTCAAAAACAAGCTGGGGGAAGCTTTGCTCATGGCTCCTTGGTTTAAGAAGTTCCTACTGAAAACCTAGATCTGATTCTGCAACGGGTCCCTCTCCTGGTCTTGAGCATTTTAAATGTCCCATGCTTGACTAGAATCATCCGGGTAGGACACATGCCATTCAGGCATCGATGCTACACAGAATGGTGCCTCCAGTGGACTCTTTAGCTTGGAAATGTATGAGCATGACTGGAGAACTTGCCAAGGACAGCACCCACACTCTGGGATGAAAAACAGGCACAATGTTCTACAAACATCCAGTTACAACAATCTTTAAAGGCCGCATACCAGGTTCTGGAATCAGTTTCCCTATCTTCTCCCTAAAGAACTAGGGAGTGCCCTTTATGAGAATGGCCGAAGGAGTAACTTCTGGGGAGATCTGTCTGAAGCCTCTGCTGGGTCCCGTGTGGTTTGGCCTGGGACATCCGCCTCCTGCTGAGAGGTGACAGCGTGCTGGCAGTCCTCAGAGCCCTCGCTTGCTCTCGGCACCTCCCCTGCCTGGGCTCCCACTTTGGTGGCATCTGAGGAGCCCTTCAGCCCCCCACTGCACTGTGGGAGCCCCTTTCTGGGCTGGCCAAGGCTGGAGCCCACTCCCGCAGCTTGCAGGGAGGTGTGGAGGGAGAGGCACGAGCGGGAACTGGGGCTGCGTGTGGCGCTTGCGGGCCAGCTGGAGTTCCGGGTGGGCGTGGGCTTAGTGGGCCCCGCACTTGGAGCAGCCAGCCAGCCCTGCTGGCCCCGGGCAATGGGGGACTTAGCACCTGGGCCAGTGGCTGCGGAGGGTGTACTGAGTCCCCCAGCAGTGCCGGCCCACCGGCGCTGTGCTGGATTTCTCGCCAGGCCTTAGCTGCCTTCCCGCGGGGCAGGGCTCAGGACCTGCAGCCCGCCATGCCTGAGCCTCCCACCCACTCCATGGGCTCCTGTGTGGCCCGAGCCTCCCCGACGAGCACCACCCCCTGCTCCATGGCGCCCAGTCCCATCGACCACCCAAGGGCTGAGGAATGCGAGCACAGGGCACAGGACGGGCAGGCAGCTCCACCTGCAGCCCCGGTGCGGGATCCACTAGGTGAAGCCAGCTGGGCTCCTGAGTCTGGTGGGGACGTGGAGAGTCTTTATATCTAGCTCAAGGATTGTAAATACACCAATCAGCACCCTGTGTTTAGCTCAAGGTTTGTGAGTGCACCAATCGGCACTCTGTATCTAGCTGCTCTGGTGAGGACATGGAGAGTCTTTATATCTAGCTCAGGGATTGTAAATACACCAATCAGCACCCTGTGTTTAGCTCAAGGTTTGTGAGTGCACCAATCAACACTCTGTATCTAGCTGCTCTGGCAAGGACGTGGAGAACCTTTATGTCTAGCTCAAGGATTGTAAATACACCAATCGGCACTCTGTATCTAGCTCAAGGTTTGTAAATACACCAATCAGCACCCTGTGTTTAGCTCAAGGTTTGTGAATGCACCAATCAACACTCTATCTAGCTGCTCTGGTGGGGCCTTGGAGAACCTGTGTGTGGAAACTCTGTATCTAACTAATCTGATGGGGACGTGGAGAACCTTTGTATCTAGCTCAGGGATTGTAAACGCACCAATCAGCGCCCTGACAAAACAGGCCACTCGGCTCTACCAATCAGCAGGATGTGGGTGGGGCCAGATAAGAGAATAAAAGCAGGCTGCCCGAGCCAGCATTGGCAACCTGCTCGGGTCCCCTTCCACACTGTGGAAGCTTTGTTTTTTCGCTCTTTGCAATAAATCTTGCTACTGCTCACTCTTTGGGTCCACGCTGCTTTTATGAGCTGTAACACTCACCGCAAAGATCTGCAGCTTCACTCCTGAGCCCAGTGAGACCACTAGCCCACCGGGAGGAACGAACAACTCCAGACGCGCTGCCTTAAGAGCTGTAACACTCACCGCGAAGGTCTGCAGCTTCACTCCTGAGCCACCAAGACCACGAACCCACCAGAAGGAAGAAACTCCGAACACATCTGAACATCAGAAGGGACAGACTCCAGACGCGCCACCTTAAGAGCTGTAACACTCACTGCGAGAGTCCGCGGCTTCATTCTTGAAGTCAGTGAGACCAAGAACCCACCAATTCCGGACACACTGCTTCTGGACCCTTACTCCTGCTCACAGGCAGTGCTTCCCCAGGGCTCATTTACCAGAAACGACCACACACTGGGTTTTCCAATTATAAGAAACAAAAACTTGTTGCCTCAAGTAGTAGGTTTTAGCAGGTGGATATATGGGACAAGTTAAACACACACACACACACACACACACACGTTCTGATGAGACCTCACAGAAAGCCAGAAAAGCCATGCCACCAGGCTTCAGAGAAACAAGCGGCCCAGGACAGGGTGGCCCACAACAGGGGAAGTCCCCTCTCCTGCCAGTGTCACCATGCAGCACAGACAGGATGCAGCACTCCCACCTGGACCCCAGCCTTGGAAGTCCCTCTCACTGTGATGGCAAGGCCACCCCTTCAGGGATGCCACAGGTTGAGGCCAAAGATGAAGACTGTCTTATGAAACACAGTATTTCCTGGATTGACGTTCAGATGCTTCAGTGGAGACCATGTAATACAAATGTGTGCTGGCTTCTGTCTGCAGCCCAAGGGAGCCTCGTTAACTTCATGTGAAGAACCCTAACAGGAATACACGTGCAGAGATGGAAAGGTAATCAAAGGCCCACTCTAGAGGCAGCCACTAAGGCATGAGCTACATTTATCTTCTGATCTGTAACAGAATCTTAATTAGTACCAAGATATTAGAAATTACTTTTCATTGGTGAAATGAGTTTTCAAGATGAGTGAACTGGCTACAAATATTGTACAGCCCCTTCCTTCCCTAGTATGAACAGGGTATAAGGAATCGGGGAGCCAAATTGCCTATGGCTTTGGAATGGAATCTGAAAATGCTTGCTGGAGTACTCTGTAACCTGCACAACCAGAGAGTCAGCTGAGTCTTGTGGCTAAAATACTCTCTCATCTGTTTAGAATGCATTTTCACACAAGGTGCCACCAAAGCACCTAAGAGGACAGACACCTGGGACTACATCGAGCTTACTGCAGCTGGATGCTGCCTTGTTGCCAGCGGGTGTTGACGTTTGCTTCCACAGCACCATAGTCTGTTAGTGGGAGAGTAGCCTGCGAGAGAGAACGCCTAAAGGACTCACTCAACGTTAACTGAGGCTGTCGACAATCTCTCAGAAAGAACAGAAGAATCCTGCATGATCCAGTCAATGTGACTTAGGACCTTTTGCTCTGAGAACTTTAGTATTCTCACAAGTAATCAGGGAACTTCGGAGCAAACGCTGAGTTACTCATACCACTGAGTACTGTTCCGTGACCTCACTCACACCCAGAAACAAAGGGGTCTGGGGAAATTTGGGGTTACCTTTATATTCCTGAGCAGGCCTTCCACACTGCCATGCTCAGTAATGTGTGGATTTCACAGCACCAGGATTTCTGATCTCAGTTAAATACAATTCAGTTTGTAAAAATCAATCTTAAAGCACTTTGTTTTAATCTTTATTCTCTTCAATTAGAAAAATACATACTACAAAAGTTTCACATTATAGAAAACAGAAAAAAACAAAAATTCCCCCAGAATCCCACCCTCAGAGATGGTTACTCCTCTTTGGTAAGTATTCCTCCAGGTTTTTTAAGCATATAGTAGTACATAAGCAGGAAAAAGTAAAATCCTACTATATATAAGCAACTGCTCTTGAGCAAGTTTTCAAATGGTTCTGACAGATCATTCTGACCAATTTCTCCAGGGAACTTTATGGATTAGTTTTCAGAGAAGATTCCATGACACTGTGGGTAGACAAACCTCTAAGATTTTTCTTATCATTTATAATAAATGTTGTCCCAAGTGTTAAATGTCAAAGTTTTTAAAAATAGTAAATAAATGTGATACAGAGGAAAAAAAGTTCAGAAAATTATCCCAGTTTCTTATCAAAATCAAAACTCCTAAGTCCCAATTCCAACAAGTACCATAAAACGTCTTTAAAATGCGATTTTGAGAAACAATCACTTCTTTATCATAAAATATAGCTATAGAAGTAATTCTACAATTTTGGGTTTTTTTTTTGAGAGAAGGTCTCACTCTGTTGCCCAGACTAGAACACAGTAGTGGCATGACCAAGGCTCACTGCAGCCTCAACCTCCCAAGCTCATCTGATCCTCCCACCTCAGCGTTTCGCATGCCTGGCTAATTTTTTTTTTCTTTTTTTTTTTGTAGAGACGACGTCTCACTATGTTGCTTCATTTAACAAATAAGGGGAGGAAGGGCGGGGGCAGAATGGAGGACACAGACTAGAGTTCAGCTTTTACAAGTGGCAAAGGACAATTTGGATTCGGCCTCCCACAGCTTCATTTGTAATGCTTTCAAGACATCTTCCATCTATTGAATTTAAAAAATAAAAAAATAAAGAAACACACATATAATTAAAAATTATACATGGTTAAATATAATTAAGATATACACTTAATGCAATTTTGGATATGTCATACATTACAAGGTAGATATTCAGTGTTTAACAAAACTATTTAGAGGCATAAATTTTTTAAAAATAAAGCATAATTCTATCAACAGTAGTTCTCAACCTATAATCTACATCTCTTTTATACAATCATCACCATCTCACCTATCTGGCAATGAGAAAATGTTAACATCCAACAACAAGGCTATTTATACCACAAGAATTGAATCAAACAAAATACTGATTTGAATCAAAGATGTATTTCTAGCTTTGCAGTGTTTTAATATATAGTTTTGATTTTGACATGACATGTCTTCCTCATTATTTTGTTGATTAAGCTTTAGCTTTTGAGTTCCCCAAAAATCAACTTTACTAACAACTGAAATGAAATAAGCACACTCTTCCTGCAATCAACACAGATGACGTTATGAGAATTATCGTTTGTGGGGGAGCACTTCTTCACTGACAAACTGTTCATACAAAGATATAAAATGTACAGAATAAAATTACCTGTGTTAGAGACTTTTCTATTTCAACTCTGCTTTCAAGATTAAAAAGCTCTTTATCTTCTGACACAATTTGCTTTTCAGAGGACCCTAAAACATAACTGAAGTACGGTACAAGGTTAAAATACAAGCTGGGTGTGGTGGCATGCACTTGTTCCCAGCTATTCAGGAGGCTGAGACAGAAGGATCATCTGAGGCTAGGAGTTTGAAACCAGCCTGGGCAACACAAGACCCCGGGCAATATGCCTGTAGTCTTAGCTACTTGGGAGGCTGAGGCAGGAGGATCGCTGGAGCCCAGGAGTTCAAGGATGCAGAAAGCTATGACCACAGCACTGCACTCCAGCCTGGGCGACAGAGTGAGACCCCATATCTTAAAAAAATAAGTTTTAAAATAAATAAAAATAAAAAGCTGGGGGCAGGGGGCAATATCCTACTGAACTACTTTCAATTTTTAAAAACAACTGAATATACTTTTATTCCAAAAATTTTCTCACAGTGTTTTCTCCTACAATTTAGAGTGTCTGACTTTTCCAATACCAAATAAAGAAGGAGGTCAAAGCAAAAAAAAAAAAAATTACTGGCTTGTTAGAAATCATTACTTGAAAATATATTTAACCAAACAGTATTGATTTAGTTCTGACAATTCCGTGCCTTAACTTTCTGAAACACCAGTTGTGAGGTAAACATTTATATATCAAACTTACCTTTCAATGGCTTCAACACTGAGGCAAAACAAGTCTCTCTTGTAATCAAGATTCTTGGGCGTGCATCTGTACACGTAGCCAAGATTGAGTGAGCACCCCGCGCAGCACAAAGTCTCAAGGACGCTGCAATAAAGAAATGTCTTGCTTTAGGAAACGAAGCAGCAACTCATTATAATAAAAATCTCACTGTTAAAATCCATAAACACCTCAGTTTCTCAAGTATGCTATTCTGACCACACTAGGTCATACATAAAGGATAGGAAAAAATGATAGTAAGATATTTACAATAAAAATGTAAAGACAGCCACGATGCCTTAAGTATCAAATGACAAGGGACATACAAAAAAGTGACAAGAGAGAATATTGAGGTGGTGTTTTTCTAGAATATAAATTCCTCCATCTGGTACTAATGTAACAAAGTGGAGAATAAATATTTTAGCCTCGCCAGCCATCTGGTGTCTGTCACTACTCACCTCTGCCATTGTAAAACGGAAGCACCTATAGACAATACTAACTGAATAACCTGTGTTCCAATAAACTCGTATTCACAAATGGGTGCCCGCCCCATGGGCCATAGTTTACCAAACTCTGCTCTAGTGGAAGGTAATACTGCTTGGCTTAATAAAAAAAAAGTCTCTAAAGTTAGATGACAACCCATGTAATTGTTTCTTCATTCTAGTTACCTCTCAACTCAGGTTCCACACACTTGAATATACCCTCCCCCAAAGCCTATTCATGTCTCCTTAAAACCTGGCTTAGAATCCAGTGTCTCCCAAACGCCTTGTTGAACTGACCCATCCAAATTTACCATTCTATAAATATACTAAAATTACCATTCCAACACATAGCAAAATGATAACTAGAGATTTAAATCTAGTAGTGATCACAGTAGTAAAACATACACCACAAACGATTTTTATTACAAAAGTATTCTAACTCCTACTCAGTATGTGAAACACTTGTAATCACTAAATATCCATTCCTGCTATCAAGCAAAAGGGAGCTACCCAAGACTCACAGATTATAGACTACATCATTGTTTACTTACAGATACTGAGACACTGTTAATTATTACAGCAACATATGGAACAAAGAACAAAATGGATCACCATCTGATTAAGTCATGAATTCTCACTGATGATGTGATTAGCTGGATAGTATGCCACTGATTACATATTAAGTGTCTACGGGCTTTTATAAGCTTCTATATTTTAGTTTTATAGTAGAAATAGTCTCGCTATGTTGCCCAGGCTGGTCTCGAACTCCTAGCCTCAAGCAATCCTCCACCTTGGCCTCCCAAATGTGAGATTACTGGCAGGAGTCACCATACCCAGCCAGCTTGTTTAAATGTTTATATGAGAAATAAAAAGCATGTCGGTAAATCCCACTTAAATTACTCACAGTGAACAGGTAAACCTCCATGCTATATATCAAACCTCATTACCATTATAAGACCGCCTCACACCATTACCAAGACTGCAAACTAATATCTAATGTCATCAGCCAAGAAAGGACACTCAGAGAAACCAGAGGCTTGAACTCCCCAAATCCACTGAGCCATGAATAAGACTGTTTTATCCCGAGTTATCAAAATCAACCTAAACACCACCAAAAATAGGAACAAACCCATTCACACTTCTAGAATCATCTTGTGGAGCAATGAAGAGATGGTAGCTAGTATTAAGGCAGCAACTTTCCGCTTTCACAGTTGGCAAGAATTTGGCCAGCATTCACCCCTTTCATTGAACAGTAACATTGAGAAGGCAGTGCCAATAATCGTAAGGTGATGTTAGACAAGGAATAATCCGATTGTTAAGATCCTCAACAAAGGACAAAGTCAGACTTAACAGAGAAAACAGCACTGGCACCTTCACAACATATTTCTAAAGCCCACAGTGCTCTTGCTGACCATCAGCAGAAAGGCTCAGGCAGGTATCAAAAAATTCACAAGCATCCCAAAGCAACACGGGAGTGTGCAGCACACAACCCTAGTGAAGTCCAAGACAACTGAAGGCAGTCTAATCGATGGGTTTAGGTGATACAAACAGTATTAATAACTCTGGATCAAAGAGAGTGAATTCTCTATCAATCCTGATTAGAAAAAAGAAGAAAGTCTCGGTTTGGTGCTAGACTGTCTTTGACACTTGTCTCATAGTCGCAAATCTTTTAATAGTAACAGAACAGACCTCAGGCAGAGAACCAGCCAGGCAACAACATCTCAGCTAGAACTAATAACATTTGTTTTCACTGTAATTATCTTCAGAGTTACTTTCTAGTTATGGCAAGTATGTATTTATGATAGTAAAAACAATCCTTTTAAGACAAATTTAAATAAAAATTTTGAGTTGATTTAATTTTAAAAATTTAGTATGTAATAGCACAGTTGGTACCTGGTACACAAATAGGACAAAAATGATGGTGATATCAAAATGGCTAGAGCTAGAGCTAGAAAGTGGAGAAGAAAGAGCACTTCGAAGGCAGTAAGGAAGGGTAACAAGCATCATCCTAGCTCTTACTGCTAATTAGTCCTGTGACCTTAGCAAAGTTCTAGCCTCCCTGGGCCTAACTTTCTTCAACTACCAAATGAGAAATGATCTGAGGTGGGTTTTCCAAATTTTTATGGCCTGCATGCCGGCACCACAATTTCTGTCACATCCACAAACCATCTGTACTATTACTAATTTATCTTAAATGGAGAAACTTTTTTTCTTTTTTTTTTTTTTTCACTTTTATGGAAGAGATACATAGGGCAAAGGTTACAGAAGGGGGACACAGAGCTTCCAAGACCTTTCTAGGTACACCACCCTCCCGGCATCTCATATTCACCAATCTGGAAGTTCTCTAAAACCCATGGGTTTTTTGGAGGTTTTATAACACAGGCATGATTAATTACACCATTGCTGATAATCTCTAGCCCCTCTGCCCTCGATGGAGGTAGGAGAAGAGGTTGGGGTAGGGCCAAAACTTCCAACCCTCTAATCATGCCTTGGTCCTTCTGGCCCCCAATCCTGAAGCTACATAGAAGCCCCCCAGCCACAGTCACCTCATTAGGATTAAAAACGACATTATTATCACTCCAGAGATTCCAAGCATCTTAGAAGCTCTTCTGTCAGAACTGGGGACTAAGACCAAACATGGTAACAAAAGATACCCTTATCACCCCATCACTCAAGAAATCGAAAGGGTTTTAGGAGCGACTAAGTATTGAATGTTTCTGTCCCCTACCACATGTATAAGTTGAAATGGTAGCTCCTAATGTGATGGTATTGGGAGGAGGGGTCATCAGGAGGTATTTGGTCATAAGTGCACAGAGTAATTTTTTTTAAATTGAAATATACTTTATTTGATAGGATACTCTAGCATCACTAAAAATGAAAAGCCAGTATTTTTAATACACATTAAAATATACACATAATTAATTTTTGTTTAACTGTGTACCACCTAAAGTTATTTCATACGCAAGTGTAAGATACAGTTTACATTTGCAGCAACAATTATATAGGGCAGCGCTTCCCACTCAGTTTGCTCAGGCGTCACTATGGCACATGGGTGGCAGGTATGGCAAGATATTTGTCCCCTCTACCCTTAAAGTGGCCACACAGGGCTTCAGATTGCTGGAGCTCCTGTGTTGTTTGCTCTTGCCACAAACAGCCTTGTCTGTTTACCCCAATAGGCTGTGTGTGTGACAGCAGCATTTTATGTGTGTGCCATAACATGAGAAAGTTGGGCAGCATTAGCCTAAGGCACCCTTTAACATTGAGATTTTATAATATAGGTATTTCCTTTTCTTCTTTTTTTTTTTTTTTTTTTTTTTTTTTGAGACGGAGTCTTTCTCTGTTGCCCAGGCTGCAGTGCACTGGCGATCTTGGCTCACTGCAACCTCCACCTCCGTAGTTCTAGTGATTCTCCTGTCTCAGCCTCTTGAGTAGGTGGGATTACAGGCCCGCACCACCATGCCCGGCTAATTTGTGTATTTTTAGTGGAGACGGGGTTTTGCCATGTTGGCCAGGCTGGTCTCGAATTCCTGACCCCCCGGTGATCTGCCCACCTTGGCCTCCGAAAGTGCTGGGATTACAGGCGTGAGCCACCGTGCCCGACCTTCTTTTTCTATTTTTATTTTTGATTTTCTTCAGCACCAAGCCCAAAGATCCAAAAAGGGAATGTCAGCATATGCTTTTAGAAATCTAGAAACTCTAACTTTTCAATATCTAAAGGTGACCACAACCACTCAAGAACTAACATATTCCTTTCTAAAACAGGATATAGAAAAAGCAAAAAAAAGAACTGATATATGCGAACGACTGATTTTTTTACTATCATGAAAAGTTTTATCCCAAGTAATCTTACTACTAGTAATGACCTTTTAAAGATTTTTATTAAAGAAAATTCTCTAACATATTCATATAAATACAGTTTTACTCACCAACCATTTTCCTTTTCACGTTTGGATAGCTTCTGTTCCTTATCCACAGAAACATTACAGGAAACACCTAGAAACAGAGAAAGTAACAATAATTTATTAATGTAGTTCGTTATAACATACCTGCAGACAGAGAGTTTCTAATCCAACTTTTTAGAACTCGGAGGACAAAAAATAAGCCCAAAGTCAAACACACAAAAGAGCGGTTTAAAACTAAATGTACTGGGGTCTTCTGGGAAAAGATAGCAGAATAAGAGTTATTTCCAACCAGGCGCAGGGACTCACACCTGTCATCCCAACCCTTTGGGAGGCCAAGGTGAGAGAATGGCTTGGGGCCAGGAGTTCGAGGTCAGCCTGGACAACATAACGAGACTCCATCTCTAAAAAAAAATTTTTAAATAAAAATTTAAGAAAAATTTTAAAAGGTTATTTCCTCCCTTTCCCTGAAAACCACTAACATTAATAGAATGGCTAAAATTAGAGGGGAAAATTCATTCCACAGTAAACTTGGAACAAGTAGAACCTCAAATCACACACTGCAAAGAATTATCTGCCAGATAGTGAAATTGGGTTCCAAACCTAGGAAGATGCAAACAGCCAACACATATATCTCCAGATTTCAAACACAGGGCCCATTTCTCTAAAAGTAACTGAGAGGGTCCTCAGGATCCCAGCCACACATCTTTTACTTGAACAATGACTTGGACAGAGGTCACTGCTGGACTTCAGAGGCAGCAGCAAACATTCCCAAAGAATCCAGCTCTAGGAAACACTAAAGGACAGGGTAGAGGGTGAAGAGAAATGAAGAAGGGACATCTGACCTAAAATGGCCAAAACAGACTCTTGATTTCACGGCCTCCTACAGTCTACCTTAACTCGGTAAACTCCAACTCCATCTACCTGCTTGCTGAAATCAGAAACCAGGGTGTCATCCTTGATTCTTTGTCTCCTCATCCTGCTCCCCTGTATCTACTCCACTGATCCATCCCATCAATTCTACCTCACAAACTTCACTCCAGCCCCCAAACCACCAGCACCACCTCTTGCCTGGACTACTGCCCTGGCTCTTCACTAACCTCCCCACTTCCATACTTGTTCCTCCTTCAATGCTTTCTCCAAAGAAAATGCGGGGTCACATTACTCCCCTGCCTAAGCTAGCATAATAACGTACTCACTAGAACAGATTACTACTCTTTAGAACAGACTACAACGCCTTGCAGTTTCTGATCTCTTCCTTCCTCCCTAAATCTTATCTTTATTCTCTTTAACCAGTCTCAAGGCTTTTGCACCAGCTGCTCAGCACCTGTCAAAAGCAAAGAGCGTGACCAAGAACTGTACCTGCAGCCAAGCTAGCATTCACTTATAAATACAGGAAAATAATCCCAGCACTTTGGGAGGCCGAGGCAGGCGGATCATGAGGTCAGGAGATCGAGACCATCCTGGCTAACATGGTGAAACCCCGTCTCTACTAAAGATACAAAAAAATTAGCGGGGTGTGGTGGCGGGAGCCTGCAGTCCCAGCTACTCAGGAGGCTGAGGCAGGAGAATAGCGTGAACCCGGGAGGTGGAGCTTGCAGTGAGCTGAGACTGCACCACTGCACTCCAGCCTGGGCAACACAGTGAGACTCTGTCTCAAAAAAAAAAAAAAAAAAAAAAAAAAGGAAAATATTTTCTAGCACATAAACTTGAAATTTTCTTGGAGATGTGGACGTGGGGAGCACTAATGATTAATCAAACAATTCAGGAATGAAAAAGCTATTAAGAAGCTTTTTTATGTTAATGAGTACTGGAGTTGGGAAAACAATTTATATAAACTTTATAGGATTGGGTGCTGTAACTCACATCTGTACTCCCAGCACTTTAGGAGGCCGAAGCAGGGGATTGCTTGGGGCCAGGAGTTTGAGATCAGCCTGAGCAACATAGCAAGACTCTGTCTCTACAAAAAATTTAAAGATTAGCCAGGTGTTAGTGTGTATCTGTAGTCCCAAGCTACTTGGGAAGCTGAGCCGGGAGGATAGTTTGAGCAGGCGTTCAAGGTTACATACAGTGAGCTATGATTGCGCCACTGTACTCCAACCTGGGCAACAGAGGGCTGTTAACCCACTATAACCCTATTAAAAAAAAACCTATTAAATAAATAATCCTATTTTAAAAAATCATAGTTAGGCTGTTATAGCTACAGAACAGAATGTAAATGTACAGAATGTAAATGTATAAACCTTGACAAAATGAAAATAATTAAACTAATTCAAATTGGGTAAGGAAGGAATGGAAATGAATCCGAGTTCATTTATTTGTCTTTACTGGGGGGTGTGGGGAGGTGTTAAATCCTATTATCTAAATCTGATAAATCAAAAAATGTATAGTTCTTTAAATTTTAAACTACTATTTTAGAACTATGTTTTAAATTTAAAAGCTATTGTTATAAAAATTAAATAACAAAAACAGTCTTTCTATAAGTAACGCAAAACAACGAAAAGAGCCCACATGGCAAAAAATACACTCTATCGAAACAAACAAATAAAATGAAAGATGTAACATCAAACACGTTATTCCTTAAAAACATGTAAACAAGGGAATCTCATTCAAACAAAGAGCTTTTCCTACCTAACCAAAAATCTGCTTTTTTCTTTTTTTTCTTTTTTGAGACGTTGTCTCGCTCTGTCTCCAGGCTGGAGTGCAGTGGCGCAATCTCGGCCCACTGCAACCTCCGCCTCCCGGGTTCAAGTGATTCTCCTGCCTCAGCCTCCGGAGTGGCTAGGATTACAGGCGCACACCACCATGCCCGGCTAATTTTTTATTTTGGCGAGGCTGATCTGGAATTTTTGTATTTTTAGTAGAGATGGGGTTTCATTCACCATGTTGGCAAGGATGGTCTCAATCTCCGGATCTCGTGATCCGCCCACTTCGGCCTCCCAAAGTGCTGGGATTACAGGCCTGAGGCACCGCGCTCGGCCTGGTTTGATTTTGATAGGTGCAAAGAGTTAATCTCAACTTTCAGTTAACTACTGGACACTGGTGTGCTCCTTTATTCCCAGTATTACACCAAGGAAAACGTTCCAGAAACGTCGATAAGCCGGTGGTGAATTACTGCCATCGGAACATTTACGGCATTCAAAGACAGAAAAAACTTCATCTTGAAAAATCACAATCCAAAAACAACAGCCATTCTTACACCAATTCATAAAAAATATGTGAACCACTTTATCCCTAAATACTGCAAAAACATCAAAATGAGGGAACAGTGGAACAACAGAGGTAAGAGGTAACTGCTAGAACCAGGATTAGAAACTAATTCCTGCCTTCTTCTGAACTCTTTTGCTACATCCTCCTTCCTCGCCAGTTTTCATGGGGTTGTTGGTGCTTTTATTGCAAGTTTCCTTCCCTTTCTTCCCTATAGCACTGTGTTCCGTCAACTCTGCGGCTCTATCACTGGAGGCTGTAGAGGCATCCGCTGATACACCAACAGCCTGCTAATTTCTATGGGGAGTAATAGTACTGGCTGCACCTCAAGTGCTTACAGTCTAGTTGACCATTTGTTTCTCTTTTTTTAGGGTCTTTAAAAGTGTTATTCTTTGTCGCCCTTTGTTTCTGAGTAATGCTCACGATGATGCTGATTCAACCACTGCTCTTCTGGGATCGGGGACCCCAGAAAAGAACCCACCGCCCGAGAGCCAAAGTGGAGGGGTGACCCTCCTCCCCTTTTCCTGCCACAGCTCACACTCTCAGACTTTTTGCTCTTAAAGTCCCTGGGCAGCCCCAAGGAGCCCCCGCCTCCTCCCGGGCCGCCCACGCGCGGCACCCCTGGAAGAAGGCGACCCCACGCCCCCCCTGCCCGGCTCGACCCAACTGACAGCGAAGCAGGATGCAGTTGGTGTCCTCCTGGCTGGCCACCCAGCTCAGCGAGTCGCCCAGCGGCCGCCGGCAGCCGGAGCACAGGAACACCAGCGGCCTCTCCTCCGCAGCCGCCGCCTCCTCCTCCAGCTGCGCCCTCTCCATGTCGGCCACCGACGCGTCTTCGCTCATGGAGCTCCACATGCTCGCCCACTTCTGCAACAGCTGGTGGCGGCTCGAGTCTTCGGAGAGTCTCTTGCCCAACAGCGAGGAGTCGCTGCATTTGCCCTTGTCGCCGCACTCACAGCCGCCAGCGCATCCTCTGCTACACCTCAGTGACCGAACGCCTGCCATTACCTACAAATCGCCCGCGCCCCAGAGCGCCATGGGAAAAAAAACCGCCGCTGCTCATGCGCGGGGCGGGGAGCGGTGGCGGAGGCCGAGAAGGGGCAAAAGCCTGAAGGGGGCGGGACGGCGGGCGGCCTCTAGTGCGCATGCGCGCCGTGCGGCCTTGGCCAAGCGTGATAGTCACTGCGCCTGCGTCAGGTTTTCCAGCCTGAAGAAATTGATGATGCAGACCTGTTTGCTTGTCTTCCTAAGGATTATTCACCCCTTTCCGTGGGAGGGGCAGCGTCACTGAGAAAGTTACGGGTTGCAAGCTTGAGTGTCTAAGAACCGCCTGGCGAGCTTCTTAAGCAGATCGCCAGGTTCCATCTTCGCAGACTCTGGTTCAGCAGGTAGCAGGTTAGCCCGAGAATCTGCATTTCTAACAAGCTCCTAGGCGTGCCCACGCTGTCAGTATTGGCAGCCCAACCTTTTTTGGGGGGTGGGGGGGGGAGTTTTTCTATGTTGCCGGTCTCGAACTCCTAGCCTTAAGCGATCTTCCCTACTCGGCCTCCCAAAATGCCAGGATCGCAAGCGTAAGCCACTGTGCCAGACCACCACCCTTTTTCTTCTTTTTTGTAAGTGGACTAATTATAGTTGTATATAAGCAGCTCCACTTTTGATGACCACTGCTCTATTTTGTCGGCTCCTGGGGACCTCCTTTCCATGAAGTGGAGAAGGAAGGGGATAGAGGAGTCCCTCATCACAGGGTCCTTTTGCGCACTGCTATCCCTGGAATGAGACCCTGGGAAGGGCCCCGGATCACTCAGGCTGTCACTGCAAGGAAAAAGTTGAGGAAGCAGCAGTGCCCCTGGAAAGCCTGGAAGTGTCCCTGCTGCTTGGATCAAGGAACAATTCGTCCTTGCAAGGAAGAAGCATCCCTTGTTGATGATAAGGACAGATTTCCTCAGCTGCCCCAGAAAGCCAGCCTCTGCCTAAAACACCGTAGGTCAGGAGGGAAAGCTGGCGGGGAACCAGCCAGCTGCACCACAGACAGTCTGGTGGTATACCTGGGAAGAAAGCTACCTGCAAGGACCTACTCTGTTCCTACTACGCTCTGGGTGTCCCCCAAGTCACTGCCTATTTTGCTTGGTTGCATAAACTATTTATGTAAATGTACTTCCAATTTTAGTGCTTACAGCCACTAGCAAAAAGCAAAAGCTTTGGAGTCAGTGGTCCTGGTTAACTTACCCCTCCCTCCACAAGGTAGTAACAGTGTAGGGAACTGTGGAAAAGGCTGTTTGCCTTCCCTGAGTCTAATTCTTCATGGAGTAAATGGAGTCTGTTTCTTCAGTACTACACCAAGTTGTTCATGAGGATCGAGTTTTCTAATATTCATGAAAATACTTTGTAAACCCTGGCACACCATGCTCATGTTAATCACCTTCTTACTGGAAGAAAATGCTTTAGATAATTTAGGCTTTTTTTTTTTACCCATAGAATTCCCTTCCTTCCTTCTGCTTTTTTTTTTCTTTTCTTTATTTTTTCAGAGATGATGTTTCAGTATGTTGCCCAGGCTGGTCTCGAACTCCTGGCCTCAAGCGATCCTCCTGCCTCAGCCTCCCAAGTAGCTGGAACTACAGGCATGCCTCACCATACTTTGCCCCTTCTACTTTTGTAGAGCCAAGCCTGACCTTCCTGGACTGTTGTTTTCAAGCATAATATCTCTGGTACAACATTGATACAATCCACATGAGTTCTTTAAGTAAGTGGCTAGTTACTTGGGGATTCAAAGGATCATCTTGTCTCAGACTTTGGGTTCCTATTGTCAATACTTAAATTCTATGATAGGATGCCCCAGGAAAGAAGGAATACAAGGCCGAGCTGCGTGGTGACTTTCAGGGGCCCTATTTTTGCCTTAGTAGGCCTTTCTCTCCATAAAACAGTTAATAAAAATTTCATTTTATAGTCACATTGCTATGAAGATGATTATATTAAAATGATATCATAAAACATTTTTAGACCTGTAAGTTCATTTATTGCTCTTGATTAAAAAAATTGAAACATTTTCATGGTCCTTCAGAATATCATGGTTTGTAGGCATGATGCCTCCTGCACATCATGGAGAAGTTGGCTGATGCAAAATGAATTCCTCTATAGGCACAAGTGTGTTTGTATTAATATTATGAATATAAAAACAAGGCTAGCCATGGTGGCTCATGCCTGTAACCCCGGCACTTTGGGAGGCTGAAGCGAGAGAGTCACTTGAGCCCAGGAGTTTGAGAACAACCTGGGCAACATAGAGAGACCCTGTCTCTACAAAGATTTCAAAATTAGCCAGGCATGGTGGTGCGCCCCTGTAGTCCCAGTTGCTTGTGAGGCTGAGGCAGGAGGATGGGTTGGGCTTGGGAGGTCGAGGCTGCAGTAAGCTGTGATTATGCTATTGCACTCCAGCCTGGGTGACAGAATGAGATCCTGTCTCAAAAAAATAAAAAACAAAACAAAACCTCAGCTAACCACAAAATCATCATATTTATGGGAGGACAAAATGAGATGCTTGAAAAAGATGACCTCGTAGTTTGTGGTTGTGGTTGCTTCCTAAACTACATTCTCACCGTACTTCCTAGTTATCTAACTAGGAGATTTGGATAAGGTTGAGTCCATCTCCACCACTCTCACCACCAGTTCCGGGAATGAGTCCCTAGAGGTTTAACCCGATCAATCAGGATGACCATGACTCTTCCATAGCGATTGGGGCAGGGATGGCACCTACCCCTGGCGACCCGTGCTGCTCCCCTGGCAATAGGGATTGGCTCAGAATAAAAACTTGGCCTTGTCAAGTTCAATTTTGCCCAATCTGAGTAAGGGAATCACAGAGAAACAGCACCCAATCTCTAGATCCTTCCAGTTGTGTGAGCCAACCAGTTCCAGTTATTGTGGAAGCCAGTTTCAATTGTTGTTTTGTTTTTACTAGCAACCAAAAATGTATGTAGCAATCTGTTACAGTATGTTAAAATTGAAGTTTCCACTAAGACTCCAAGATGAAGTAAAAATGAGATATCAAAGTGTGTGTGAGAGAGATTGCCCTCCTTCCTGGGGGAATCTTCAGAGTAGATTTAGGAGAGATGATTTCCTCCTGCTTATTATTATTTTTTTTTTTTTTGGAGTCTCACTCTGTCACTCAGGCTGGAGTGCAGTGACATGATCTCAGCTCACTGCAACCTCCACCTCCCAGGTTCAAGGGATTCTCCCACCTCAGCCTCCCGAGTAGCTGGGATTACAGGCACGTGCCACCACACCCAGCTAATCTTTGTATTTTTAGTAGAGACGGGGCTTTACCATGTTGACCAGGCTGGTCTTGAACTCCTGACCTCAGGTAATCCACCCACCTCGACCTCCCAAAGTGCTGGGATTACAGGCATGGGCCACCATGCTAGCTGATTTCCTCCTTCTCTTAAACACCTCTCTCACACACTTTGGGAATATAAAGGAAGGGAGAAAATCGTGACCAAGATGACTTCACTGGAAGGATCTCTTTGGAGATGGGCCCCTCCCCAATAGAGAAAATGAGGGTATCTGCCTCCTTGCCTCAATTTGGCTGATAAGAGACTTTGAGGAGACACTTACATACCTGTTGGTTCCCAGGCACTTGGGGACAGGGTGACCTGCAGGAGCGTCAAGCTGCGTGTGTTTTGGTAGCACAACAAAGGCAAACAAGGTAGGTTGTCAGCCAGATCGGAACTTTGCTGGCAGGATGTCACCTAGAGTCTTAATTTCTGCCTAAGGAGCTAACCTGGAAGCACGAAGACTCCCCAGTGGTGAGTCAAGTGTGAACAGCACTCCTGGAGAACCAGGGCAGAGGGAAAGCCAGCCTGAGATGAGGCCTTGCCCAGTGGGTCATGGGCATGCACTGGGATTTGGGATGTGCAGGGAGTCCCCGAGGGGACTAGGAGAGAGGGTCAGGTCTAACTAGATCTTACCTAAGAGTGCAAAACAAAGTTAGAACAAGTTCAAGTGTGTATTAGTCCGTTCTCATGCTGCTATAAAGAACTACTTGAGACTGGGTAACTTATAAAGGAAAGAGGTTTAACTGACTCACAGTTCTGCATGGCTTGGGGAGGCCTCAGGAAACTTGCAATCATGGCGGAAGACAAAGGGGAAGCAAAGCACGTCTTACGTGGCAGCAGGAGAGAGAGAGAGCAAGCCAAGGGGAGGTGCCACACTTTAAAACCACCAGATCTCGTGAGAACTCACTATCATGAGAACAGCCTGGGGGAACTGCCCCCATGATCCAATTACTCCCACCACGCCCCTCCCTCAACACATGGAGATTGCAATTCAAGATGAGATTTGGGTGGGAACACAGAGCCAAACCATATCAAAGTGAAAACTGTCCTATCCCCCACTTTCCCCATCTCAGGCTAGGCAGAAATGAAAACCGCAGGGAACAGGTGAGGTGGGAAAGAGCAGGGCCAGCCACAGCCCCTTCCCCACCTGAGGCAGGGAAGGCTAAGGCGGCCTATGTCCTACCTGGGGCAAAGGGAAAACAGTTCTCATCCTGTAGTGAAGATTGCCATGTTGATTAGTATCTTGGACTGACGCTACCATTTCTTCACTGGGATTCTGTTTGCAATGAAAGTGCCTACAGAATTGTCTATTCCCTAAGAGGACCTTAGAAGAACACAGAGAGCATGCACTAAAATTCTGCTCGTGTGGGGAGGGATTCTTTGCAAAGGTTTGTAGGAGAGAACCATGAGGGATGGTACAGGAATCCAGGTTAAAAGCAATGAGGCCAACACCACCCCTCCCTCGACCTAGAGGGATGCTGGGCGAGGTTACCAGAAAGAAGGAGAGTTGCGAAGAGCAGACCACCTTGAGACAATCACCTTCCATCCAGGGTCACAGTCACCAGCTGGGGTGACCTCATAGGGAGGGAGGCAGGAGATTAAATTCTCTGACCTCGCTCTCTTCTGTCCCTCCAGTTTCCTGCTGGAACTCGCCATTGCCCATATCCAGCCAGAATCCACAGGGCACGTAGCATATTGATGTAATCCATACAAGTTCACCATGGTCAAGAGCAGGGTGGAGCGTGAATGGGAAGGGATCCCACACACAGACTGCCCTTGTGCTCATCTAGGGCCACAGGGAAGGCGGTCGTCACCGAAGAAGGTCTAAGGGCGTAGCAGAAGGCAAAATGTGAAAGAGAGTTCCATTTTTATTATAACCTGCAGTCTTTTCTTGCACAACATATGGGTTACTTGAACTACCTGATTCAACCCTAATTTTTGGCTTGATTCGAAAGCTTTAGTGTAAATAACAAACAAATGCTCATCTAATTTATATCAATGGCTAGCACTAGAGGGGAGAGAGACAGAGCAAGAAAATATAACTGGGGGAGAGAAGGAAAAAGAGAAGAAACAAATGAGATCTTAATAATTTGGGAGAATTGTGGCCTTTTAAGAGTGCTCTGGCAATTGAGGAAAATCAGAAATTAATGGCTATAGGCCGAGCGCAGTGGCTTATGCTTATAATCCCAGCCCTTTAGGAGGCCAAGGGGGTGGATCACCTGAGGTCAGGAGTTAGAGACCAGCCTGGCCAACATGGCGAAACTCCATCTCTACTAAAAATACAAAAATTAGCCAGCTGTGGTGGTGGTCCCCTGTAGTCCCAGCTACTCAGGAGGCTGAGGCAGGAGAATCATTTGAACCTGGAGGGTGGAGGTTGCAGTGAGATGAGATTGCACCACTGCATTCCAGCCTGGGTGAAAGAGTGAAACTCTGTCAAAAAAAAAAAATTAATGGCTACAGAATGCAATCAAATGGCTATATTTTAATTTCATTCGCTTCCTTACACTAACATGATGGGATGACAGGTAGCTGGAATCAGTGAGCTGGCTCCTTTAGTGCATAAAGAGTCGGCTGCAGCTGCATCTGAGGACCAGTTGATCCAATTCTTTTTCTTTTTTTTTTTTTTTTTGAGACAGTCTTAGTCTGTCACCCAGGCTGGAGTGCAATGGCGTGATCTCAGCTCACTGCAACCTCCACCTCCCTGGTTCAAGCAATTCCCCTGCCTTAGCCTCCCGAGTAGCTGGGATTACAGGTGCACGCCACCACACCCGGCTAATTTTTTTGTATTTTTAGTAGAGACAGTATTTCACCATGTTGGCCAGACTAATCTCGAACTCCTGACCTCAGGCAATCCGCCCACCTCGACCTCCCAAAGTGCTGGAATTACAGGCGTGAACCACTGTGCCCAGCCTCTCAATGTAAAATTCTTCTATCAGCCCCTCACTTTCTTTCTGAGCTCTCCTTTGTTTCCCCACAGTTCTGTTCATTTTTTTTTTTTATACAACTGGAGGAAGATGGCTAAGACTGATCACCAGGGCTATGCTATAGCCCTTAGGGAATAATAGGTTTTAGCGTCTATGCCAAACATGTAAATCTCCCTTTTAACTAAAAGGGTATTTTCTAAACACAGCACAGACTAATCAGAAAGTGAGTTTTGTGACTTCTGAATCTGGAATAATATCAGAGATGCTTAAGATTACAAATCAAGTATTCTTGGAGAGATTCAAGAAACATCGTATCCATAGCTGAAGGATTGAAAGATAAAGGAATTCACAGAATATATAATCAAATAAGTAAGAAATGTAAATGGCCAAAGAAAAGACAAGAGGCATAGGTCCAGGAGGTCCAACATCTGACTAATAGGTGGTTCAAATATACAGGGAACACAAAATAAAGAGAAAAAATCATTAAAAAAAAATACAGTTGACTGAGCACAGTGGCTCATGCCTGTAATCCCAGCGCTTTGGGAGGCTGAGGTGCGTGGGTCATTTGAGGTCAAATGTTCGAGACCAGCCTGGCCAACCTGATGAAATCCAGTCTCTACTAAAAATACAAAAATTAGCTGGGCAGTAGTGACGCATGCCTGTAATCCCAGCTACTCAGGAGACTGAGGCAGGAGAATCACTTAAGCCTAGGAGGCGGAGGCTGCAGTGAGCCAGGATCATGCCACTGCACTCCAGCCTGGGCGACAGAGTGTCAAAAAAAAAAAAAAAAGAGAGAGAGAGAGAGAAAAGAAAGAAAAGAAAAGAAAAAGGAAGGAAGGAAGGCAGCAGGCAGGCAGGCAGACAGACAGCAATTGTCACTGCACTCCAGCCTGGGCAACAGAGTGAGGCCCTGTCAAAAAAGAAAGAAAGAAAAGGAGAGAGAGAGAAAGGAAAGAAAGAAGGAAGAAAGGAAGGAGAGGAGATGGAAGGGGAGGGGAGGGAAGAGGAGAGGAAGAAGGGAGGGAATGCAATTGCCCAGAGCTAAAAGATGAATCTTCAGATTGGAAGAGCATACTAATTTCCTGGCACAAGAAATGAAATAATCTCACACCAAGGCTTAACATTGTAAATTATCAGAACTCCAACCTTCAGAGAAATTTCTAAAAGTTTCAGAGAAGAGGGAAAAGGTGCAAGAATCAGATCACATTAGACTTCTCATCAGCAACCTGACTTCAGAAGCCAGAAAGCTCAAAGTTCAGTGGGCAGGTGATTTTCAGACTAGAGTTATATACCCATTCCAATCATGATCCAGGTATAATTGACATTTTCAGATGTAACAGAACTTGAAAATTTTATCTTTTACGTAGCTTTTTTTTTTTTTTTTGAGACATAGTCTTGCTCTGTCACCCAGGCTGGAGTGCAATGGCGTGATCTCGGCTCCCTGCAACTTCCGCCTCCTGGTTTCAAGTGATTCTCCTGCCTCAGCCTCCTGAGTAGCTGGGATTACAGGTGTCCACCACTACGCCTGGCTAATTTTTGTATTTTTAGTAGAGACGGGGTTTCACCAGGTTGGCCAGGATGGTGTTGAACTCCTGACCTCAGGTGATCCACCTGCCTCGGCCTCCCAAAGTGTTGGGATTACAGGTGTGAGCCACCGCACCCGGCCACATAGCTTTTCTTATTTGAAAATATGCTACAATAAGAAATGTAGAAAGATAGGTCACTATAAAAGAAAAGCAAATATTTAATATATGAAAAGATTCTCTGCCATGCTCATTTTTAAACTACACTAAAAACTAATAGCTCACCTGTCACCCTGATAAAATCCAGAAGTTTGACAACATGATCTGTTTTCCATACTGTTGCCCAAGAAAACAGGCACTTTCATACATTGTTGATAGAAATGCAAGATATTATAACCTCTATGGAAAGGAATTTGGCAATATCTAACACAATTGCATACATATGTATCCTTTCTCTCTCTTTCTCACACACACACACACACACACACACACACACACACCTCACATCTAGGAGCTGATTCCAAAAGTACACTGGCAAAAATATGGTAAAACATGAACACAAGACATTGCAGCACTACTTGAAATGGAAAAGACTGAAAACAACCCAAACATTCATCAACTGGGAAGTGAATGGATAAGCTGTAGTACAACCACATGATGGGAACATTACGTACCTGTGAAAAAGAAAGAGGCTTATCTCTACATGCCATGGAGGGGACACCAGAATAAACGGTTAAGTAAAAAAAGGCAGGCTGGGCGCAGTGGCTCAGTCAGGCCTGTAATCTTAGCACTTTGGGAGGCCAAGGTGGGAGGATTACTTGGGTCCAGGAGTTCGACACCAGCCTGGGTGACATGGCAAGACCCTGTCTCTACTAAAAATACAGAAAAAGTTAGCTGGGCATGGTGGCACATGCCTGTAGTCTCAGCTACTCAGGATGCTGAGGTGGGAGGATTGCTTGAGCCTAGGAGGCAGAGGTTACAGTGAGCCAAGATTGAGCCACTGCACTCCAGCCTGCACAACAGAGCAAGACCCTGCCTCAAAAAAAAAAAAAAATGTTTTTTTTTAAATGTAATTTGCCAATGGACATCTAAAAAAAGGTAGGGGGAAGACATTAATACACATACATATTTACTTATATTTTTAAAAATTGAAGGATATACCAAAAACATTTTTTAAAAGTGCCTACTTAGCTGAAAGTAACAGAAACACAGAAGAGGAATAGGAACTACGGATCCACAAGTGTACCTTGTCTTGTATATTTGACTTTGGAATCATGTAACTATTTGACATAAATATAAAACAAAATCTTTTTTTAAAAAAGCAATCTCTAAATATGTAGATATTGAATATATCTAGTGGATGGCATAGCTGCATGGAGAAGAACTATTTTGAGTAATTTTAAAACATGAACTTGACTATACGTATCTCATGAGATATACCCTAAGTACCAAAATAAATAAATACATTTCTACCATCTCTTTCCCAAAAAGATTTTAAACCATTTTTAGTAAGCATGTTGTTGTTGTTAGAATTGATATTGTTAGCTGCAAAAAAATAAAATAAAATACTTAGGAATATACCTAACCAAAAAGGTGAAAGACCTCTACAAAGAAAACTACAGAACACTGCTGAAAGAAATCATAGATGACACAAACAAATGGAAACACATCTCATGCTCATGGATGGGCAGAATCAATATTGTCAAAATGACCATACTTCCAAAAAGCAATCTACGAATTCAATGCAATTCCCATCAAAATACCACCATCATTCTTCACAGAACTAGAAAAAACAATCCTAAAATTCATATAGAACCAATAAAGAGCCCACCCAGCCAAAGCAAGACTAAGCAAAAAGAACAAATCTGGAGGCATCAAATTGCCTGATTTCAAACTATGCTATAAGGCCATAATCACCAAAACAGCATGGTACTTGTATAAAAATAGGCACATAGACCAATGGAACAGAATAGGGAACCCAGAAATAAACCCAAATACCTAGAGTCAACTGATCTTTGACAAAGCAAACAAAAACATAAAGTGGGGAAAGGGCACCCTATTCAACAAATGATGCTGGGATAATTGGCAAGCCACATGTTGAAGAATTAAACTGGATCCTCATCTCTCACCTTATACAAAAATCAACTCAAGATGGATTAAGGACTTACATCTAAGACCTGAAACTATAAAAATTCTAGAAGATAACATTGGAAAAACCCTTCTAGACATTGGCCTAAGCAAAGATTTCATATCCAAGAACCCAAAAGCAAATGCAACAAATACAAAGATAAATAGGTGGGACTTAATTAAACTAAAGAGCTTTTGCATGACAAAAGGAAAATCGGCAGAATAAACAGACAATCCTCAGAGTGGGAGAAATCTCCACAATCTATACATCTGACACAGGACTAATATCCAGAATCTACAAAGAACTCAAATCAGCAAGAAAAAAAAAAAAATTTCATCAAAAAGTGGGCAAGGACATGAATAGACAATTCTTAAAAGAAGATATACAAATGGCCAACAAACATATGGAAAATGCTCAACATCACTAATGATTAGGGAAAGGCAAATCAAAACCACATTGCAATACCATCTTACCCACACAAGAATGGCCATAATCAAAAAATCAAAAAATAGTAGATGTTGGCACGGATGCAGTGAACAGGGAACACTTCTACACTGCTGGTGGGAATGTAAATTAGTACAACCACTATGGAAAACAGTGTGGAGATTCCTTAAAGAACTAAAACCATTTGATCCAGCAATCCCACTACTGGGTATCTATCCAGAGGAAAATAAATTATTATATGAAACAGATACTTGCACACACATGTTTATAGCAGCACAATAGCAATTGCAAAAATGTGGAACCAGCCCAAATGCCCATCAATCAATGAGTGGATAAAGAAACTGTGAGAGAGAGATATATATATATTCCATTATATATATATACTGTATATATATACAGTATATATATTCCATTATATATATATACTGTATGTATATACCATTATATATATACTGTATATATACAGTATATATATTCCATTATATATATACAGTATATATACTCCATTATATATATACAGTATATATATTCCATTATATATATACTGTATATATCTACTGTGATATATATATTCCATATATAGTCCACATATATATAGTCCACATATATATATAGTCCACATATATATAGTCCACATATATATATATTCCACATATATATAGTCCACATATATATAGTCCACATATATATATAGTCCACATATATATAGTCCACATATATATAGTCCACATATATATATATATAGTCCACATATATATATCTTCCACATATATATATCTTCCACATATATATATCTTCCACATATATATATTCCACATATATATATTCCACATATATATATTCCATTATATATATAATGGAATACTACTCAGCCACAAAGAGGCATTTGCAGCAACCTGGACTGGATTGGAGACTATTATTCAGGAATAATAGTAATTCCTGAAGTAATTCAGGAATGGAAAACCAAACATTGTATGTTCTCACTCATAAGTGGGAGCTAAGCTATGAGGATGCAAAGGCATAAAAATGATACAGTGGATTTTGGGGACTCAGGGGGAAAGGGTGGGAAGCGGGTGGGGGATAAAAAACCACAAATTGGGTTCAGTGTACACTGCTCAAGTGACAGGTGCACCAAAATCTCACAAATCACCACTAAATAACTTACTCATGTAAGCAAATACCACCTGTTCCCCAAAAACCTATGGAAATAAAAAGTTTTTGAAAAAAAGAACAAAAATAATAAATTCTTCCAAAGACAAAAAAGAATTGATATTGCTATTCTGGGGTCGTTTGTGTGTACGTTGTATATTGAGTAATTATGTTAGTCTTGTTGGGAATATAATTTTAAGTTTTGGAGAAAGAGATACAGCTAAGAAAGATAAGGTTAAGTAAAAACTCCATGCTTGTGATTTTGAAGTGGAAGCATCAGTATGAACTCATGCTATTTTTTATCTCAAAAAATAAATATTTTCTAGCTCTCTACATTGAATTGGTCTAAACATTATAACCAACCCAGTAGCAACAAGCACCCCTATCATCTAGACCATGATAGCTAAATACCATTTTCTACTAAGAACTGGGATTCCTTGGAGAAATGACTGAATTCAAGGTTCGCGGGGGTATCCAATCTTTTGGCTTCCCTGGGCCACACTGGAAGAAGAATAATTGTCTTGGGCCACACATAAAATACACAAATAGTAACAATAGCTGATGAGCTTTAAAAAAAATGCAAAAGAATCTCATAATGTTTTAAGAAAGTTTATGAATTTGTATTGAGCCACACTCAAAGCCATCCTGGGCCACATGTGGCCTATGGCAAGCTTGTTCTAGGACAAGAAATGTACAAAATGTACATAGATTTAAGTTCAAAAATGCATTTTATATATATATATTTCTGAGACAGAGTCTCACTCCATTACCCAGTCTGGAGTGTAGTGGCATGATCTTGGCTCACTGCAACCTTCACCTCTTGGGTTCAAGCCGATTCTCCTGCCTCAGCCTCCTGAGTAGTTGAGACTGACTACAGGTGTGCACAACCATGCTTGACTAATTTTTGTATTATTTTAGTAGAGACGGGGTTTCACCCTGTTGGTCAGGCTGGTCTTGAACTTCTGGCCTCAAGTGATCCTTCTGCCTCGGCCTCCCAAATTGCTGGGATTACAGGCATGAGCCACCGTGCCCAGCCTCAGAAATGCATAATTTTTTTAAGCTTCTTATTATTTACTGTTGGAAGACGCTAGGCAGGGATAAATAGGTGCAGCATAAAAGACTTTCAGGGCAGTGAAACTACTTTGTATGATACGATAATGGTGGATACATGTTATTATACATTTTCCCAAACCCGTAGAATGTACAACAACAGTGAACCCTAATGTAAACTATGGACTCTGGGTGATAATGATGTGTCATTGTCATTGTTGGTTCATCAGTTGTAACAAATGTACCACTCTGAGGCAGCAGGTGGATAATGGGGAGGCTATGCAGGTGTGTGGGCTGGAGGTATATAGAAAATCTGCCCCTTTTTCTCAATTTTGCTATGAATATAAAACCGCTCTTTAAAAAAAAAGGTTTATTAGAAAGAGAGAGAGTAAGAATAGGAAAGAGAAGATACCTGTAAATTTAACAAGACTTCAGAGACACATCTCCCATCAAGCAATTGCAACACATGGCCCTTACTTGCTCCCAATTTGAGCAAATTAACTGTAAAAAAATTATGAGACAAATAAGGAAAATGTGAGCATTGACTAGATAGTTGATTCAATTAAATAATATTCAGGTGGGATAATATGGTTTTGTTTAAAAAAAAAAGCCCTCCTGCAGAGATACATAGAGAAATATTTGCAGATGAAATGATATATTTTGAATTTGCTTCACAGTAATCCAGGGTTGGAGACGTGGGTAGGGTTACAGATGAAACTAAATTGGCCTTGGCCATGATTTGATAAAAACTGTTCAAGTTGAGTGATGGTTACATGTGAATTAATTATGCTTTCTCACTGCTTTTGCAAATGTTGAAATTATCTATGATAAAAATTGAGTTTTTATCAAAGTTATGCAAATTTTGCATGTACTCTGATATACACCTATGTTTGTTTCAGTATTAAAATGTAACTTTTTTTCCTTTGAGATGGAGTCTTGCTCTGTCGTCCAGGTTGGAATACAGTGGCGTGATCTTGGCTCACTGCAAGCTTCTCCTCTTGGGCTCAAGCGATTCTCTTGCCTCAGCCTCCTGAGTAGCTGGGATTACAGGTGTGCACCACCACGCCTGACTGATTTTTGTATTTTTAGTAGAGACAGGGTTTCACCATGTTGGCCAGGCTGGTCTCGAACTCCTGACCTCAGGTAATTCACCTGCCTTTGCCTCCCAAATTGCAGGTAATTCACCTGCATTTGCCTCCCAAATGTTGGCTCCCAATGGCTGGGCATGGTGTGAGCCACCATGCCCAGCCATTAAAATGTAACTTTTATAGCAAAAATCTTTAATAAAAACATGGACACTCCAGAAAGAAGTGTGTTTATTTTGAGGATTTATATTCCCAGGATGTGACATTGTTTGCCCAGTGCAGAGGCTGATTAATGGCCCCCAAAAATATCTACATTCTAGTCCCCTAAGCCTGTGCATTTTACTTTATGTGGCAAAAGGGACTTTGCAGATGTGATTAAGGATTGTGAGATGGAAAAATTATCCTTGATTACCTGCACGGACCCAGTATAATCACAACTGTCCTTATAAGAAGAGGAGCTTTGGAAGAAGAGAGAGTTGACTACGGAAGAGGGAAAAGGTGATGTGATAATGAAAGCAGGGGAGGACGGCAGTGTGGTGGGGGCCATGAACCAAGGAATGAGGACAGCCCCCCGAAGCTGGAAAGGGCAAGGAAACAGATTCTCTCCTGGGGCCTCCAGAAGGAACCAGTCCTGGCAACACCTTGTTTGAGTCCCATAAGACTCATTACAGGCTACTGGCCTCCAGAACTGTAAGGCAAAAAAAAAATAGAAATTGACATAAGGTAAGACACCAAATCTATGTTGTTTTAAGTCACCAAGTTTCTAGTAACATGTTGCAGCAGCCATAGCACACTAATGCACCCAGGTTGCAAATCTCAGGGGTACTGGAAACAGCAGGGCCTGGAGACGGCTGTATCTGGCTGTATCCAGCTCTTTGCCTGGAAAATGAGGTCCCACCACCTGAGACCATAGTATTGTGAGAATTGCCTAAAGCACCTCGTCCAGGTCATCGTTCAATAAACGTTTGTGCCGTCTCCCTCTCTAGATTTCTCCCTTCTACCTTTCTCTCCACACTCAATCTGTAGTTGTGATGATCACTAATGTAATAGAAAACATCCTAGAAAAAAGAACTTCACCTTCAAGACTTGGGTTACAAATTAAAGGGAGAAGAAAAACAATGCTAACAGTCAAGGACTTTGAGGTATTTGTTAATATAAGTATGTCATTATTATCTTAGAGTTAACCTTGACAGCAGTGTCACTTCTTACTAATGTCAAAGGGGCAACATTTTTTTAAATTGTTTTTCTACTAGGGGACTTGCATGGATCTTTTTTTTTTTTCTAGTCAGTCTCTGCTTATCCATCATGGATATTTTAAAATCCAGATTATTATCAGACAAATAAATTCAACTTAATAATCAGTATTTTGTCAGACAGAAGTAAAAATTCCAAACTAATAAAATTATGCTCAACTGGAAAATGTAGGAAGGTCTTTTTAATTTTATCCATTCTGTAGAGGTATCTACTGGTTTTGTTTTTTGTTGTTTGCTTGTTTTTTGAGACAGAGTCTTACTCAGTTGCCCAGGCTGGAGTGCAGTGGTGCAATCTCGGCTCACTGCAAGCTCCACCTCCTGGGTTTACACCATTCTCCTGCCTCAGCCTCCCGAGTAGCTGGGACTACAGGCGCCTGCCACCACACCTGGCTAATTTTTTTGTATTTTTAGTAGAGAAGGGGTTTCGCCATTTTAGCCAGGATGGTCTCGATCTCCTGACCTTGTGACCCACCCGCCTCAGCCTCCCAAAGTGCTGGGATTACAGGCATGAGCCGCCGCACCCGGACAGGTGTCTCCTGATTTTAATTGCATCTCCCTGATGACTAATGACTTGGAGCACTTTTTGATGTGCGTATTGGCTATTCACATATCTTTCTTTATAAAGTATCTGTTCAAGTCTATGGCCAGTTTTTTAATTGGGTTATCTGTCTTTTTATTATTGATGTATATACTCTTGGTATAAATTCCTTAGTAGATATATAATTTTTAACTTTCTTTCCAGTATGTGGCTTGCCTATTCATTTTCTTAGTAATCACTTTCGATAAACAAATGTTTTAAATTTCAGCTGAATGTAATTTATCAATATGTCCATTTCTACAGTTTGTAAAGCTGCTGGGATGATGATTGGGATTGCAGGGAACACGATCAATTTGGGGCCATTTAACATCTTAATAATACTGAATTTTTCAAACCATAAGCTGGTATCTCTCTCCATATTTTAGGTCTTATTTCGTCTCTCTCAGTAACATTTTGCAGGTTTTACTCTTGCATATCTTTTGTTAATTTTATTCCTATGTGTTTTATAATTTTTGACACTAACAGAAAACATTTATGATAGTATCAAAAAAGCATTAATTACACTTAAAAATAATGTGTATTCTGCAACTGTTGAATATAGTATTCTATCCAAGGCAACTAGATCTAGATGATGGATAGTGGTATCACTACTGGCAGCAAATTCATACGGGTCTGCAGCAACCTCAATTCTTGCCTCCTCAGAAGGAAGAATTCAACTAAGGGGCATAAGACAGGAAAAGCGCCTGAAGCAAGTTTTAGAACAGGAGTGAACGCTTATTAGAAAGCTTTAGAGCAGGAACGAAAGGAAGTAAAGTACACATGGAAGGGGGCCAAGCGGGCAACTGGCGAGATCAAGTGCACAACTGGGCCTTTTGTCTTTGGGCTTTATATGTGGGCATACTTCTGGGGACTTGCATTCCTTCTCCCCTGATTCCTCCCTGGGGGTGGGCTGTCCACATGCCATGCTTGAGCCCACTCGCCCAACTCCTGAGATCCTATCAGGAAGCTGATGACCAGTTTTAGGTGTTTTCTATCTATTGGGATTCTGCCTTTTCTTGGCGCCGCCTGTGACCAATTATTACTTTAGAGAGATAGTTAACAACAGCCTAACCATCACTTGATGTTTGCCCGACACTCCTGGTGTATGTGTAGGGGGAGCCCTCTCCTGCCTTGCTCATACCTGACTAGCTACCCATTATAACAGTATTAGTCTGCTTGGTCTGCCCAACTAGCCCAAAGTCCCAGAGTAGGTGTCTTAACAGAAATATGGCCAGGAGTGGTGGTTCATGCCTGTAATCCCAGCACTTTGAGAGGCCGAGGCAGGCGGATCTCCTGAGATCAGGAGTTCGAGACCAGCCTGGCCAACATGGTGAAACCCCATCTCTACCAAAAATACAAAAGTTAGCCAGACGTGGTGGCACCTGCCTGTAATCTCAACTACTTGGGAGGCTGAGGCAGGAGAATTACTTGAACTCAGGAGGCAGAGGTTGGAGTAAGCCAAGATCACGCCACTGCACTCCAGCCTGGACAACAGAGCAAGACTCCATCTCAAAAAACAAAACAAAACAAAACAAAAAACAAAAACACAGAAATGTATTTCCTCACAATTCTGGAGGCTGGAAGTCCAAGATCAAGGTATAAGTGGGCCTGGTTTCGTTCTGAGGCCCCTTGCAATTGTCAATGGCCATCTCCTCCCTGTGTCTTCACATCATCTTCTTTCTGTGCCTCGGTGGTATCCCAACCTCCTCTTCTTATGAAGACACCAGTCATCTTGGATTAGAACCCATTGTCATGGCTTTTTAACCTAATTATCTCCTTAAAGATCCTATCTCCAAATACAGTCACATTCTGAGATACTGGGGGTGAAGGCTTCAACTTAGGAATTTGGGGGAGCACAATTCAGCCCAGAATAGTGTTATTTGCACAGTGTTGTACACACCTGGGAGACATGTGTACAGCAGTGTACACAGAAACATCTGGAAGTACACAGGTGGGTGCATGGTGTGGGGGATGTCTTTGTGATATTTTGATATAAGAAACATGTAGAGTCATGTGTCACTTCACAACGGGGTTACATTGTGATAATTGCATCGCTAGGTGATTTCGTTATTGTGTGAACATCAGAGAGTCTACTTACACGAATCTAGAGGGCACAGCCTACCACACACCTCGGCTGAACGGCCTAGCCTATTGTCTCCAAGGCTATAAACCTATTGTTACTATGCTGAATACTGTAGGCAATTATAACACAATGGTAAGGATTTATGATAGTATTATGATATTATTAGTGTTAGATATAAACATATCTAAACATACAAAAAGTACAGTAAAAATACACTATAAAAGATTTTTTTAAAAATAGTACATCTGTATAGGGCCCTTACCATGAATGAAGCCTCCAGGCCTGGAAGTTGCCCTGCATGAGGCAGGGAGTGGTGAGTGAATGCGAAGGCCTAGGACATTACTGGACACTACTGTAGACTTTATAAGCACCACACTTAGCCTATACTAAATTTATTTATAAAATAAAGTAAATGTGCAATGATGTTATGTTGGCTACGGTGTCACTAGTGATAGGAATTTTTCAGCTCCATTATAATCTTATGTGACCACTGTTCTATATGGAGCTGGTCATTGATGGAAGCATTATTAGTCAGCATTTGACTGTATTTGATCTTTGTCCCTGGTAGCACAGAACTCATAAAACTTGCAATATCTGAGTAATGGGGTAAGAGAAGCATCTTCTGTTAATCAGCATAAGCCACTTTCAACTCTACCTGAGTTTATGCCAATGAGGTGGGGGCTAGTTGTCAGAGGAACCAACCATATATTAGAGGGTTGCAATGTTCACTCCCACCCTGGAAAGGGGAGAGAGGCTGGGGATTGAGTTCATTCACTGATAGCCAGTGATTTCATCAATGGTGCCCACATAATGGAATATAATAATCATCTAGATGGCATAGCACATGATAAAACCCTACAAAAACCCTCCTCAAGGGGCTTCAGAGAACTTCCAAGTTGGTGAACACATTGAGGTGCTGGGAGGGTGTGCACCTGGATCAGGCGTGGAAAAATCCGTGCCCTTTCCCACACCCTGCCCCATGTGTCTCTTCCACGTGGCTGTTCCTGAGTTGTATTCTTTTATGACAAACCAGTCATCTAGTAAGTGAACTGTTTGACCTGAGTTCTGTGTGTGAGCCATTCTAGCAAATGACATAGTGTCAGGATTGAGTTACATTGTAGGACACCCAGCGAGTGTCTACCAAGAATAGGAAATTGCTTGGTATGGAAAAGCCCACAAGTCTGGCGTCAGAAATGTACGGTGTAGCGGGAGCAGAGGTTTTATTTTACTTTTCAAGTAGATATTTTGCCCCTCACTTGGGAAACACAAGAGCCTCATTCCTCCCCTTCTGGTCAACTGAACTACCCTCAAAGTGCTCCCCAAGGAATGCCTCAGGCGTGGCAGGCCTCAGCAAAACCAGCGGAGGGGCTCAAGTTATCTGGGTGGACTGTCTACACTGTCAATACCCAGGTTTACTCTGATACTGTAGACCTGAATCAAGAACACAAGAAAGCTGGGCGTATTGGAGGGAAAGGCCATGTAAGCCGTGTGTTTTGGCCTCCTAATTCTCAAAGGCTAAATTCTAGGGTTCCTCTCACCTGTGGTCCTGCTCATTCCAGATGTTCAGAATGTTCCTCTTGTTAGTGTCTGAGGATCTCAGAGGAGGGTGTATAATTTGGAGTCAAGCTCTACAGAAACCCAGAAGAATCTGCGTCACGTGTGGTATCAGCCAAGAGCTGAGTGGACTCTATTTCCCAAGAGCTTGGACCACATGGGGTTGTGTCAGAGATAAACAGCCTTTTGAGTCTGAACAAATGCAGCCGGCTGGTTGGTTCTTGGGGGGCTTAGATATAAGTGGAGAGGTGCACTCTGTTGGGGCAGGGGGCTCTCTTTTGGTTTTAATTAACTGGCTATGAGTACATGACAGAGGTTTACAAGTTCACGGCTGGCATCACTCGATTTCTGCCCTCAGATATTGAATCTAAGCCAGCAGTTTGGTGGTTGCTCAATAGCATCCAGAATTGCTTAAATGTAAGTCAAGGGCACTGTCGGGCTTACATTTTGGTTCTTTTAACTTTTCAAGTATTTAAGACAAAAAGCGATTGTCTTTCCAGCCCTATTGGGCATCTTCTAAGGGGCCCTGGGCGACTATTTCCCGCCCAGCTCCCTGTCCTCACACAGAGAGGGATCCTAGGGCTGCCCTGGAAAGCCGTTCTCCTGCCTCTCTGCTCTGTGTGCTTTGGAGTTTTATCAAGAAGGGGCAGATGGGAAGCTCTGCTGGATGCTGGCGTTGTGAGACACACCCCCCTGACCTTTCTTCCAGCCAAATAGCTCTGATAAGTGGGCAGACCTTGAGCCTAGAGACCCACAGACACACTTGGACGATTCCTGCAGAAATCAGTGAGGCAGTCTCCTCCCAGGGGCTTGGCGCCTGGCTCGAGGCGAGGCTGCCGGCCCGGACGCTGACTGCCCAGTGCCACAGACATGGCCAACGGGACCAACGCCTCTGCCCCATACTACAGCTATGAATACTACCTGGACTATCTGGACCTCATTCCCGTGGACGAGAAGAAGCTGAAAGCCCACAAACGTAAGTCTGAACTAGGGAAGCCGGTCAGACAGAGGCTGGGGGCCGGGGCCCAAATGACTGGGCACTCCCGGCTTTCTCTGCATTCACTTATTAACTCCGGTAGACATCATGGGAAAGCAGGAATGTGGCCAGTTCACTCATAGATATAAATGAATGGGGCTGGGAGAGAAACTGTATTTGCTAACTTCTGTAATAAGCTTGGAATTAACCTGCTAAGTCACGAAGACACTTTGGAAGCAGAATTTTTATTTTTTACTTTATTTTATTTTATTTTGGAGATAGGGTCTAGCTCTGTTGCCTAGGCTGGAGTGCAGTGGCGTGACCATAGCTCACTGCAACCTCGACTGCCCTGGGTCAAGTAATCCTCCTACCTCAGCCTCCCAAGTAACTGAGACTATGGGCACATGCTACCACGCCTGGTTAATTTTGTGTATTTTTTTATAGAGACATGTTATATTGCCCAGGCTGGTCTGGAACTCCTGGCCTCAAGTGATCCCCCAATCTCGGCTTCCCAAAGTGCTGGGATTACAGGTGTGAGCCACCGTGCCTGGCGAGAATATTCTTTTAAAGATAGATTTCTTGTTTAATTTGTTTGGGGCTCCAATAAGCTGAGCGAGTTTCCTCAAATTAAAGATTTGCCTTTTCCACTGTCTGTATTTAGATTTGGGACAGTTATTCTCTCCATCCCTAAAATGCAGATTTAATGATTTTTACTAAAATGCCAACATACGTTTAATCTTCATAGTCTCAGCAAGGACAAACCAGCATGACTTCACTTCTTTTTGCTCATCTGCCCTCGGGTTCCTTATCTCTTGGCTAACGTGGCATGTGTGGACAATCTTCTCTGAGGAGTCCAGCTACTTGATCACAATGACAAATTAGATGCGGAAGTGAGCATGAGAAACAAAACAAAAACAAAGCCTGGGAAGATTGGGTCTCAGCCCTGGAAACCCATGCGCTACCTATCCCGTAGGAAGTCTTAGCTTCCTTGGGTTTTCACTCACTATAATCACATACTGTCTGTCAAACAGTAAATGCAGGGCTGGGTGCAATTGCTCACGCCTGTAATCCCACCAACTAGAGAGGATCACTTGAGGCCAGGAGTTCGAGGCCAGCCTGGGCAACACAGTGAGATCCCATCTCCACACACACACAGAAAAAGTAAACGCAGACCAGGCATGGTGGCTCATGCCTGTAATCCCAGCACTTTGGGATTACGTCGTATGTCAGATGCGTCATGTGTCATGCATCCTATGTCAGGGGCGTCACGCGTCCTATGTCAGATGTCACACATCCTATGTCAGGGGCGTCACGCATCCTATGTCGGATGCATCACGCGTCCTGCGTCGGATGCGTCATGCGTCCTATGTCAGATGTTTCACACGTCTTATGTCAGGGGCGCCATGCGTCCTATGTCGGATGTGTCACGCATCCTATGTCACGTCATGCGTCGCATGTCAGATGCGTCACGTGTCCTATGTCAGATGTTTCACACGTCATGTCAGGGGCGTCACACGTCCTATGTCGGATATGTCACGCGTCGTATGTCAGATGCGTCACACGTCCTATGCCGGGGGCGTCACACGTCCTATGTCGGATGTGTCACGCGTCCTATGTCAGGGGCGTCATGCGTCCTATGTCGGGGCGTCATTCGTCCTATGTCAGTGTGTCGTGCGTCCTATGTCAGGGGCGTCATGCCTCCTATGTCGGATGTGTCATGCATCCTATGTCAGGGGCGTCATGTGTCCTATGTCGGATATGTCATGCGCCCTATGTCAGGGGCGTCATGCGTCCTATGTCGGGTGTCATGCATCCTATGTCGGGGCGTCATGTGTCTATGTGTCATGATATATCGTGTATGTCATATCAATGATATATCATGATTTCAAAGATGTATCATATTTCATATATCATGATATATGATATGATGATATATCGCATATGTATCAGATATATCAAATATATCATATGATATATATCATATCATATATCCATATATATCATGATATATCGTATATGATATCATATATCATATGATATATGATGGCTAATTTCTTTGTATTTTTAGTAGAGACGTGGTTTCACCGTGTTAGCCAGGATGGTCTCGATCTCCTGACCTTGTGATCCACCTGCCTCACCTTCCCAAAGTGCTGGGATTACAGGCGTGAGCCACCACGCCTGGCCCAATTAGGATGGATTGTAAAATGTTTGTGCTTATGCTCTGATGTGTGATGTGTGGGTTAGCACCATGCCCTTGGTGCTTTCTCATGATAGTGAGTGAGTTATTAGGAAATCTGGTTGTTTAAATGTGTGTGCCATCTCCTCTTTCTTCCTCTTGCTCTGGCCATGGAAAGTGCTGGCTCCCCCTTTGCCTTCTGCCATAATCGTAAGTTTCCTGAGGTCTCCCCAGAAGCAGAAGCTGCCATGCCTGTTTCCTGAGGCCCTGCCTGAATTGACTAATTACATGTTTGATCTTCATCTGTGCCCTTTTCCGAGGCTAAGCTTAGAAGAAAATCAATCTTACAGCAGCAATACAGATTATTCTAACATAGTGAGTCTCCAGATACCAGCCTAATGCTCCCTTTCAGAGAGTAGGATGGGCTGATTTCCCTTGAGTAGTGCCTGGCTTAATGCTCTATTATTTACCTCTCAGGTCAATATATCTGCTTCCCTTTAGTTATGGGTTAAGAAGAACTGGTCATAGTCCATATTGACCTCTGCTGTCATGGTGGTTCAATGAGACAGTCTGTTCCTCTGCTTCTCTGAGCACAGGACGCAAGAGAACAAAATGACACTGTCAACCAATTTCTCTGCACACAATGTAGAAAATTCAAAGTATAGATTAAACAAAACGACTACATAAAACTCTTTTTCTCTCATTCAGAGCAATCATATTCAGGGCATGACATAAGTAGTGAAAGTAATTTTTAAACAAAGATAACAGAATGTGTATCTGTAAATGAATTTCCATCAAGGTAGCACCAGGGGCAGGTGCAACACTTGAATGACTCTACTGTTGCTCAACAACTTCTTGAACTGATGTTGTTGGGTGGCCACAAAACATTCTAGCAAACATCTGTGGTGATAAATTGTGTATATCTTTTGAGGATGAATTTTCTTTTTGGAAATAGTTAAGACTGACCCAGAAAAAAGTCAGGTTAATGAAATGGGTGATTAAGCTGGTTGATACCATCTGGATGTCATAAATAAACTATCTCACAACATAGCAAAATTGTGTCTATGTGTGAGTCCTTGAAGGTAATTCCAAAAGAAGAGACCTGTAAGTATTTGATGAATATATGTGTTTTAGTAAGAATTCTATGACTCCATGGTAGAGAGAGGATGATTATTTTGAAGGTCACCTTTCATTTGGATTTTTAAGTTCTGGTACATTCATTGAGAAAGTCCGTTTCTTTGCTGACTTGGTAAAGAAAATGGATTACAACTAACAGAGTACCAGATAAAACAGAAGTTAGTTTATCTCAGTCTACAGGACTGGGCTAGTGAGGTGGCTCCATGGAGTCCTTAGGAACTCACATCCTTCTAGCTCATTGCACTACCATCCCTGGGACATGGCTGCCCTCATCCTCAGGTTGCAAGCCATGCTCTGACCATCACATCCGTGTTCACGGAGCAACATGGAGTAAGGGAATAAGAACGGACACACGGTGCTAGAAGTCTAGTAACCCCTGGAGGGAGGCTCCTAGAAGCTGTCCTGTGATGGCTCCACTCATATCTCATTGGCCAGAACCTTGTCACATTGTTCTCTGAAAAGGAGGCAAGGAAACATAGTCTTTAACTCAGGCAGCCAAGTGTCCTGCTAAAAGCAAAGGTTCTATCACGACGGAAGCACACAAGGGCTGACCTTAGAGTTGACAGTAGTAACCTATGCCCCAATTCCCTTTTTTTTTTTTTTTTTTGAGATGGAGTCTCACTCTATCACCCAGGCTGGAGTGCAGTGACTCAATCTCGGCTCACTGCAACCTCTGCCTCCCAAGTTCAAGCTATTCTTCTGCCTCAGCCTCCCAAGTAGCTGGGATTACAGGTATGTGCCACCATATCTGACTAATTTTATTTTGTATTTTTAGTAGAGACGGGGTTTCACCATGTTGGCCAGGCTGGTCTCGAACTCCTGACCTTAGGTGATCCACCCACCTTGGCCTCCCAAAGTGCTGGGATTACAGGCTGAGGCACCATGCCCAACCACATCTTGATTTTCTGCTGGAACTCTGGAACCCAAACGTTAGTAGAATGAAGAATGGAGGAATGCTAAAACTGTTTATTTAACAAAACAGAAGTGTCTACTATAAGAATGAACCCTTAGATTGGATTAATTTGTTAACTCCAAGTTAGGATAAGAATCCTCCCAAGATGAAGTGCAGCCTGGCCATGCCATCCAGAACCATTCCTGTCACTCCGCTGCTGAGGACTAATTCCCCTCATTCCACCAGTGTGGACCCAGAGGGGAAGGAGAGAAAGGAAGGAGGGAAGAGAGGAGAGAGGGAAGGAAAGGAGGAAAGAACAGGCAGGGAGGAGAAGGGAGGATAGGAGAGAGGAAAGGAGATAAGTTTCTATGGCTGGACCACTTTCATTGTCAACCCAGCCTGGGGCTCCCTGTTGGGAAAACCAGCCTAGGGATGTCTAACTATTTCTGACACTGGAGAGTCACACAGCTCTTGCTTTTGGAATGAAATGTTCTCTCCAAGCACTTGGGTGAACCTTCAGAAGGAAGAGGAAAAAGAATGATATTCTCTTGCCTATTTTTTTTCAACAGAACATGATGAAGGAGATTTTAGTAAAGAAAATGACTATTGGCTGACGATTGCCTTTTGGTCTGACAAAACTTAAACTCCACTTATATGAAGACACTGCGTTCTGTGAAACCTGTCATCTTATTTCTTGCTCAATATCTGGGGATGACGATAAGGACTCAGACAAGTGTCAGTCTGGGAGAAAGGGGCTCTCAGGTGCTGAGTTTGAAGCTGTTCCCTTAGATCCCTGGTAGAATTTATGTAGGTGCTATAAGACCTCAAACCCTGCACTATTTTTAGGAAGGAAAAAGAGCATTAGTGTCCGCAGAAACCTAAAATATCCCTACAGAATAAAACTTCCAATCCCATTTTCTGACAGCATATGCACTCTTTTACTGTAAGGGTTGTAAAATAGATTGTAACTCTTCGGGAGTGTAGGACAATGCACAGGGGGTGGGCAAGGAAGGCTAAGAGAGTCAGAGGCTTCTTTCAAAAATCCTTAAGCTGGCTGGGTGCGGTGACTCACGCCTGTAACCCCAGCACTTTGGGAGGCCGAGGCAGGTGGATCATGAGGTCAGGAGATCAAGACCATCCTGCCCAACATGGTGAAACCCCATCTGTACTAGAAATACAAAAATTAGCTGGATGTGGTGGTGGGCACCTGTAATCCCAGCTACTCGGGAGGCTGAGGCGGGAGAACGACTTGAACCCGGCAGGCGGAGGTTGCAGTGAGCCGAGATTGTGCCACTGCACTCCAGCCTGGTGACAGATTAAGACTCTGTCTCAAACAAAAAAAAACAAACAAAAAACAAAACAAAACAAACAAACAAACAAAACAAACCAAAAAAACTCCTTTTAAGCTTAGGACACACAGTTCAACCTCATTTCCCTTTCCCCAGGAATCCAGAGGTGCTCTTAAACAGTTCCCTGCTCTAGGGGACTGCGTCAGTTTCTCAGCTCGGAGACAGACAGGAGAGACATGAGAGCCAGCCTGGGGGTCTTTGCTGTCCCTGCCCCCGTGGAGTGTAAATGCCAAGTTGCTGATGAATTACAAGGCAATGGATGCTCATGATTCTTTCGCCAATACTGTGCCTTTTCATTATACCCTGTTTTGAGGGGGATTTGTTTTTTTTGTTGTTTTTTTTTTTTTTTTTTTTTTTTTGAGACAGCATCTTGCTCTGTGGCCCAGGCTGGAGCACACTGGCGTGATCGTAGCTCACTTCAGCCTTGAACTCCTGGCCTCAAGTGATCCTCCGACCCCAGCCTCATGAAGGGGTAGGACTATGGGCATTACCGTGCCCAGGTAATCAAAAAAATTTTTTTTTAGACATGGGGTCTTGCTATGTTGTCCAGGCTGGTCTCGAACTCCTGGACTCGAGTGATCCACCTCCCACCTTGGCCTCCCAAAGTGTTGGGATTATAGGCATGGGCCACTGTGCCCAGCCCATTATACCCTGTTTTTAATGTTACATTTTAGGGTCCAAGATCAACTCTTATGAGTCCTCAGTTTTTCCTGCTATCTCTCAGGGGTCGTAGATGGCAGAGATGACATCCTTTACTCAAATACCAATCTTCACCCCAGAGCCTCCACCTCTGCCTCTATGTAGATTACTCTCACTTTATTCATTCTTTCAGTGGTTTGCACGTTCTCTCATTCATTTACTCACAGTGTTAGTGCTGGAAGCACTGCAGAAGTTCAGAGGAGGAGGAGGTTGGGGGTGGAACATTGTGGGTGAATGAGGGGAGTTAGCAATTTCTAATGTGCTGGTTTAGCCCCCTCTGAATCCTGAACAGTCCCTCGCAAAAGGCGCTCAATGAATTCTCGTTAGGTTATCATCCTCTAATAGCGCCTTTTGGTCACACACATAGGCGTCTAGAATATCTCAGCTTGTGACATCTTGGCATTACGCAGTTGGTCTGGGATAAGACACTTGCAGACCCTAATTACGAGCCGGATTGCCCACAGCCACAGACAACCACCAAGAAAAACTGTCGTGCTAGAAAGTAGTTCCATAGCAACTGGCCTAACATTCCCAAACTGGAGCCTGGAGAAGGAAAAAGGCCCCTCCTGGCCAGCCAGGTTCTACCCAGGGCCCCAGGGGGGCTAAGTGTGTTTCCTGGTTTCCCTTTCCCCCTTCAGCCTCAGGCCACAAATACAGCCATCATGCTGGTAGCAAAAGTGCTTTTTCCTTCCTGCCACAGCCCCTGAGATGAGACTTCCTGCCTGAGAGAGGGACTCGCTATTTCCACCTTGCCGATCCAGGCATGAGCAGACCTAGGCTAACTCCCGTAGAGCAGAAAGGGCCTCCCCACCGGAGCGCTGTAGCCCAGCGCACATCCTCCGCAGGGTATCAACTCCTGGGGTCTCTGAAGCTGTTCCACCAACGGCCCCTGGTAGGCGCTGCATCCCTCCCGGGGGCCCAGGAGTCCTTCCTAACACACAGAGCTGCCCACAGCCCTCTCCTCTCCCTCCCATCCTTCAGGACTGTTCCTCTGAGCACCACTAGGAGCCGGGCAAGCAGATGCATGGGGTGGGGGGGCACACAATTCCATTCAGTGTTTCCTCTTAACAATCACCCTAAACAGACCCCGTGGCCAGCTGCCCTGAGGAAAAAGACACTTCTTGGCTCCCCTGTTCTTTCCCAAAGTTATTGTTAATGGGAGATCTTCCCCATGGTAACAGCTGAGAGGCTGGAGGACAACCGAAACTCAGGGCCCTCATTCCACAATACCCTGGGACTCCTTACTGCCCCTCAGCGTTGCTTTATGTTGACATAACCCAGCGCTGAGATGCATCTCCTCCTCCCGCAGATTCCATCGTGATCGCATTCTGGGTGAGCCTGGCTGCCTTCGTGGTGCTGCTCTTCCTCATCTTGCTCTACATGTCCTGGTCCGCCTCCCCGCAGATGAGGTGGGTAAGAAGGGGTGTGAGTCTGTGGGTCACTCAGACGCTCTCCAGTGAGTAACAGTGCAGGTTGAGTATCCCTCATCCAAAATGCTGGAGACCAGAAGTGTTTCAGATTTGGGATTTAAAAATATTTGCATTGTACCTACCAGCTGAGCATCTCAAATCCAAAAATCCGAAATATTCCAGCGAGCATTTCCTTTGAGCCTCATGTCAGTGCTCAGTATGTTGCAGATTTTGCAGCGTTTCAGATTTTCGGGTTTGGGATGCTCAACCTACGTCCCTACAATGGAATAGTATTCAGCAATAAAAAGGGATGGAGTTCTGATCCATGCTGCAACATGCATGAACCTCAAAAACATCATGCTAAGTGAAAGAAGACAGACACAGAGCTGCATGTTGTATGACTCCATTCACACAAAACATCCAGAGTAGGCAAATCAAATTCTGTAGAGACAGAAAGCAGATTAGCAGCTGCCTAGGTCTGGGGGGAGAGCGGGGAAGGGGGAATGACTACTGATGGGTTTCTTTTGGGGATGATAAAAATGTTCTAAAATTAAGCTGGGCGTGGTGGCTCACGCCTGTAATCCCAGCACTTTGGGAGGCTGAGATGGGTGGATCACTTGAGGTCAGGAGTTCAAGTTACCAGCCTAGCCAACTTGGTGAAACCCTGTCTCTACTAAAAATACAAAAATTAGCCGGGCGTGGTGGCACGCACTTGTAATCCCAGCTACTCAGGAGGCTGAGGCAGGAGAATTGCTGGAACCCAGGTGGCGGAGGTTGCAGTGAGCCGAGACTGTGCCACTACACTCCAGTCTGGGCAACAGAGTGAGACTCCGTCTCAAAAAAAAAAAAAAAAAAGAAGTTCTAAAATTAAGCCAGGCCCAGTAGCTCACACCTGCTGTAATCCCAGCACCTTGGGAAGCCAAGGCAGGAGGATCGCTTGAGCCCAGGGGTTCGAGACCCTATCTCCATAAAAAATAACAAAAAGTTAGCTGGGCATGGTAGTGCGCACCTGTAGTCCCGGCTACTCAGGAGGCTGAGGCAGGAGGATCACTAGAGCCCAGCAGGTCAAGGCTGCAGTGAGCTGTGATTGCGCCACTGCACTCTAGCCTGGGTGATAGAACAAGACCCTGTCTCAACAAACAAACAAAAAGTTCTAAAATTAGATTATGGTGATGGTTGCACAACTCTATGGATGTACTGAAGACCACTGAAATTGTACTCTTTAAATGAGTCAACCTCATGGAATGAAAATATATCTCACTAAAGCTGTTAAAGAAAATGAAGCCAACTTGACACCATGGGCATTAAGTCTTGCCGGCCAGCTCACCAGGAACATAAGAACCTTACCTTTGGCCAGGTGTGGGGGCTCACACCTGTAATCCCCGCACTTTGGGAGGCCAAGGTGGGCGGATCACCTGAGATCAGGCCTTTGAGACCAGACTGGCCAACATGGTGAAACCCCATCTCTACTGAAAATATTTTTAAAAAATCAGCCAGGTGTGGTGGTGTATGCCTGTAATCCCAGCTACTCGTGAGGCCAAGCAGGAGAATCGCTTGAACGCAGGAGGCAGAGGTTGCAGTGAACCGAGATTGCACCACTGCACTCCAGCCTGGGCAAGAAGAGAGAAACTCTGTCTCCAAAAAGAAAAAAAAAAGAAAAAAGAAAAAGAAAGATCCTTACCTTAGGCACCTATGGCCAGCATCTGTTCTCAGATGCCTGCTGTGTGCCACTAAATTGGAGGTGAAATCCAGGAGTTTTAAGGAGTAATTGGAACCCACCTTGTTTTATGTTAATTCTGTTGTGCTAGAGGATTGGCTGACACATCCAATGTTCCCTTCTAGGCTAATCAGCCCTCACAGCTGCTGCTCTCCTAATGACTGTTCTTAGGAGGGACCCTATATTTTGCCATCGCTCACCCGAAGAGGGCCTGTCCAGTGGCTGGCCCATGCCCTTGGAAACGTGTGCCCTGGCAAAAGAGCTGGGACTGGTCAGATTCTCATCTTTGGAATTTGGAATCTAGAACCTGAGGGATGGACCTGGTGGCTATGGGGGCTGCACTGATTGGTCCAGGAGGAGGACTAGGGCTGGGTGCCATTATAGACCATTATGTCCATTACGGACGGAAGTCTTGGGGACTGGAAACCCTAAGCGTAGGAAGCTGGTCAGCAGAGAGATGAGCCAAACTGTGCTGAGGAAGAGCTGAGTGGCCTTGGAGCCCCTGAGCCAGTGCGTCCCATGCCAGGTCCCGTGAAGAGCCGTGGACTCGCGCATTGGCACAGCGTCTTAGTGTTTTCTGTTGCTGTAACAGAATACCTGAGGCTGAGTAATTTATGAAGAAAAGAGGCTTATTTAGCTCATGGTTCTGAAGGCTTAGAAGTCTAGGAAGCATGGCACCGACATCTGCTTAGCTTCTGGTGAGGGCCTCATTTTGTAAAAAGATCTAATTCAGTCTAGAGAAAAAAAAAACTCATTACCTCTTAAAGGTCCCAGCTCCCAGTGTTGCCACACTGGGGACCAGGTCTCCACGAGTTTTGGTGGGGACAAACCATACCACAGCCCAACATTACCTTGAAGGGGCCTCTGATTCTCCTCCCCGCCCCTGCCTGCCCTGCCCGTGGTGTCTCACCCACCAGGGCTACACTCGCCAGGCCATTTCCGCTCACCTTTGGTCACATATGGAAGGTAGCTTTAGAGCAATGAAGAAATTCATTTTTTTTTTTTTGTTTTTGAGACAAGAATCTCGCTGTGTCACCCAGGCTGGAGTGCAGTGGCGTGATCTCGGCTCACTGCAACCTCCACCTCCCAAGTTCAAGCTATTCTCTTGCCTCAGCCTCCCGAGTAGCTGGGATTACAGGCACCCGCCACGACGCACAGCTAATTTTTGTATTTTTAGTAGAGACAGGGTTTTGCCAAGTTGGCCAGGCCAGTCTCAAACTCCAGACCTGTAATCCTAGCACTTTGAGAGGCCGAGGTGGGTGGATCACCTGGGGTCAGGAGTTCGAGACTGGCCTGGCCAGCTTGGCGAAACCCTGTCTCTATTAAAAATACAAAAATTAGCTGGGCATCGTGGCCGGTGCCTGTAATCCCAGCTACTCGGGAGGCTGAGGCAAGAGAATCGCTTGAACCTGGGAGGCAGAGGTTGCAGTTAGCCGAGATGGCATCACTGAGGTCAGGAGCCACTGTGCACAGCCTGAAATCTGTTCTTTTCTTTCAGTTTTTAGAACTCACATTCAATTTAAGCACATTTTTATACCCAAGACACATCTGAGGGATAAACGAGTGATGTCACCTTTCTTTACTACTCTTCTGAGATGACCTGCAGCCGCCCTATGCCAGGGAAGGTGCAAAGATCCCTGGTCTGGTCCGGCAAGCCCAGGGGCTGCCTCCACCACGCCCAGCTCCCTGGGGGGCACAGGCCTTCTGGGCTATTTCACAGGGGCAAACTGATGACACTATACATCCTGACCAGCTACATGGCTTACTAAAGAAAATGCTCTCAAGGCACTTGGTAACATTCCTGGAATGCTCAGGGCGGCAAAGTGGATCCTCAGCAAGATTTAGGAGTCATTCCCTGAGGAGCTGACACCTTCCCATGATGGGGGGGGGAGGGGAGGAGGGAGGTGGGGAGAGCATTCTTAGGCGAGTGCCATCTGAAAGCATGGCCTCTGCCCAGTGGGTTCATCACTTGGTACTCTTCATTTGTGCCAGCGCTGTAACCACATTTAAGTCGTTTTATACATCATCTCATTTCATCCTGAGGATATCTGTGAGCCAATATTGTCCCATTTTATGGATGACGTTAAAGGCAGCTGGGAAGTGGTGGCCAGAGCTCACTCCAGATGGCCATGTCCACTGCCCCAGCACTTCCCGGGCAGGAGAATCCACCCAGGGAGGACACATTTCTTTTTTTTTTCTTTTTTTTTTTGAGACTGAGTCTTGCTCTGTTGCCAGGCTGGGGTGCAGTGGCGCAATCTTGGCTCGCTGCAACTTCCGACTCCTTGGTTCAAGTGATTCTCCTGCCTCAGCCTCCTGAGTAGCTGGGATTACAGGCGCCCACCACCACACCCAGCTAATTTTTGTATTTTCAGTAGAGACGGGGTTTCCCTATGTTGGCCAGGATTGTCTCGATCTCCTGACCTCATGATCCACCTGCCTCTGCCTCCCAAAGTGCTAGGATTACAGGTGTGAACCTCCATGCTTGGCACAGGGAGGATGCATCTCTAGCCAAGTGTTTTAGTTTGTTCTCGGCTGCTAAGAAAGACATATCCGAGGCTGGATAATTTATAAAGGAAAGAGGTTTAATGGACTCACAGTTTCACATGGCGGGGGAGGCTTCACAGTCATGGCAGAAGGCAAAGGAAGAGCAAAGCCACATCTTACATGACACAGGCAAAAGGGCATGTGCAGGGAAACTCCCCTTTATAAAACCATCAGATCTCATGAGACTTACTATCACGAGAACAGCATGGGAAGACCCGCCCCCATGATTCAATTACCTCCCACTGGGTCCTTCCCACGACACGTGGGGATTATTACAATTCAAGGTGAGATTTGTGTCGTGACGCAGCCAAACCATATCACCAAGATACAAGTTGGCTTGGGCTATGGATATAAAATGAACTACACTCAGATACAGCGCTGGATGGGAGGTCAACCTGCTCCCCTCCACCCCCCACCCCCCCCATCCTAAATCAATGTAGGAAGAAGTGGCCTCCAGGGAAAGACCTGAGGCCTAGTTCCTGACAAAGCACTTCCTCTCCTCTGAGATTTCTCTAGAATGGCCACCTTTGTGAGCTGGCTGACCCTTCTCAGGAATTTGCCTGTGTGGCCTTCCCTATGGGGTCCGGGCAGATGGCAGGTGTGGCAGGAAACCCCCCAGCCCCACAGTATGGACTGTTCTGCAGCAACTATGATGCCTGCCTCCCACTCTGCTCTGTTCACAGGAACAGCCCCAAGCACCACCAAACATGCCCCTGGAGTCACGGCCTCAACCTCCACCTCTGCATCCAGAAGTGCCTGCCGTGCCACAGGGAACCCCTGGCAACCTCACAGGCTCAGGCGAGCTCAGTGGAGCCAGGGAGCAGAACTGGCCCTGACCAGCCGCTACGACAGGAGAGCTCCTCCACCTTGCCCCTCGGGGGTTTCCAGACCCACCCCACTCTCCTCTGGGAACTGACCCTCAATGGGGGTCCCCTCGTCAGGAGCAAGCCCAGCGAGCCTCCCCCTGGAGACAGGACCTCTCAATTGCAGAGCTGATGTCAGTAAATCGTGGCCATAGCTGAGTGAACTGGTGAAATCAAGCCAACCTGGACACATACGTTCCTCGTTCTTCTTAGAGGCCATTTGCATGTAGCAGAAAGGGCACCTAGGTCAAGTGCAACTAGAGCAGGAGCATCCTATGCCTTTGACAAAGATTGCAGTGGCCCCTCGAGTGCAGAGGTCATCCCAGGTGTTGCTGAGTTTATTGAGCACACCTAGCCTGCTTGCTTACTGCTTATATTTGCTCAGGGAAGAGTAGGAAAATAAAATATATGCAAATCAAGAGGAAAAGCTGTTTGCTTACTAATCTTTACTATGCCACTTTACCATTACTGTGTAATGCGTTATCAGCCCTGAGTTCACCTGGTCCTTCTGTACCTTTGTTAGGATGCTGGGTAAGTTCCCATCCAAGCTCCACTAACACCCGCCGGCTCCCCCAGATGTGATGGCATCTGCCCTGCCAGGTCAGCTCACTGCAGTCTGGGGACCTGAGTTGCACCTTCAACCTCCCCACAGCCTTTCAAAGACAGAGCCCAAGAAAGTGTCTCCCCTGGAGGGCAGGCAGCCAACGCCTGTCAGCAGCCAGGCCGGGTAAGCAGGATCTATGCCCAAATGCTGTCACAGAACACAAAGAGCCCTGGAAGCTGGCAGGAAAGGTCTTCTGGATGTGACTTTATGTGACAGTGGATCTGGGACCCTTGAAAGATCTAGTCCTCTAGTGCCCAGCAGCCTTGTCCCTGGAGAGGAGACAGCATCACACAGCAAATCTCAGAAGACCCATATGTCCCCTACAGCTTTCAGGCAAGGAGGGAGTTGATAGGTTTTATTTTTAAAATAACTGTGCCCCCCGCCCCACTTAAGATATTTCTAATTTAGCATTTTATATTTTAAGTCAGGTGAAGACCATGTTCGATCTATTCTCCATGGGATGAGATTCCCTTCCTCCACACTAAGTGACTGGAAAATACACGAACAAGGTCAGGGCAGTGGATTTAAAAGGGAGAACAAAGAAAAGCAAGACTGATGAGCTCCAGAGATGCAGAAAAGAAGGTGAGGTGCTGAAAATGTGTCCTCACTTGACTGAGCTGGAACTCGGCTTTGGAGCATTTGTCGCCACCTGACGTAGTATGTATTGACTTGCTGGGCCCTAAGAACCTGGGAGGCAGCTTAGGCCTGGAGCCAGGGATGAAGCCGTGGAAATCCACCCCACCTGCTCGCTGCCCCTCCCTGTGCCCCCAGAGGCATGGGGTTCAGGGATATTCCCCAGACCAATGTCCTTCCGGCCAATGCCCCCTGCATAAACAAGCAGAGGTGCCTATAACCAAAGGAATCCCCAAAGATAGGCCTTGGAGAGGTGGATAAAGATTAAGGGGAACCAGGAAGAGAACGCTTTGTTGGAGCAGCGCTTGCCTGAGTCCAGCTTGGATCTAAACGTGGGATTTCAAGTTCAGGATAGTCTCAAAGAATAGCGTTGTAAGGTTTATTTGGGTAGGGAAGGGGACAAGTGAGGTAACTGATCCTTGCTTTGTAGACAGTGCAAGACAATTATTTGTGGTGAAGGGACTGTATGCCAACAAACGTTACTCATGCTTTAGTTAAAACTTTAAGTCACCTAAAACAGAAACAATTCTAAAGAACACTGGTGGAAAATAGAAGTGTAAATGTTTCAGACAAAACCAAGGCATTGTCAGCACGATGTACATTATACGGCAGATAAAACAGCCACATCCTAGGCCACAGAGCAGATCCCAAGAGCCCCAGGCATGCAGGAGAGTTTTAAAGGAACAGACGGAAATTTTAACTGTGAAAACCACGAAATTTCATGACTTTTGTCAGCTACAACCCCAACTAATATATGACCATTAAGAGTAAAATTCTGACCTTTAAAATAAATGCAGGCCTATGTGGAGCAAAAATAGCCTCTTGACAACAATGAAAGGAAAACACAAAAACCTTACAAAAATAGACATTAACAAGCATTTATAAAATTCAAAATCCCCTCTTTGAAGTATAGCTTTAAAAATTACAGGCTGTCTTCTCAAAGCAGAGGTCAAATCACTTTTATTCTTTAAGGATTCAGTGTAACATCCTTTTCTTTAATAAAATAATTAAACACTGGCAGAAATTAACTTATTCAAAAAGTCATACTAATACTTTGTTATGACTTTTTATAGAAAAACAAACTTTATTTTTTTATTTTTTTGAGATGGAGTCTTGCTCTGTCACCTAGGCTGGAGCGCAATGGCACGATCTCAGCTCACTGTAGCCTCCACCTCCCAGGTTCAAGCGATTCCCCTGCCTTAGCCTCCCGAGTAGCTGGAATTACAGGTGTGCGCTACCATGCCTGGCTAATTTTTGTATTTTTAGTAGAGATGGGGTTTCACCATGTTGGGAAGGCTGGTTTCGAACTCCTGACCTCAGGTGATTCACCCGCCTTGGCCTCCCAAAGTGCTGGGATTATAGGCGTGAGCCACCTCACCTGCTGAAAAATAAACTTTAAACATCTCTCTTCGTTTTCATAAAAAAAATCTGATACCTTTTGACATTTCAGCTTTAACACAGATGAATCTCTTCTGCATTCAGAAGTGCTGCCTCAAACTCGAGCTATTTCCTGTGATGAGCTCCAAGCCCCTAGAGAGGAAGGGGCGGCCTGACGAGGCACTGGATGGGCCTCATGGCCTAGAAGTCCCCACATTCCTTGCAACTCTGATGCTGGGCACCTACAGGCCCGAGTTTATCATTTACTGGGCAGTTCAATAAAGTCCTCTCAACTTTTCTTGTCAAAGAACTGAGCCAATGTACTGAACCTGTTGTTTCCCATGCCTTCTCTGGAAACCCTTGACTCAACCAAACTTCTAGAAGCTGGTGCTGTGCTCGAGGCTCTGGTCATCAGGGTGCAAGGTGCTGGCCGGCAGGAGTCAAGCATCTGAGGCTGCGCTGGCGGCGTCCTTGCAGAGCACCACGATGGCCTCCTCTTCACTGCTCGGGGCATCATCTGCGGCCTCACACACCATCCGGACGTGGGTTAAGAGGGTGTCCGGCCGCTGAGCCCCCAGCCAGATGTCCTTTATGTAGAGAGACACTAGGAATGCTGCGGAGGCTGAACAAGAGCAGGGGATAGGCCATTAGGATGCACACCTGCTCAGCTCGAAAACAGGTCATCCTGCCCACAATGCAACGGCTTTGCCAAGTGCCCAAATGAACCGTGCCACAGGCCTGGGCAACCCAAGGTGAGCACACCGATACAACAACTCACTCTGCCTTTGCTTAACTTTTGTGTTAATCTTTTTTATTATTAAAAAGTTTCTTTTCTTTAAAAAAAAAAAAAAAAAAAGACAGGGTCTCACTCTGTCACCCAGACTGGAGTGCAGTAGTGTGATCTCAGCTCACTACAGCCTCAACTGCCTGGGCTCAGGTGATCCTCCCACCTCAGCCTCCAGAGTAGCTGGGACTACAGGCATGTGCCACCACGCCCGGCTAATTTTTGTAGAGACAGGGTTTCACTATGTTGCCCAGGCTGGTCTCAAGCAATCTCCCCACCTCAGCCTCCCAAAATGCTAGGATTATAGGTGTGAGCCACTGTGCCTGGCAGAAATTTATCTTTCTTCTGATGAATATGTGTGGATCCCCTCAAAAAGCTGTTACAAGACAAGTCTCTTCCTGGTTCTGACCATCCATGCCAAGAATGACAATGAAATTTGAGAAGAACTTCCCAGAATCATTTCCTACCATTTCCTCAGTGGCATGGGTGAGGAGGAGGAGAAAGCTTGCAGGCAAAAAGGCTCAATTCCCCAACTGCGGCCAGACCAGAGGGCAAGGTCACCCTGCTACCAGGTGAGCCTACCCGATAGGCTGCCAGCCCCTCCCTCCCCTGGGCCCCCACATTCCTCTGTGAAAGGACAGACCTCTGGGTTACCACACCCACCTCCCTGGAGCTCTAACGGCCCCCTGGAGCTTGTGCTACTCACTCATTCACACTGCTAGGCTCCTAGTGACTGCCAAGTACATAAACTGTTCATGTGCGCATTTATACGCATGTGAAGCTCTATGTGCACACACACGCGCATGCACATGCACATGCGCACACATGCAAGCATACGCACGCACGCGCACACACAGCTGGCCACATGTGAAACAGAACTCATCATGTGCCTAATGGTCAGAAACCCATTGCCTGCGGGGTGGAGGGATGCCAAGGTTCTGAGGTGCCCTCTCTGCACCGTCAACATAACCAGCACCAAAGGTTTCCCCTGCAAGCAAAGGCAAAGACTTCCTTCCCTTCACATTCACTGCCCAGTGGCAAGCTCTCTGCAACCCCAGAACCGTAAGGGGCCACCTAAACAAGCACAATACCCAGCTGAGGAAGTCAGCAGAAACCTGAGTGTTCTAAGCACAGAAATCACTCCTGCCCCCAGGCCCACTTCTGCATCTATTTCTTCAGCCTCCAACAAAAGAACCAGCCTTACCTTGTGTGGCTTCATCCTTCTCACTCAGAGAAGACAGGGAGAGGGCTTCCATGGCCGGGTGGAAGGGGCTCCCTGCCCGGCCCTGGGCAGCCACCAGCTGCAGCATGACCGTATTGAACAGGCAGGCCACCTCCTGCACAGGCCCTGCCAGCCCCTCAGCCCCACAGAGCCGGCTATACAGCCTGAATATGCTGCTCCTCACGGCACTGTCCTTAAGGAGGTCAGCCACGACCACAGGGTGTGGCAAAATATGGCTCTTAAGCCAGCCAATGAGTCCTGCAGCCTCTGCCCTGCTGAGCGGGTGCTCGGCCACCGACCGCAGCACCCAACTGACTGCCAGGGAAGCGGCAGCATATACGGGGCCTGGCGCATCGCTCTCGGGGCTGGCTGAGTCCACAGGCTCCTGAGTGGGGTCAGGACCAGGGATCACTGGTCTCCAGTAAGTCAAGATGGACCTCAGGAGGCCCTTGCATGTCTCCAAGGTAGATGCCATCAGCTCAGGGTCAGCCATCTCCTCTGCCTCCCCAGGCCTCCTCTTTCGGCCCCGTGGGCCTTTGGCTCGGGCTGGCATGACAGGCTTGTTCTTATCCTTGAGCATTTCTGTTAAATGCACAAAGAGAAGGTAATGAGACTGGGGTCCCTCCTGCCCACACAGATCCAGATGTGGGGAGGTGTCAATGGGGGACACGAGGGGCGGCTTGCATGTCCTGAGCACCCGGCCCTGCTCCCACGTCAGGAGCCTGGTGAGTGCTCGATGTTTCACTACGCCTGTCATCACTGTTATTATAACCAACTTATTAATCCTCACACCATGAGGTAGAAGCCATTACTGTCCTCTTTAAACACAGGGAATCAGGACAGCATCAGAGCTTCAGTCCAGGAGGCCAGGTTCCAGTCTTTTCCTTAACCCTGCACTACAGGAGGAGGTTGGGGCAAGTAGCTCATAGCTACCCCCAGCCTCTTTACAGGTGAGCACCATGATACTAAGGTAGGTGAAGTGACTTCTCCAAAGACAGGGAGCTAGTAAGCAGCTGGGCTGAAACTCAAAGGCTGCCCAGCTCCCCATCCAGGGCTCCAAGATGGATGTGTCCCATCTCTGAGCCTCATTAGCTTTGGAAATGTGGCTGAGAGACAGAGAGAGAGGGAGGGACGGACAGGGTGAGAGAGACATGTTGGCTACTCTGGGCCAGTCCTGGGTTCTGACACTCACTCATGAGCTCCCGGGCTTGGGCCTTCTCAATGGCTGCTCTCAGGTCTTCCTGGAGCTTGAGGTCTCTTTCAATGAGGCTCCACTTGTGCAAGAGGACAAGGACGTCCTTGGTGGAAAGCACTGTCTCATTTACGGTGAATCTGTTCATGTCCCTAAAGGCCTGTATGACAGTGGCCCGGTACCTCAGCACGGAGTCAAGTGTCCCGAAGAAGTTGGTCAGCTGGACGGGGGCCAAGGTGGGCCTGTTTGGGAGTCAATGTTACAGACTGAGCAAAGGCTGCTGCCCCTGCCTGGCAGTCAGCACTGCGGCACCCTGACGACATCACACACCCAGAGGTGCACACAGTCCCTCCAGGAACCAGGTTTTCCTGCACAGCAGACATCTAGCATGGGCCCCCAGGACGCAGAAAAGAAAAAAGTGAGCCACTCCAGGAAGGCACAAAGGGGACCTGGAGTCTGACCTGCACCCCACAGGCACAGAAACCTCCTGAAACCCTGGCTAAACAGGGCAGCCAAACACACAGCTTGACAGCCAGGGTACCAAGAGCCTGCGAGGGCTCCACTCCAGGCCTGCCAGTTTCCCTTGCCTCACAGACCACCAGTAAAGTGAGAAAAACCCAGGGAGGCCCTGGGACAGTGTCACCACCCACGGCCAAAACCTGATGACCACCAGGAGGAAAAAGATCTCCCTGAATTCCAAGACAGTTAAAGCCTGTAACATCAGTTCCACACAATTGTAAACATAAAACCAGTATTTTAAATAGCAACTGGTTCTTAGACACCAGCATGTCTTCCGAAGATCCCTACATAGGAAAGGTTGACTATCCAGCACGGACTTAACAATTTAGTTTTGAACAATACAAAACAAAAGGCCTTGTTCTTTTTATCAGGACATTTTTCCTTCTGAGATTACAATCCTCTTGCTACCAACCTTCTGGTTCCGGTTAGCATAACTTGGCTCCCAAATCAGAAATAATGAGTGTACACAGTGTATTTTCTGTAACATGGTAGAATTGGAGGGAAATTTAGCTCTTCTGAGGAAACCAAAAGCATGACTCCAAGGGATCGGAGGAAAATACTGAAACATTCCAGAGAATTCATGGACAATGAGTCTTCGCAGGCTAATGAAGGCAGAGGCAAGTTTGGGAACACCCTGTCTTATGTTAGAGTCACAGAAAATATTTTCTTTCTAAGAAACATCACTTGATTCAAGTGTTTGAATCACAGTATCAAGGCAGATGGCTCGCCAGCTAAAAATGACCTCGTACGATGCACATTAGGTGTTAATGTTAACAAGTATGTTAAGTTCTCGGGGTCTTGACAAGAAGCTTTATAAAATTGAAGGGCAAAGAAAGAGCTAATAAAATAGATGTTCTGACACTACCTACACCTGACACTGGTGCTCTGCCCCAATCCACAGCAGATCACGGCCCAGCGTCCCCCTGGTACAGAGTCATGACTGAGACATGGTGTCCACAGGTGGCAGACCAACACAGCATCCAAGAGGCCAGAAGGGCCCCCCTGGCGGGGGCAGGACTCACCTCAGGTGCTTCATGAGCACGATGAGAACATAAAGGAACTCATTGACCAGGTGCAGGGCAAGCCGCTTGGCAGGCTCCTGGGAGCTAGGCTGGCAAAGGCGCTGGCTCTCCCACTCCACTGCCTTGTCCCCCAGGTTGGTCACCCACAGTGTGTGTAGCAAGGAGATCACATTAGACAGCAGCGGAGTCTCCAGAAACCTAAAACCAAGCACAACAGCCTTCAATCCGCCACATCCTGACCTTTCAGCAGGATCAGACTATCGCCCTCCATAATCCTATCTGCTCATCCCCCTAGATAAGCATAGTCTCCAAGTAAAAACAGGGTGCTTGCTATACAAACGCAGCTTCCACACAGGACAAGGTGCACCGTCCTAACAGAAGATTGCCCTAAGTCCCTCCAAAAATTCAGGAGCCGCTGGGGCACACTAATAAAAACTGTCCTGTTCATGACAACAACTCAATTTCTAAAACAAGACACTATAAGCCAGGAACATTAGCTAATTGTGCCTTTTATAAACCTGAAACAGTCTTGAAGTTGATGTCCAAATACACATTCTAATTTTGGATATTAATTTCTTCCCCCCACCCACTTTTTTTGTTGTTTGCAGATGTACTTGGATATATTAGTTTCTTTTAGAGAAATTTCAGGAAATGCTTTTAAAAAAATGCACAAAAGGGCCTGCATTCTCCCAGGCTTATTATAGTAGTTAGTTCTTTGTAAGACAGAGCCCTCCCGCCAAGTGCTGTCTGCTGTGACAGGGTCTTCATCTTTTCAGACAGTCTCAAACAGCAGGAGAATCAGGAATCACAATAAATCATCAAGTTCAGACCCCTGGTGCTGCTCCTCTAATGCGGGCTCATCACTGAGGACAGAGACCCTGCACTGACAGCAGAGCCCTGTCACCCGTCAGACCGGCCTTCCTGCAAGAGGGCTGCAGCTGCTAAAGCCTTAGAGAACAGGACATTCACTTCAGAGCACAGAAGGCTGCTGGGACACCGGGGAGGAGTCTGACCTGTGCAGAACAGAGCCAGACAGGCTGGCGGAGACTCTGCCAGATGTGAACAGCAGCTGGTGTCTGCTGTCCCATGGCAGACAAGAGACACTCAAGGAAAGGCTGTGAATGGAGGAAAGGCACTTTGGCACTGCCAGGAACGGGACTGCCAGGCATATGGTAGCATTGGAGGACACTGCATTTCAGAGAGCATGGATTTTACTGGACATTTCCAACCAACAACAGAGCTGGCAGCAGACGTCATCGTTTCTGTTCCTTTCCTTCCCACCTGACGCGCACCTCGCATGCAAAAGGTACTTACTTGCTTTCAAGGATGTGTAAAATCCATGTTAAAAGGCTATAGTCTCGTATGATTTCATACGCAGATCTGGCAACCTGGGCAGCATTCTGTAGAATTTCCAGAATCCAATTCTGAAAACCCCAAACAAGAAGTTACTCTTCAGTGAGAAAACCCACTTTACTTGATTAAAGAAACCGTTTTAAAAATTAATGGTATGGTGCCATTACAGGTGGTGGCTGCAAATGAAGCCTGCTTTGCTAAGTCCGTCAGAGCGGTGGCCATGTACGAACGTGCCCTTCCCTACAAGAGACAGCCAGAGGACACAGACTTCCACAGCAATCTCTGGGCCCGGGGATCCCCACTTCCGTTAATCCATCATCTGGAACCCACCCACAAGCAAAGATGCACCACAGAAGCCAAATGGCCCAGATGCGCAGCCACCGGCACAGGGAGTGCGTGAGGGCCCGCCTCCAGGCCAGCTGCTGGCCGCCAGCCACGAGCCATGCGGCCCTGTGTTTACCACCTGGAAGGGAGGACATAAAAATGGGATGGTCCCCTGACTTGTTCATGGGGTGCTTCAGAATTCTCACATGCCATAGAAAACAAAAAGTTACTATACTCAAATTCAGTTTATTCAAATGGGCTTCTTAATCTTGACTTACTCCTATTTACCCACATTTTACATATGAGAAACAAAAGCTGACTACGCTAGAAATTAATCAAAATACTAAAAGCTTTTCCTATTTCCTTCTACCACCTACCTGTAATATTTAGAAGGTACACACACCAGCTCTTGGTTCCTGACTGGCTAGGTGAGGCTGTCTGTTTCAACCTGACCCTTGCTTTCTAAATGAGTTCTGACAACCCCCAACTTCTGTAGTAGGTGGAATCCTGGTGATTCAAAAGTGCCTCAGAGTACCTCAGTCACTGACAGGGGGTTTCTAGACTTGTGACCACTCTGAAGGCTCATGATTACTGATCAGTACCCCCCACTGATGGCCTTCGTATATGCCAAGGGCCGTATACACAGTAGGAGGGTTGCAGTGAAGAGTATTTAGAGGACAAATGACACTGGGGGTCACAACACTGCAGCCTCAAGTGAATCCACCTGCTCTGCATGCAGGGAACAGGACAGGCGCTCTCAACATCTCACTTCCCCTAACTGAGAGCCAGGGTTAGGTCGGTCGTGTCCAGGCTGGGAACTGAATTCATACGGACTTGACTTCCAGATAAAATCTTAAGAAGGGGCACAGACCTCTCGCTCTCAAATAAGCTTGCGGAACCCATGTACCTGTGCTGCCTCGTCACACAGCGGGCTGTGGAAGAAGGACAGGATGATGTGGAAGATGCCACGCCGGGCACACAGTTCGTAGCACTGCTTGTCACGGATCCCCTGCCGCAGAACGCCAAACACCCACTTCTGCTCTGTTTTTTGCTATAACCCAGGCACACAAAAAACTGTTGTTAATAAGTGAAAGTCCTTTCATCTGACAACTGTTCAAACACCACTATTTTAAGTGGTGGCAAAAGTTGTAACACAGCAGCCCTGACCTCCATGTCTGATTATGAAAAATCCCTGATCTCATCTTTGATTCCATTTCTTCAGGTCAGAAATAGAGGATCGAGTCAAGTTTAAATACTGAAGTCAGATAAGTATTCTATAAAAGAATATTTAATATGAATATCTAAAAACAGAATTTAATATTTAACCCAGTGATTCACCAAGAAAATATGAGAATGTCGTAAAACTCAGGACTCTGAAGCAGAGTTTTTAAGGTTTGAGGCGCCATGTAGAAGTGAGCCAACAGCACGGAGACATTCCGAAGTGCAGGCCTGCGTGGCCACCGACTGCACAATCGTGTTGGCCGTGCAGCATACAGGATCCATGGGGAAATGTCAGAATGACAACGGTGGCTGCATCATCAATTCAGGGGCCTGCAGAAAGCCGTGAGGACTCTGGAAGCATACCTCAAAGTCGGAGCTGTAGAAGAACTGGTAGAAGCCTGGCACTTTGTCCATGTTCAAGTACTCATGCGACAGCAGGAAGTTGCTGACCTTCAGGTACATGTGCTCCTCTGAGAACACAGGCAGTCAGTCAGTCATGGCAGGCCCCAGCAGGACGCCCCCTGGTCTGGCAGCACTAAGAGGCAGGCATTCTGGGTATCAGACATAAATCCCCTCCCAGGAACTTTTGTGTCCTGACCCAGAGGACTGGCTCTTGAGAATGAGAACAGAATTCAACACGTCAGCTCCATACCACACATGGGCTTGCTCTCCTAGCTCTGAAACCACTGCTGGATGTTGAGTCCTTCAGGGACCTCGCACCCTCCGCCTCCCCAGCTACCGTCCTACAGCACAGGCTTCAAACCAGCCGGTGGGAAGGGTGGGACTTGGTCACACATCCCACAGATCAGGGCTGACACCACACCCACCCGCTGCACCTGCCTCTAGCTTCTAACTGAAAGGAACCGTCACAGCGGGGGAGGCTCAGACACTACTGAGTGCCTCTGGAATGCAGCAACGCAGAGGGCAACGGACACCCTAGCTCCTGCTACCTCCTATCCTTGGATCACCAATGAGTCTACCCCATGACCATGCTGCCCTGCACACGCTCCACCCCGACATGAGCACCGGTGTGGGACACAGCCACACCCAGGACCAAAACCATCATGGTCTCTGCCAATTATTTTCTTCCCCTTCCAAATCTCCAAGGCAAGTAAATCCATGGAATAAAATGAAATGGGAGCAGATGAAAATGAGATCTGAATTCTAATAGCAACTTGACTGTGAACTAACTGTGGGGCCTTGACAAGCTATCTACCCTTGGGAGCCTCAGTTAGTGAGTATGGGGGATACAGGTGGAAACAGCACCCTGTGGTCCCTGATGGTACCAACTTTCTATGATTTTTCTCTCAATAACCAAAAAAAGTCTTAGAATGAGCTAACTTCTAGTCACACTATCTTAGCAGTGGTACCCCCATTCCTGTAACAAAAAGGAGCCTTGTTCTAACAGCGTGGATTACACATGTGCAGTACTCACATACCAAAAGCTTTGTAGCTAAGGACCCGTGAGCCTAAGCATGAATCAATGATGAATAATGGCGGTGATGGTGACGGCAGCTATCACTGATGAGTTTTTACTGTGCCAGGCACTTACATGTGTGTTAGTGTGCGTGATCTAGGCCAGGCATGGTGGCTCACACCTGTAATCCCAGCACTTTGGGAGGCTGAAGCAGGAGGATCGCTTGAGCCCAGGAGTTTGAGACCAGTCTGGGCAACATAATGAAACTCTGTCTCTACAAAAAATTAGCCAGGCGTGGTGGCATTCGCTGTAGTCCCAGCTACTCGGGAGGCTGAGGTAAGAGATTACCTGAGCCTGGGAGGTCGAGGTTGCAGTGAGCCGAGATCATGCCACTGCACTCCAGCCTGGGTGACAGTGCCAGACCGTGTCTCCAAAAAACAAAAAAAGTGTGTGATCCTCATCACCCTCACAGCAATGCTAGAGGCAGTGAGTCCGATCATCACCCCATCTTAGAGGAGGAAACGGGCATGGGGAAGTCCAGGACCGTCTGGCTGTGTCCACGCTTTCAGCCCCTGGGTTCCAATCCCTATGATGTGATTGGCCCACATTTTAACTTCAGTTTTATTTGCTCTCACCACAGTTTCCTATAACTACAAGCGAATATGAATATATACTCTTTCCCTCCATTATAAATACTGTTCTGCACTTTGCTTTGCCATCTACTTTTTTCTGGATTTCACCCCCCAGGGGTCCATGACGAGCTTCCTCATAGCCATCACCTATTTACTGTCCAGAGCTGATGGGGACTTCGGTGGCTCCTCATCTTCCACAATCATGAGCACGGAGTGGCCTTGAACACAGATGTGTGACCCACTATACCTGTGGGACTAATCCCTAGAAGTAGACTTGCTCAGCTTCAGCTTTTCAATTTCCCCTCAACCTAATTATGTCAGTGGTACCTGGTTTCAAAATCTGCAGGGCTGCTTTGGCAATGAAGAGAGCCAAGGTAAAAGTAAGTCTCATGTCCTGAGTTCGAATCCCATTCCGGACTACATCCAACAGGTAAAGTAGCTTGAAAACAGAACAGAAAAGGAAAATGTAAGATGAGCGTGTTCAGAGCTATGGTCAGTCCTCTCTGGTGCAGCCGAACCAGGGCTCGGCAGGGTGTGCCTGCTTCTCATATCCCAGGGGCCACTGAAGACGAAGCTCACAGGAGCAGACACACTACTTGCCAGCATCTCCGGAACGCTTTTCGTTTTTATTTTAGGAGTCAGTCAGGTGCACAACAGCAGAGAGAAGTCTGGCACCATGCCCTGAAAATCTAATCTGCTCTTGTTCCTCCAGCACCATGGGGTACAGGTTTCTAAGGTTCAGTGTGTCGTGGATAATAGCCACCTTAACCACTGAGTTTAGACCAAAGAAATACTCAGTAGAAGTCATATAATTTTGTCTACACACAACACAAGAAAGCCTGTAAGGAGAAACCTTTCTCAACCTCCACGGGGGGTTGTGGATCAAAGGCGACCTCCGGGATCACCTCCTAAGGGAACAGACTTTTGCTCTTCAGCAGAGATCTCCCGGCAACATGCCACCTCCGTGTTCCCTAGTAAATCCTTCTACCAAACCGGGTGGACAGCCAGCTCTCTGAAGTCCGCCAGGCCCACCCCCACAGTAGGATGTACGCTCTTCCTACTTACCTGGGACTGCTCTTGGAACCGTGCGCCCTCCAAGTGCGAGTAGTAGGCCGCCAGGACATGGTAGGCTATGGCTCGCATCTGGGGGTCATAGCTGCTGAGGGCTGTGACAGTTAGGCCCAGAGCATTTGAATCCAAAAATTTTCGACAATCCACCACAAACTCTGCAGGAAATGAAATACAGCATGAAACACACACAATATGATTTTATTATTCTTGTTAACCTGGAGAATTAAATTTCCTCTTGTGTCTTACCAATAGCTACATGTGCCAAGCACAAGGAATGCAAGTCTCTCTCCAACTCCTCCTAACTTCTGCTGAAGTTAGACAAAAAAACCTCTTCCTTTATGTGGCAATAATGACCATACCTTCAGTTTCTAAAATGCTCATACATCCCAACCAGGATAATTTCATTATTTCTCATAAACACCCAATGAGTCAGGATATTGGAGGTGACACTGAGACCCACTGCGGAGACCCCAGCATGCCAGAGGCCTGGGGAACACAACTGGGAATCAGCAGAGAAAATCAGTCCCCAGCTTCCACCTTGCTCAGCCCTCCACCGCGGGCGCCTGTCTATAAGCATCACCGAGGAAAGCACACACAGCAGTGAAAGCAGGAAAAGGCAGCTGATGCCAACCAGCCCGACAAAGGACTCACTCACACCCACTCTGCAACCCTAGCTCTTCCTTCAAATAAACAACACAAGTCTCACAGAAAAGTGGCTCATCAAGCTTAAGCAAAAGCTACGGTCCAGAGAGCCTGTTGGCTGGTATCCATTTGCCATTTGTGAGGCCGAGAGAAGCTGACAATCACTAGAGGAGAGGAGAAGACTCACAGAGAGAGGGAGAAGGTCAGACACATGAGGGGATGCGCCTTACCACAACCTAGAGGGCTCTTCACTAACGAAACTGAGGACACCTTCCCACTCCTTAATAAAAACCCAGGCTATTCTACAAGATAAATACTGTCAAGAAGAACCTTAGAATAGGAATTAATTATTAATGATTAAACTGATCATGATAATTATCCACAATGATGTTCTCGAGATAGAGTGACCAGTGGCCTAATTGGGAACCAAACACAAGCCAACTGAAATGACTACTCCAAATGAGTAATCATGGAATATAACATCAATAAGAGATAGTCCATTGATGACATTTTTAAAAGTTAAAGAAAGATAAAGCATTTTAAGCAGGGACACAGAAGATACAAAAACCCAAAACCAAGCTTCTAGAGATGAAAACTAAAATATCTGAGCTGAAAAATGCATTGGATGGTGAAATGGTTTGGATTTGTGGCCCTACCCAAATCTCATGTTGAATTACAAACCCCCATGTTGGAGGTGGGGACTCCGGTGGGAGGTGATTGGATCTCGGGGCAGATTTCCCCTTGCTGTTCTCATGCTAGTGAGTTCTCACAAGAGCTGGTTGTTTAGAAGCGTGTGGCACTGCCCCACTTCCTCCTGCTCTGGCATGTAAGATGTGCCTGCTTTCCCTTTGCCTTCTACCATAATTGAAAGTTTCCTGAGGCCTCCCCAGCCATGCTTCCTACACAGACTATGAAACCATGAGTCAATTAAACCTCTTTTCTTGATCAATTATCCAGTCTCGGGTTCTTTATACCAGTGCAAGAATGGACCAATAGAGATGGGATTATCAGTGATTAGACACTAGACCAAAAAGGATTAGCGAACTTAAGACAGCAATAGAAACTATCCAAGCTGAAAACACAGAGAGGAAAAATATGAACAGAACATCAGTGTCCTGTGGGTATGTGTAATAGGGGGTCCCTGAAAAAAATCCGAAGAAATAATGGCCAAAACTTTTTGAAATCTGACCAAAAAAAACTATAAACCTAGACAGCCAAGAAACTCAAAACATAAAACATTAAGAATATCATGCAAGCATCATCACAAATAAAGCATATATATTTATATATAAAAGAAAATCACACGAAAGCACATTGTGATCAAATTGTTTGACACCAGTGATTTAAAAAAAATCTTAAGAGCAGCCACATGACATACAGAAGAATGAAGATAAGAATGGCAGATTTCTTGTCAGAAATAACTCAATTCAGAAACCAGAGGAGCAACTTCTTTAAAGTACTGTAAGAAAAAAAACTGTCAACCTTGAATTTTATACCCCATCAAAATCTTTCAAAAGTTAAGACTTTTTTCAGACACAAAAAAGCTAAAACAATTGGTCACCAGTATCAAAATCTTTCAAAAGTTAAGACTTTTTTCAGACACAAAAAAGCTAAAACAATTGGTCACCAGTAGACTTGAACAATAAGAATTCTTAAAGGAAGTATTTTAGGAAGAAGAAAAATGATACCAGATAGAAATCTAGATCTACACAAAGGAATGGTAACAATATGGCAAATATCAAATATTTACACTTCTTTTAGAAATAATGACAATTTGAAGCAAAAACAACACTATATTGTAGGGTTTATAGCATACTGAAATGTAATGCATGACAAGAATAGCAGAAAAGCCAGAAGGGAGGAAATGGATCTATACTGTTACAAGGTCCTTATACTATACATGAAGTGGTATCATCTCACTTGAAGATAAACTATAATAGATTGAAGATGTGTACTATAAACCCTAAAGCAACCAGTAAAAATATGCATGCATGCACTCATACACATACAAAAGTTGCAGGTAAAAGTCAACAAGAGATAAAATAGAGTCAGATCAATAATCACATTAAATATAAATGATGTATGCACTCCAAAATAAAAGGCAGAGATGGTCAGATTAGATAAAAAGCAGAACCTAGGTACATGCTGCCTTCAAGAAACCCATTTTCAATATCAAGACATAGACTAAAAGTGAAAGGATGAAAAGAGCATAGTCAGATGACTCTTGGGCATAGCAGTTTAGGAACAAAATTTTCTAATTCTCTTATCTCTACTTTTTTAAAGCCAGAGTCTCCTTTGTCGCCCAGGCTGGAGTGCAGTGGCACAATCTTGGCTCACTGTAACCTCCACCTTACGGGTGCAAGCGATTCTTGTGCCTCAGCCTCCTGAGTAGCTAGGACTACAGGCATGTGCCACCATGCCCAGCTAATTTTCTTATTTTTAGTAGAGACGGGGTTTCACCATGTTGGCCAGGCTGGTTTCAAACTCCTGGCCTCAAGTGATCAGCTCGCCTTGGCCTCCCAAAGTGCTGGGATTACAGGAATGAGTCACCGTGCCCAGCCTAATTTTCTTATTTCTCACAAGTGACTGTTTTTGATAAGAGGGAAAAAGAAATCCAAAAGCTTTAAAAGCACCAAACTAGATACAATTATATTGTTTTACAAAAGATGGAAGAAATGTGTTTAAGAGACACCTACATAAGTACATAACAAATATAGGTAAATGGAATACATTTGGGAAAGAGAAAAGTCTAAACATTTAGTTTATACTCACTAAAAGCAGCTAATACTCAGCTGGCTGGGATATTTTTAGTAATCACTGACATTCTAAGACAAATGGATTTTCCACGTGTCCATGAGGAAAAGTCAGTTTCCTGTTTTGTGCTCATCTCTGCTACTCTATGAAAATCTTGGCTTTGTAACACTTATGGAAAAGAGCCGCCCTCAGAATGCTGAAAACATGATAGGCTATTTAAAAATAGTTATAAATGCCATTCTCTTTGTTTCAAGAACCTCATGAATAGCAACGTGGCCTTAACAGACCTTCAGATCAAAATGGCTTAACCAGGACAGTTATCAAGGATTAAAATTAAAACTGCCCCAGAACTGGGTGTAATGGCTCACCCAGCCTCCCAAGGTGCTGTAATCCCCCAGCAACTTGGGAGGCTGAGGTGGGAGGATTACTTGGGGCCAGGAGTTCCCCTGGCAACATAGAGAGATACAGTCTCTACCAAAAAAAAAAAATTAGCTAGGCATGGTGGTGCACATTTGCAGTCCTAGCTACTCAGGAGGCTGAGGCAGGAGGACGGCTTGAACAGGAGTTTGGGTATACAGTGAGCCATGATCATGCCACTGCACTCCAACCTAGGTGACAGAGTGAGACCCTGACTCTTAAAAAAAAATGTGCCCCAGTATTAGTGGGCTTCAGTAGCAGTGTAACTGCTGTTGGAGCATCAGAAATCTTCCTTACACCTCTTTTTACATAATATCCCCCAGAGGCACCCCAATAGGCTAGACTCATCACAGTGAGAAGAGTCAGAGGAGCCTGCGTGCTCTGGTCATCTAGTGATGAGGCTCAGAGAATTGCAAATGGGGCTTCCTGTTCTGGCTGCCTTGTGGCATGTGTGAATTATGAGCTGTAGATTTCAGCCCAGTTCTGTTGAGGACAAGAGTTTGCTGTGGAAAAAGCATTTGTCACTGCCATTGCTAACAGCCTTGGCTGGCCCTGTTTCTTGGCCAAGGACTCAAAGAAGGGAAGGAATAAGGTTAAGAAAATAGGTTCCCATTTCCAGCAAAGGGCTGAAAACGGAGCAGTGGGACTGTAATTACTCTCAAGACTGGCAGCCACATATAAAAATTAATTGGATGCTCAATTTAGGATTGCAGTTAGTTTAGCAATATCTGGACCCAGATGCCACCGCAGGAAGTAAAAACATACAGTTGAGAACTTCTGCTACACTCTGCATAGCTGAATCTCACAAATGTAACATGGGATAGATGCAGCTTGGCAGCAAAGATTACATCATGTGTATCGCCATTTACATGAAGTTCAAATACAGGATGCTGGCCCCTTCTAGGGAGGAAGGGGCTTGAGGAGCTGCTTACTGTTCTATGCCCTGATCTCACTGGTGGTGTCACCACTACTGACTTTTCTATGTGTCACACTTCAACTATTTTAGTGCCAGGAATTTGCCTCTTCCAATGAATGAGTGTGCTTCCTTTCAGCAGTCAATGAAATCTGTTTAAAAACCAGGCCTCCATCTTTCGTTTGGGATGACAAGATGCTCAGAGCAACATCTAAGAAATGTACTTTTTGGGGAGTGTTTTTTTTTTTTTTTTTTTTTTTGGGTATATCCATTTCCCTCTCCACCTGTATGCCTTTTGAAATGTTCTACTTTGATATGAATTTTTCGTGTAAATTTTTGACTATTGCAATTCCTTTTCAAATTGGGATAGGCAAGCTCTGCAAATTTTTCTACCTGTATTAAACCAATAAAACTTAAATAGTCGTATTTGGAAATTTAAGGTAAGGAAACTGGTACCTGGTACATTTTCCTAATTTGAAAGACCATTTACTAATGACAGCTCTTCAAAAAAGTCCTCCCAGACCAAGGGAAAAAAAAAAAAAAAGCACAGTACTCAAGATTTCATGAAAATTAACATCCTGATTTTGCTATTAAACTTTTTCCAAGCCTTTTTCTCCTGAAAGCTCTATCTGTTATAATTCACTAAAGTTAAAAGGTCCAGTAGTCTTGCATTTTTTTAGAGTATGGAAACTTTATTTCCATGTTTGATGAGTAACAGATTTAGCAGCACCACTGAGGCACAGGGGAAATCAGAAGAGCTTCCTGGCCACTGACTAGGAGATCTGCTGCAGTTAGCCTGCTGCTTAAAATCGCCATCAGGGCAATTAAGATATCCATTTGCTATTACCGTAATCTGACATTTGTATGAAATGCCCCCTGCTCTCTTGCAAACAAAATCCAGCTTCAGCAACAGAGCACAGTGCTCACCATGGGGAGCTAGAGCCAACACAAAGGCCTATTGATGGGAAGATCTCTATGATATCCTAGCCTCTTTGATCTTTTTAAAAGGGATACAAAGGGCACTGATAGAGGATTGGCAAATCTATTCAGAAGTAGGAGCATTTGTTGAGAAAATAAAATTTCAAGTTTAAAAAGGAGGAAAACAGGATGAATAGTGGAACAATGTCTCCCCAGTGCACCTAAATCTCCCCAGTTGTGAAGTCTGGGAGTCCATTCAGGGATCACGCGAACCAGCACAGAAGCAAAATGTGTGCCGCCACACCCCCAGCACACCCCACTGGAATCTCAAGCTGGACCTAGGAAAACATGAGGAACTGCAACAGTTCTCCCTCTAGAATGAGGAAACTGTGGCCAGAGGTAGGGCAGGAAGTGCATTTTCCCTGTATACCCTTCAGCACCTGCTGAATTTCAAACTGTGAATGTATTACCTAATGTTAAAAATTAATGAACTTAGACTTCCCAATTCTGGCAAGATGGAGTAGACATGCTTTTTCCTATTCTTCCTATCAAGTAGAACTAAAAATACTGAGCATCATATGTAGAACAAATATAAGATGATTCTGGAAGGTAGAAAGAAAGCAGACCAGTCAGAGACCTTGAGACCCAAAGAACAAGGGAGTGCGTTCCTGGGTTGTCTTCTTGCCTCATTTGTCCTAGACTTAGAACTCAAGTCAGCAACCTGGAAACATCGACAGGCTCTCACACACACAAAGGCCGGAACAAAAGCCTGTTCTCTCTAACAAAAAAGAATGGAAAAAGGGCTGCCTAGCAAGACAGAAAACTGTGAGCCAAGAGCGGCGATACTTCAGCCAAACACTTCACTGTGCCCCACTCCCAGCCACACCAGCAAAGGTGGAGCCTAGACTCCCACCCCTGCCAGGCTGGAAAGAGGAGCCCCAAATCCCCTGTTGGGGTGGCATGAGAGAAGGCCAAGTAGGGAGGCAGGATGTTCCTCTCCTGGGCAGTGACAGTACACTCCTCCTGCCCCCACTGGGGTGTCAGAGGAAGCCTAGCAGAGAGTAAGGACTTTCAGCATGCCCAGCAGTGACTGGGCAGCCCCCACTTCTACCTGTCCCCGCCAGGAAAGACCTGCAGAGGCCCAGTGAGCAGCTGGGACCCCCATCTCAACCAACAGTCACAAGCGGGACAGATGGACTTTTCAACACACAGAGGCTGTAACAACTGACAACAACAGGTGAAGCAGTATGAATCCAGACCTGGACATCACACCTCACAGAAAAGTGAGCTCAAAACAGATCACGGGCTTAAATTTAAAGAGTAAAACTAGAAACTTTTAGATAGAAACATAAGAAAAATTCCTCAGGATCTAGGAGTAGACAGAGTTCTTAGATGCCAAGAGCATGATCCGTAAAAGGAAAAACTGACCAAATGGGCTTCATCAAAATTAAAAGCTTTTGCTCTGTGAAAGAACTTGTTAAAAGGATTAAAAGATAAGCTACGGATTGTTAGATATTTGCAAACCACAAATCCTTCCAAGGACTAGTATCTGGAATATATAAAGAACACTCAAAACTCAATAGTTGAAAAAAGAAAGACAAAAAAAAAAAAAATCCCCAAACTCAAGTTAAAAAAACAAAAGACAAAAAAAAAAAAAAAATCCCCAAACTCAAGTTAAAAAAACAAAAGACAAAAAAAAAAAAAAATCCCCAAACTCAATAGTTAAAAAAACAAAAAACAAAAAATCCCATTAGAAAATGGGCAAAAGACATGAACAGACATTTCACCAAAGAGGATGTGCAGATAGCAAATAAGCCACAGGATGTTCAACATCATTAGCCATTAGAAAAATGCAAATTCAAGCCACAATGAGCTATCCCTGCACACTGTCAGAATGCTCCCAACCAAGAGACCTGACCAGCCTGGGAAGATCAATCTCAGTGTTTCTCAATGTGCGTTACATGGAAGTGTTTCTTTCTCTCCCCACAACCCATTCACCCACAAGGACTCCCACTCTGAGGCTACTAGACACAAAACATAATTTCCAAAATGTACTTAAGCCAAGAAAAAGGCAACCTCAGCAGGCTGACCCATTATCAGGACTAAAATCTCTCATTTCTGTTGGTATTTGACCAGTAACTAATAAAAATGCAGAAAATGTTCATCATTAGGAATTAGGAAAACATCAAAGACAATTGGACATTTCCAGATTTTAAAATTACAATTTTTTTTTTTAAATCACTGTATGTTCAAAATACTAACTGTGACTTTGCTGAAAATCACTGGAATGAACAGATGAGGATGGCTGAAGATCCTTTAAGAATTATTTCCAAGATTCAGGTCCTCATGTGGTAATTATGGCAATAATTACCATAATCAACCTGACCTCTGAGAAGTCATGCATAGCAAGCCCTGACCCAAGAGAAGACTGCAGTTACCTGGCCTGGTCAGCTCACTGAAGAGCTGAAGGAGAAAGCAGGGGTCATAGAGGCCATCAAGATCCACCCTGCTTTTGTCTTTGAATATCAGCTCCTGTGTGTCCTGAAAGAGCCAAAATCAACAAAAACGTGTGATTCAACCTCACAAAGGTAATACAGGTTGAGTATCTCTTATCTGAAACACCTGGGATCAGAAATGTTTCAGATTTTGGAATATTTGCATACATAATGAGATATCTTGGGGATGGGAGCCAAGTTTAAACACACAAATCATTTATGTTTCATATGCACGTAATATACATAGCATGCAGGTAACTTTATACAGGAATTTAAGATAATTTTGTGCATGAAAGAAAGTCTCTGTACACTGACCCTCAGGAAAGCAAAGGCGTCTCTATCTCATGTTAGTGCTCAAAAAGCTTCAAATTTTGGAACATTTCAGATTTGGGATTTTCAGATTAGAGATTCTCAACCTGTATGGCATAACTGTTTACCCTCTACTGCCAGAGCTCAAATTATTTTGAATATTTAAGGGCATAAAGCAAAGTGCTTGTGTAAAAAGCAGTGCTTGTACATGAAATGATAGGATCCTTGGGATGTGCTGCAACATAATCTCCTTGGGGGCAGGGGAACAGAGTGGTATAAACAGAACAAGCGTGGCCAGTGCAGATCATTGTTGCAGCTGGGCGGTGGGCTTATGAGGGTCTGGTCTCTATACCTTTATATATGATAAGATTCTTACTTAATAAAAAGGTAAATAACAAGAAAAACGAAGCTGAGGGTGCAGATGGAGCCCCTGAGGCTGGGGTGAAGGGGTGGGTAGGGACAGAACAGCAGCAGCCCAACCTCGGGGGGCAGCAGCCTCCGGTTCTGGGGGAAGTGCAGGATGGTCTGCATCATCCGGTCCCGGTCCAGCAGGCGAAGGATGTCCCCGACACTCGGCTGCTGCCACAGTGACCTGCCCAGGCTCCGGCACGTCTTGTGATGCTCCACGGCCGCTGGGCCCCACAGCAGCACCCTAGAGCCAGAAAAGGGAAAAGAGACTGGTCACAGAGCCCCCCGGGAACAGAATTAATCATGATAACAACAACAGGTAGCAGTTGTCAGGCTGCCAGTTCACACCAGGTGCTGTTCTGAGCATGCGACGTGTTATATCACTCAATCCCATCACAGCTTACGAAGTGGGTGGTGGTGATGGTGAGGCTGAGGGTGGGTGACAGTGTCAGTGATGACGACAGAAGCTGGTGTCTACTCAGCTGGCCCTATTCTAAGCCCTTCATGTAGATCAATTCACTCAATCTGCACAACATCTCCATCAGGTGGGTACTATTATTATACCCCTTGTGCAAATGGGGGAAAGAGGTGCGGAGAGGATTAAGCAAGTTGCTCAGCTGCTCACCTGCTCAGATGGTATGTTGCAGGGCTGGGATTCAGACTCAGGAAGTCTGGCTCCTGAGTCCATGCTAGAACATAGCGGCAGAATTCTGATCTCTCACTGCTCACATGTGGCCACGAGTGAACCAGGTCTGCCTACACAAGCCTTTCGGCTAAGCCCACCATGTGTGTGCTATGGACAACCTTCATACCTCAACCGCCACCACAGCTGTCAGAGGCCACCTTGCCTTCCTTCCTCCTAGAAAATGACTCCAGCCTAGCACTTCCCCCAACTCTCCTCCTCCCTCCCCCATCCACTGCCCTGCTGCTGCCCCGCTGCTGCCAGGCCGCTCCCCAGAGCCCAGCTGTGACGAGGAATGCTTCCCTGCTGTCTCCCAGATGGAATGGAAATGCTTCCATCTGGTACTTTCACCCTCCACTGGCAATCCACGTGGCCTTCCCATTGCCTGTTTCCCTGCACACATCCAATGACCCCGATAAGCCGGGCTACTCACCCTTTCCCCAAATGTCCTGAGTTTCCACTCCTGCATGCTGTTTCCTCCTCCTGCTGCCCCAGGCCCCTCTGCCCACCTCACCTCAATTAAATCCCTCTGACTCGCCAAATGCCAACCCTGGCACGAATCGGTCTTGAGCACATAGGGCCTGGCTCTTGGTGCTCCTGTAAGAGCTGGTTTATATCACGGGGCGTGAGTCAGCTGCCACTTTAAAAATGTCTAAATTTCTCACAGTCTGTTACCCTCAGCAGATGGGAAGACTGTATCTCATTCCCATAGGTTTTCCTGAGAGCACCAAGCCCAGCGCCTCCAGGCAATCAAGGAACATTATCTATAGAGCTAAATACTTCTAAACAAAATTCTTCTAAATACAGGTTCGCTTCTGTGCAAGTCGACAACAGTCACTAATGTCAGAAAAGGAAAGAATCATCCTTTCAGGAATGCTCGCTGTTCACCCCAGTTTCTGGCAGGCAGAGAGCCCATGCGCCAGGCACACCCGGCAGACTGCCCATCACAGACCGGCGGGAGAGCCGCCACGTAGCGTCCAGGATCCCCAGCTCAGCTCCCCGAGCTCAGGCCTGCTCCCTCATCTAAGGACGAGATGTTTATTTTGTTTGCGGAAATGCTCTGTGCCCCTTAGAGCCACAGTGCCAGTGAGCGGCACATCCTTGATTCGCTCTTCCCCGGCAGCTGAAACTAGACTCCCTTCACAGCCAGCCCTGTCCTGTGACTCCCTGGGCAGCCTCGCTTGGCGTTCTCTGCTGTGTTAGAGGTCGTTCTGCAGAAATGGGTAGCTGGAACAATGCTGCACTGTGATAAAACCCGCCTCCGACTTGCTCTCCCCTCTTCCTCACATAAGAAGGGCTATTCTACTCCAGAAAGGACATAACTGACATAGCACCAGCTCCGACGTCAAAAGAGCGAGGCTGCCGCAGGAGAAAGGAAAAGAGCTTCTATGCAAGCCCTGGGCATTCTTAAGAGACAGAAAAAAATGTTTTCATTTCCTTTTTCTTTCTTTTTTTTGTGGGGTGGGGAGGGTTGGGAGATAGCTTCTGGGCTGATACAGCTCTAATCTTTAAACAAAGTACTTTGACGTGGAAATTGTTTTCTCCTCCCTGCAAGCTCTCCTGAACAATCTTCCTTGGCCCAGTCAGCCCGCCTCCTGGCTGAACACACACACACACGTACATACTGAGCAGATGTTCCAGTGCTAGTCCCAAATGGCAAGGAGAAAAGAAGACTCTAGGGCAGCAAAGAGGATCCAAAAGTGCATTCTATCAATGGCACATTTGATCAAGCTCCTGCTTAGGTGCGGCACTTGTAAAGGTGAGGCAGGGCCCACAGGGAAAGGTGTCACACTCAGCCCTGCAGGACCAAAGCCCACCTGACCAAAAGACTGGGAGCCCAGGAAAGACAGACATGTACACCCACACCCACCTACATACACGCATGCACACACAGACACAAGCATGCATGCACATACAGACAAAAAAAAAGAGATTTTATGTACAGTTGAGCCCCCTGACACTTCCCCTGAAATCCCTATGGCATAAGTCAATCTACCTAAAGGCATGAGCAGAAAAGTTTTCAGAAAAATCAACCAAATGAGACACCCCAGTCCAGCTGACAGTGCACAACAGGGGCAATTCCAGACAGACAGGCACCCATCAGTCAGCTGCAGTGGCCCTGCCCAGATGCCTTATGGCATAAGGCCAAGCTTCCCCAGAGCACCCTATGCAGAAGCCAGTGTGAGTCAGGGGAGTGCTGCCTGCCTCACTCTTTCCCTGAGAACCAAAATGGAATGAGAGAAAATCTCGAGTCTGGAGCTCACTGTGTGGAGAGCAGGCTGTGACCTCAAGGCCTAGTCTACCTCTAGCCCAACACTCACCTGAAGTTGATGAGGCTGAGCTTGTTCTGCTCATACGCTCGAAGCAGAAGTAAAATCTTCTGATCTACAAGTCAAAGCAGGATCGGTTTAGGAAGATGAACCCCTGACACCCTCCTGCTGCTCCCACCACCTGCCCTCATACCCTCCCTGCTCAAATGGCCCGGTCCTCATATCTTCACCCTGCTTGCACCGCCTGGTCTCACTGTCTCCTCCTGCTCACATCCCTCCAGCTCTCATTCCCTATCTCTGCTCACACCCCCGGCCCTCACTCCCTCCCCCTGCTCACACTACCCAGCCCTCACACCCTCACCTAGGACGCTGAGAGTGGCGCCATAGGCCCCGAGAAGCACTGCAAAGTGGCTGCTCTCACAGACAGAGGGGCACATCTCCACCACCGTCAGCATCAGGTCCACCAGCGCTTCTGCAAGAAAACAACCCTGAAACACATGGCATGGTGGGGCAGACACACTGAATACCAGAAGAGGAGAGAGCCTTCCAGGCAACATTGAAATGCTGGAAATCTCCTCCTCTGAATAATACTGGTGTTTGGACTGCCATCTAATCCCTTCCCCGCTTATTTTTTTGTTATTATTATTTTCTTTTCTTTTTTTCTTTTTTTTTTTGAGATGAGGTCGTGCTATGTTGCCCAGGCTGAACTCCTTAGCTCAAGCAATCCTCCTTGGCATCCCAAAGTGCTGGGATCAGAGGCATGAGCCACCGCGCCCAGCCCCCCACGTGTTTTTCAATTAAGACATCTCCACAGTCACCTTTCTTCCTAGGCCTTTGACAAGGCTGAATTCAGTCCCTGCGCATTCCCCCTCCCAAATGTTAAGCCAATACAGATTTTCAATCCAGGCATGTTTTCCCCATGACTGTGCTACCAAAGCCTCTACTCTGTCTACTCTTGCCTGAATTGAATGGTGGAGCCCTTTTAGTTTTTCTACTACCCATACCAGTGATGTGGCTAATGGCTGTCTTCGACTTATTAATAGCAGTTTATTACAGTCTGACCCTGTGGTGATTGCTAATACTTCCGGGTGTGAATTTTATCTGTCTAAACAGAGCGTGGCGTCAGGAGGGCAGGAACCCTCGGATTATCTTCTCTGACATCCGACCTGTGAGCACTAAAGTGAATCCTTACTGAATTAGGGATGGAGCCTAAACTTAGGCTTTTGAAGTTCTTTACCACTGAACTGTCAATGGGCAAGTTCCAACCGTTTTCCCTTGATAAAAGTTTCAATCTTCCCAAGCAGAAATTTCATGCAACTAATCAATTTCTCTCAGGTTAGACACCCACACTTTTTTCCCACGCGTGACTTCCCCTCGATCCCAGATTTTAACATGAGCCCATGATAACGGCACTAAGATCTCAAACACAACTTCTGTAAGCCAGTTAAGGCCTTGAAAACAGGTTTGTATTTGCTGTTTGACCACAAGTCAGAGGAGACATTTCTTCACCCTGGATTTGACAGAAATAAAACATTCTGACACTGTCTTGGCAATGCTTCCTTAGCTCCGAGAGCCGGAGGGAGATGAGCCTCAGTGCAGCCAGTGTAAGGAAATCAGGAGATAAAATCTGGATACGGAATGGAAGGGCTGGGGTGAGGGGTCACCTTTTACTTGGCTGTCCGGGCTCTCCTCTCCGTCAGACGTCAGTAGAGTCGGCAGAAACAGCGAGTGCTGCATGAGCATCACGTAGACCACCGGGAGCTGGATGAGCTTCGTGCGCACGGAGCTTTCTGGGCTGTACAGGAGCTGTACGGCGGTGAGGAGCATCTTTAAAAATGTGTGGTCCTGGTACCGAAATCTAGGCGGCGAGAGTCAAAGGGAAAAGAGCTTTGCTAAAAGGAAAATTTATTTTACAGGAAACAATAAAGATTCTTTTTCTCAGTATTTTATTTATTTATTTATTTTTGAGATGGAGTCTCATTCATTCTATTGCCCAGGCTGGAGTACAGTGGTGCAATCTCAGCTCACTGCAGCCTCTGCCTCCCAAGTGCAAGTGATTCTCCTGCCTCAGCCTCCAGAGTAACTGGGATTAAAGGCATGCACCACCACGCCTGGCTAATTTTGTATTTTTAGTAGAGACGTGACTTCACCATGTTGGCCAGGTTGGGCTTGAATTCCTGACCTCAGGTGAGCTGCCCACCTCGGCCTCCCAAAGTGCAGGGATTACAGGCATGAGCCACTGCGCCCGGCCATTTTCTCAGTATTTTATTAAGAAAATGTTCAAACAACACCAAGTTGAGAATTTTGCAGCAAATACCCTATACCCACCATCCAGGCTCTACCACTGACACGGCACTGCATAGCTCTATCACAGTCTTGTCTGTCCACTGACACAGGGAGCACTTCTCAAAACAAGGGAGGGATGCAGTGCATTTATTTTCTTTTTTTTTTCTTTTTTTTTTTTTTGAGACGGAGTCTCGCTCTGTCGCCTAGGCTGGAGTGCAGTGGCATGATCTTGGCTCACTGCAAGCTCCGCCTCCCGGGTTCACACCATTCTCCTGCCTCAGCCTTCAGAGTAGCTGGGACTATAGGCGCCCACCACCACACCTGGCTAATTTTTTCATATTTTTAGTAGAGACGGGGTTTCACTGTGTTAGCCAGGATGGTCTCGATCTTCTGACCTCGTGATCCGCCCGCCTCAGCCTCCCAAAGTGCTGGGATTACAGGCGTGAGCCACTGAGCCCAGCCCAGTGCATTTGTTTTCTTTATGACTCAAACACCAAAAGAACTTCCTGCTTAGTGGAAACGCCAGGAGGCATGAGAACAGCTGCGCCTGAGAAAGAGGCAACTTAGTGCCTCCCAGGTCACCTTGCCCGGCCTCCCTCCTTCCTCACTCTCCTCTACTCAGAACTTCCATCAAATGGTTCAGAAGCCTTCTATGTCCTAAATCCCTTCAAAACCCACTAAGGAAAGGAAAGCAACACGCTCTAAAGAAAGTGTTTTTCAGTCCTATACGAATAACTTTAACCTAAGATGGAAAGAAATATCATAATTCTGTGATGGTAACCTATAGTTGTCATTAACCTGGCACCCACTCTCACTTCTCTCTCTCCTCTTGTGTGAAATACTTTTCTCTGTTTCAAGTTCATGGGATGGTCAGGGAAATGAAAATAATGCATGACTATCTGATTGCCCCAAACTGAAGAGCTGGAATGTATCAAGGGTCAGGAAGGATGTTAAGGGAAAATGAACGCTGACACACACTCTGTTGGGAGTGCAAATTCGCTGGCCGGGCACAGTGGCTTACGCCTGTAATCCCAGCACTTTGGGAGGCCGAGGCAGGTGGATTACCTGAGGTCAGGAGTTCGAGACCAGCCTGCCCAACATGGTGAAACCACGTCTCTACTAAAAATACAAAAAATTAGCCGAGCATGGTGGTGCGTGCCTGTGGACTCAGCTACTTGGGAGGCCGAGGCAGGAGAATCACTTGAACCTGGGAGACAGATGCTGCAGTAAGCCGAGATCACACCATTGTACTCCAGTCTGGGCAACATGAGCAAAACTCTGTCTCAAAAACAAAAACAAAAAATTTGCTCAACAACTTTGGAGAGCAGTTTGAGCATCTAGAACTGAAGATGCACCCACACTAAAAGCTAGTAAGTCCCCAATCCACCCCAAGAGACATGATAGAGACTGTAAGACTATAATGGGAGAGAATGAGAGAATGAGACAGAGAAAGAGAAAAACAGAGAGGGAGGGAGAGAGAGATGTGATGTAAAGGGGAGAATAGGGAGAACAGCCTAGACATTTGTCAGTAGAGGACTGGCTAAGTAATCTGGAATATAGTCAAAAGACCGAATATTCTACAGCAGTAAAAATGAATGACTTAGATCTACAAGTATCAGTACGGGTAAATTAGAAACATCTCAGTGAACAAAAGGATGTATAAAGAATGATACATTAAAAAAAAAAGAATGATACATTAGTGTAAAATGTTAAACACGCTAAATAATACTGTTTAACAACATACTAACACTCAGTGTATGAAAATACAAAATAAGATACTGACGAGACAAAGCAGAACCTCAGAAGAGTGTTGACCTTTGGTTACAGAGGGATGAGAAAGAAACAGGACAAACACAGAAAACTGTCAGCATGTATTAAATGTGGGGGCTACTATTATTCTCTGCACATTTCTGTATTTCTTTAAATAGTTCTTTTAAAAGACTGCTTCTCTCATCATCAGAAGCACCCTGTGTCAAGAGGCAAATCATTTAACTTCTCCAACTTCTATCTCTAAAAACGAGGTGACATCGGCTCCACCACGTGGATTATGCTAATAACAAGCTATAAAAGAGGCTTTGCATGCTGAACGACATTCACACCTTTACCGAAGGGCACCAAGAAAATAAAATCAACTTACTTGAGTCCCTTCTTCACGAATTTCTGCCAGTCACCAGGATCAACTTCATTAAGTGCATGCTATGAATAAAATAAGTAAGAAAAACACATGAAACATCTCAGTCTACAAAATACTAAAAGGCCCCAGCTGCAGAGCCTTCAGAAAGGCATCTGCCTCCATGGCCTGACTACCTCCTCTGTAAAACCCATGATCAAAGGGTTGAAAAGAGGAGCGCTGGTGTCCCCTTCTGCTCTGACACTTGTGATTCAACCCAGCAGCTGCTCTGTTCTGGACTCTCTGTGCAATGATTATTTTTTTTTAATAGAATAGGCATACAAATTTATTAATGTGCGTGGGAAAAATCACTGAGCAGTTACTCTTGTTTGCACAATTCTTGACAAGCATGTGATAGCTCAAACTTACAGGGGCAGAGAGCAGAACCAAGATTAATCTTAAAACAAAAACTAAAATGCAGAATATGAAATTACACTTAGAGCACTTAGAGCCATGTAATATGAAATTACACTTAGGGCCATTCAGTAAATATGAAACACAGTCATCCAAACAATCCACAAGAGCATGAAGGTTTTGGATTTTTTTTTTTAACTTAAAAAAAATTGTTTGGTTATTTCTGCTAGTAGCTCTGACATTTTATCAGCATAATTGTGTTTATCAAATAGTCAAAGGAAATTTCCTGAGTAGTCCTGTTATTTTTTTCCTTTGTCTATCATTTCAAATAGCACTAATAGATTTGTAATTAGCCTTTTATTAAATAGCCAATGAAAACTACTAGTGTGACACCTTTACCCAGCCTCCAGGACACAGGGTTGGATGACATGAAGAGGTCTGTGGAACTGGATGATCAATGCTGGCTCCAGAGAGACCAGCTACAGGCCGTGTGTGTGCAGGCTGCTGCCTCCCACCAGGCTGGCTGTGCAGTGGAGGCCACAGTTCCAGAAATCACAAGGAAATCCAAGGAGATCCTGGACCCATCAGCTGAGGTATATCTCACACTCGTGACTTTTTTTTTTCTTTTTTAAAAGAGATTGGGTCTTGCTAGGTTGCCAAGGCTGGAGTGCAATGGTGCAATGGCTATTCATAGGCGCAATCCCACTACTGATCAGCACAGGAGTTTTGACCTGTTCTGTTTCCAACCTAGGCCAGTTCACCTCTCCTTAGGTAACCTGGTGGTCTCCTGCTCCAGGAAGCACTAGTGCCAACTTGTGAACCAGGAAAGCCGGAACCCTGGTCAGGATCTCCTCTCGCTCCAGAGCAGCTGGAATTACAGGCGCGTGCCACCATGCCTGGCTCATCACATTTTTATATACATGTTCTCTTTCCCCCAGCATTTCCTGCAACTGGACATAAATGGCCAAGTGTGCAAAAATGGACCATGCAAAGATGTTTATCACAGCATTCTTTATCATAATAAAAAACTGGAAAACCACCCACAGCTCCAGTATCATACAACTGCGTGATACATGATGGTACATTTACCCATCTACCACTGACCACTAACAAAGTCACAGCAGGTCCGCAGTCATCGGGTGGGGAAAAAAAATCTCTAAATATGGTATTATGCTAAAAACAAACAAAAGACCAGGCTACACACAGCATGCATAATATCCTATTAATATATAAAATTATACATAATTTTATCACACACACACAGATATATAACAAGGTTTCTACAGGGAAATTCACCAAACTTATAATGAGATAGACTCTGGGTAATGGGAGTTTTTTTTTTGTTTTCTTCTCTATTTTTTGCAGTGTGAATACTTGCAATGAGTATGTCTTTTAGCCCTGTGATCACAAAAACCAGTAATTCCAAATTTTATGAGTGGTAGAGGAGAGTGGACATCATACAGTAGAATTCTACTCAGCAACAAAAAGTAAGAAACTACTTATTCCCACCACATGGATGAATCTGGAAAGCATCACTGAACTTAAAGAAGTGAAACGCATCACAGTTGACACACTATATGATTATACTGCACGGTTCCAAGTATACAAAGGTCTCAAACAGGCAAAACAACCTCAGGGTTACAGAAATCAAAAGAGTGGTTGCTTTGGAGGGAAGGGGATTTTGAGAAGATGCACAAGAAACTTTCTGGGATGATGAAAATCTTCTTGGATAGGAATGTGGGGTACACAGATACATGAAGTACACATATTTCTGTATATTTCAAAATATGTAAACTTACCTCAATTAAAAGAAAAGGCAGGTAAGGAGGGAGGCAACCCTCTAAAAGAGCCCAGTCTGTCATTCCATCATCAAGCCACCCACTGGATGGAGAGGAATAATGGCCAAATATCTCTAAATTTTGTGAAAACTATAAACCTACAGACCACGAAGCTCACTGAACCCAAAGTACAAGAAACTTGAATAAAACTACCCTGAAGTGTATCATTATCAAACTGCTTTAAACCATGTAAAAAAAAAAAATCCTAAAATCAGTCAGAGAAAGAAGACACAACACACAGAGAAACAAAGGCAAGAAAGGCAAGTTTCTTACTGGAAGCAAAGCAGGCCAGAAGACAGAAAAGCAACAAGTTTGAAATACTTAAAGGAGGAAAAAACTATCAACATAGAATTTTATACCCAGTGAAACTTCCCAACTTGTTTTATAAGGCCAGCATTACTTAATCCTTAAGACCAAAGACATTGCAGGAAAATAAAATTACAAATATCCCTCATGGACACAGATGCAAAAATTCTTAATGAAATATTAACAAATCAAACAATATATAAAAATAACACATCAAAATCAAGCAGGCTTATCCCAGGAATGCAAGGTTGGTTTAACATTCAAAAATTTGTTAATATAATTCATCTTATTGGTAGACTAATCAAAAAACAAGACATTATATAACATCTTGAAATGGAAAAAAGCACTTGACAAAAAGCATTTGACAAAATCCAAACATCCATTCCTGATAAAAGATGGTTCATCAATTCTGGGGTTATCCAGTATCTGCCACTCTGCCCCAGACACAGCCCCTCTCATTTCCTACAGGGCCATATTCATGCCACCTGGCTTGAAATGCATCTATAGCTTGGTTTGTCTAGCATACTCTTTCCCACAGAAATTTAATCTGGATCTCTAAGAAAAGACACTTACCAACAACGCATTTAATCTAAGCAGCATTTCCTTCTCCTGATTCTGAGTATTATCATCATCTTGCTGTCCACCACTGAAAGACACGATCAGCCACTTCACACAGGACTCCAAAAGGGTCCTTCTCCAGGCACACAGCTCTTCTGCTGACCCTTCCAGAGCTGCTGAAATGGAGTCGGCCACGATCCACCTGCAGCAGGAGATGAGAGTCAGAGACAGAGAGCAGGTTTAAATCCTTCTGACTTTACGTATAATCCAGCATCACAAAGAGCCATATGGGATAGATGCTGAGTCCTGCTCCCCACACTACCCACTCACAGGAATCACAGGCTTCCCTGGACTCTTACTCAAATGCCAAAGATATACCAAAATTTTTACAAGCAAGGGAAATACTATTAGTACACCAGGAAAAGGACACGTATGTCCAGACTTTTTCTAAATCAGGGTTTCTCAACCTCAGTGCTACTGACATTATGGGACAGATAATTCTACCCTTTAGAAGCCAGAAGCAACACCCTCTCATCCTAGTTGTGACAATAAAAGATGTCAGACATTGTCAATTGTCCCCTGGGAGAAAATCACCCCCAGCTGAGATCCATGGCTCTCAGGGAACCCGACCCAGCCATCTACTTGTGGAGATGTACAAGCTCCAGGCAGGATGGCTGGAAGTAGAGTTCTCATAGGAACTGCCTGATCACAGATGGGGCACAACAGTAATGCAGCAGTTTTTCAATGACTTACTCTATGAATTAAAAAAAAAATGACACCGAGAGTGGAACATCCTGCAACCAACCTGAGCCTTCATACCTCTTGTGACTGCTTGGGGTGTGAAGCAAGCTGGGCAGGCGGTCCATGAGTACACTGAGATCCTTGGCTCGTGCAAACGGGACCAGCTGTGCCAGGATCTCCTGGTACAGCCCAGATGCTGGGGGACTGTCAGTGCTAAGAAGCCTGCTCTGTAGCTGCCTCCACAGGGTCTTCCTCAAGACAGGAATGACAGCGGAAGACACTAGGGCAGAGATACAAAGGAGAAGTCATCACACCCAATGGTGGGCTGCAGCCAGCTTGGACCAGCTCCTAGGAACTGGTTGCTATATTTTAGGTATCCTGTGACCCTGGTGATGCCACACCGGTGGCCTGAAATTGGTCACGGCAGGAGTACTGACACCATGGAAACTGGCACACCTGTCTCCTTCAAGGGTCCTCCCCTATCTCATCAGTCAACACTCTTGATGGATACTCTTCAACACAGGGGGCCCTGGCTATAGACGCTATTTCTAAGCTCATGATGAGACCATGAGTGCCAAGGTTCTCAATTCATATGGGATTCATTCTTCAAAGCCATGGAATAGGGAGGGTAGCTGCTATGGTTTGGATGTCTGTCCCCTCCAAATCTCATGTTGAAATGTGATCTCCAGTGTTGGAGGTGGGGTCTAATGGGAGGTGTTTGGGTCATGGAGGCAGGTCCCTCATGAATGGCTTGGTGCAGTCCTTGTGGTAGAGTGAATGAGTTCTGGCTCACCCTATTAGTTCCCAGAGTGCCAGGTGTTAAAAAGAGCCTGCCACCTCCTGTGCCTCTTGCTTCCCCTCTGGCCGTGTGATCTCTGCAGAGCTGGCTCCGCTTTTTCTTCCACCATGAGTGGAAGCAGCCTGAGGCCCTCACAAGAAGCAGACGCTAGCTCCTTGCTTCCTGTACAGCCTGCAGACGCATGGGCCAAATAAGCCTCTTTTCTTTATAAATCACTCATCCTCAGGTCTTCCGTTATACCAATGTTAAATGGACTATGACTAGAAGACTTGCAGGGCACTGTCTTACTTTTTAAAACCTCTGTCATCAATGATAGGAAGTTATGCAAAACAGAGGCAAAGTGGTGAGTAAAAATCACCCATGCATTCAACAAAAGGGAATTACATTAAATTTGGGGTAATTGAAAAGTGCCTCAGCTCTGAAACCCAGTGAGTGGAGACAGAAGAGAGAGCTGAACCCAGGCTGCCTCGACTCAACATCAACTCATCAACATCTCCCCAGAGGGCAGGGAACCCTGGGACATGGGATGGATTGGCACCCAAGAACTCCTTCAACGTAACAGGACAGCCCTAAATAACCCCCGCTACTGTACCCAACTCCCGCCAGCTTCATGTGGGGGAACTCAGACCTGATGGGGCACAATGGGCTGTGCCTCAAGCCACAAAGTAGGGAGACTGAAGGGAGACAGGGTACTGGGGAGAATTACTCCACCTTTCTCCATCTTCAGAGTTGTGTCAGACACTGGAAACTAACCCACATCCCAGAACCTGAATTTCTAGGGTTTAAAAATGGCCATGCAGTTCACCTTCTTAGCCCGTGCAACTTAAGACCCCAGCTGCCCAAAGCTAGCCTTTCCCTTACCTCCTGCTGGGCGTGTGAAGTGGCTCCGTGTCCTGCACTGGAGGTACACATGGATGAGGGGAAGGAAGTCGTCCAGGTCCCCCTGGAGGCCGAGCCCTGGGCCAGCCTGCAGGCACCACTGCTCGAACCACAGCAAGTGGGTGCAGCTCTCCTGGAGGAGCAGGGCAGCGATGCTGAGGGCCGCCTGTGTGCGCCGGGCCAGGCAGTAGTCAAGCAGATCAGCCCCGACTGCGGGGGCCAGCACAGGGTCTCTCTGCAGAGTGTGGAGGAGCACTGTGTCCAGCTCGTCCACTGCTAGCGTGGGCAGCAGAGCCCCCAGGCCTCTCACATACTCGGAGGACCACAGGAGCTCACCACTCTGCAGCTGATCCTGGGGGCTGCAGGTCAGCAGCTGCACCAGGGTCTTTCCAAGAGCATTCAGGTGTCTTTCCTTCCCGGGGGATTTCGTGGGTTGCTGGGTCACCAGGTGTGTCTCAGGCAGGCTCAGCAAGGCCAGGGTGACCTCACGGAGCTGGGCACCCTCCATGTATGGATGCAGCTCCTGCAGGGCCTCCAGCTGCGGCGGGGTCTTTGGTGGTGATGTGGCCGGGCCCGCCCTCCTGTTCTGAAGTTCCTTCAGCACACTCTGGGTGATGGCCTCTGAGTACCTGGCCAGAAGGCCCAGCTGCCCAATGTTCTGGAGGATCGGGGCACTTGCTGCCAGCAGCTGAAGGACCCCTGCACTAAAGTGGGTGGCCAGGAGCTTCACGAGGACAGGGCTGAGCGTGTGCGGCGGGAGGGCCTGCTGCTCCAGGGCCAGGAACCAGCCCTCCAGGGTGGGGTGCCTGAGGATGGCCACAAGCACCTCCTCCAGCGTCTGAAAGGCAGTGACGAGGCACAGACGTCACATAGAGCACAGGGCTAAGACAGGGGCGGCAGCTGCCACGCAAGTATTCACTGTTGTTAGCGAGACAGAGAGCAGAAGGCCCCTTTCCTAATCCATTCCATCCTCAAGCCTACATTTCCATGCCCCCCTCGGGGTGCCCAAGGCATCGCAGCCAAGCCCAGCCAGAGCTGTCATCCAGTTATACCACAATCGCCTGAGACACTCCACCTGCCCCGGAAGGACTGGACTGTGACCTGGCTGGTGCCCCACCCACATTTGCGAGCACGTGTCTGAAGAACCCAGCCTGGGTGAATTTCCAGCATGGGAAAAGTGCTCTCTATGGTCACTCAGTGTGGGGGGCGGGCCGTGCAGAAACACCACCATGTGAGTAAGATCAATCAGCTGCTGGCTTCTCCTCAGCGGCCTTGCCCTCCTAGATAAATCTGGTTGAGGGACAGGGGTGTCTACTTACAGCTGGGGTGATGTCAGTTTAGATGAGACCATGTGTCCGGGGAAAGTGGGTTGGGATTAAACCACCGTGTGTCTACGATCCTGAATTGAAAGTAATCCTGTCTCCACTGTCAGGAGGAGACTGGGCCTTGAGTGACCCCACAAAACCCCCAAACTAGTTCTGACCTGGCCAACTGAGTAAACATTGAGCAGAATGCAGTTGAGCTCCCTTGCTGGATTAGAGAATAATTTCATTCAGTCATTCCTCACAGCCCTGCTGAACCGATTCCTCGCCAACGACACTCCACCAGTTCCCAGAGACAGAAAGAAATTTTCTTTCCTTATTTATTCTTAGGGAAGGAAAGAGGAGCCTATCACAGTCTCCACTCAAGCTTTACCAGTTAAAAACAGCAAAGCACGATTACATATTGAGAATGCTTTGCCTCACGCTGACTGGCTAATAATAGGTGGTCCCACCCAAGAAAATACCTCCCAGAAAGGCAACTCAGAGCTCAAAGGAAAAAAGTGTATATTTCAATTAGATTGTGCAACAAGGAACGTGTCTGCCTCCTGAACCCGGTAAAACAGGTTACATGGCAAACTGTGAAATAGTCATCTTGGCCCCAATTAAACAGCCTGCTTCCCAAGACTCCCAACAGGACAGAAAGGCTGCTGCTTCTCAGAGCAGTCTATTTCCTGTGTGTATTTCCTGTGAAAAGCAGCACCTGCTGCCCACCTTTCACTCAACACAAGCTGCAGCTATTCACACTGTTTCTCAGCAGGCTCACCTCACACAGCGTGAGAGAAAGCTGTCTGCAGGGAGGGTGACTGTACACAGAAAAGCAACAGGAAAGAGAAGCCCAAATTAAACCGCATGCTGGGCGGGTGCCAGGAAGTTTTTATGATCTCTGCTGTAGTTTCTGCATTTCCCAATTTTCCCACAATGGACCTATGTTTGTTTTTAATCAGAAGTGAAGAGAAAGCCACTGCCCATGACTCTGAGAATAGGCTACCAGGCAACCTGTGGCGGTACCTGATCATTGGCCAACTCCAGCGAGGCCACGGACTCCATGTCCAGGAAGAGGTCGGCTTCGGCCCGGGCGGCCTCGCATCTCTGCTGGTTCTGGGCATCCAGCTGCTCACAGTGGACAACCAGGCGCCTGAGGAGATCCAGGAAGAGCTGCAGGAGGGGCGGGCCCACACTTCTGCCCAGCTGTGAGGACAAGAGCACGAGCCTCAGCAGGGAAGAGACGGGTTCACAGCTACCAGGCAGTGACTTCCAGGGCCCGTGTTTTCAGAGCAGGAGACTCGGGAGGCAGGCTGAGATGGCAACTCCTCACAGAGTGTGTGAGACACCCATCAATGCAATGCCATTTCTCAAATAAGAGATGTGTCTTCCTAAGCCTTGGTGAAACACAAAGGTTGTTTTGACTAAACTGAAAGGGACAGGCCCACCTCAAAACTTAAAAATCCCTTGAACCACATCAGGAACAGAAATTCATCAGCCAGTTACTAAATTAATACACTTAAGAGGGAGGGCTGGGCCAGGCTCAGTGGCTCACGCCTGTAATCCCAGCACTTCGGGAGGCTGTGGCGGGTATATCACCTGAGGTCAGGAGTTCAAGACCAGCCTGGCCAACATGGCGAAACCCCATCTCTACTAAAAATACAAAAATTAGCCAGGCGTGTTGGTGTGCACTTGTTATCCCAGCTACTAGGGAGGCTGACGGTTGCAGTGAGCTGAGGGTTGCTGTTGAGGGTTCAACAGCTTGAACCCGGGAGGCAGAGGTTGCAGTGAGCCAAGATCCTGCCATTGCACTCCATCCTGGGCAACAAGAGCGAAACTCTGTCTCAGAAAAAAAAAAAAAAGAGGGAGGGAGGGCTGGGTGCGGTGGCTCATGCCTGCAATCCCAGCACTGTGGGAGGCTGAGGCAGGCAGATCACTGTGAGCCCAGGAGTTTGAGACCAGCCTGACCAACATGGTGAGAACCCATCTCTTCAAAAAACACAAAAATTAGCTGGGAATGGTGGTGCATGCCTGTAGTCCCAGCTACTTGAAAGGCTGAGAGGTTGGAGGGTGGCTTGAGTCCACTGAGGTCAAGGCTGTAGTGAGCTATGATGCGCCACTGCACTCCAGACTTGGTGACAAAAAAAACAAAGGCCCGGCAGGGCTGCCAACCCATTCTACTGTAGGAAGGGCTCTGTCTTGACCAGGCTGCCCTGAAAACAAAGTCAGGCTGACCTGGCTCCCATGGGCAGGGCTGAGGGACATGAAGAGTTTGCAGCTGAGGTCTGGACAGAACAGCACTTAAACTGCCTCTGCAGTGAGTTCCAGGGAGCAAGAGTGTGCTGGGCTGTGGGCCCGACTCAGAGAAGGCTTAGCTCTCTGGTGGCAGAGCTCTGAAGCCTGTGGAGGATGGGGGCAACGCTGACCTGGCCGAAGTTCTCCACAGTGCTCCGCAGGTAGAGCAACACCTGCTTGGCCGCGAGCAGGACCTGCTGCATGGACAGGTGTGGCATGGTGGCCTGCAGCTGCACCTGGATGTGCTCGTCCCGAAGCGCTTGGCTCTCGTAGGCTGCCTGCAGCAGGGCTGTGAAGGACGAGGCCAAGGGAAGGGCAGGGGGCGAGGGGCTGCCCTGTGCCTGCAGCAGCTGAGGGAGACAGCAAAAGGCCGGGGAAGAGAAAGACACATCACCACAGATGAAAACGGTCATAGGCACAGGTAACACACAACAAACGGACATTTCACAAAGAAGCACATGCTGAGATAAGACTAACGAATACGGGACCGTGTGGCATTTTACTTCAGTAGAGTAAGTTCTCGTACCATGTCATGCGTACTTTCCTAGAGCGTTTCCACTGACCACATGTGAAGGCCCAAATTCATGCTGCATCTACACCCCTTGGAGAACAAGGCAGAAGCCTGTCCCACAGGCAGGAGCCACGTGTGACAGAGGCAGGATGTGAATCACAAGAATCACTAGAAAGGGGGAAATCAGCCCACAGAGAAGCCCGCTCTGCGAGTGGCCTGCCTTCGGAAGACCTTCCCCAGGAGCTGCGGGTCGAATATCTTGTTAGAAGGACAGAAGATGGGCAGAACACAGAGAAATTTCTGGAGCCCTTCTGCCTCAAACTGAAGTTATTCATTTCTTCTAACATTACTACCAAGCTGCCTTCTTTATTTACTCCACGTGGCTTATGTTGCTATAATTCCATTTGACTTCCTTAGGCTAATAAAACCCAAGGCTGTAACATGCCCTGAAACTTGGTGGTTGTCAGTGTTCCCCAGGCCTGCAGCAGCATGTGTGAAATGCAAATTCTCAGGCTCCACCCAGACCTGCCGGGCCAGACACTGTGGCTGGAACCCGGCAGTCCAGTTTGAAAAGGCCCTCTGGGGAATTCCGACACACCCTGGAGGGTGAGAACCACTGCTAAGTCTTATTCCACAGAAGGTGGACACCCACTCCAAGCAACCACGAGGGGCAGGACAGAACCTCTAATACTGCCACATAAGTTGCTGTCTGGCTATCACTGTGGCCTACGTGTGGGGGAAGGTGGCAACATTATGGGTCAGGGCTCTGGAGCCAGACTGCCTGGGCCAAATCCTGACTCCGCCACTGACTGGTGTTGGAACCGCTCTGGGCCTCGGTTTCCCCATATGCATAAAGGATGGTGAGAGTCCCGGCCTACTTCTCAGAGTTACAGTAAGGATTAAACGGCCAAAAATACACATAGTACACTTAGTACAGGACCCGGTATGCCTCCAAAAAACACACAGAAAACATGCAATCGCTGTTGGCTATTGCTACCAATATCACAAGATAAGGAGGGTCTAAACTGACTGCTTTTTCGAATGCAGCTAAAATGAAATGAATGCACAAAAATGCATACCACAAATTTCGTGCCCCACACAGCATTGTAAATACCCTGCACATTGGAGCCAGAATCCCATTAAGAGAATGTAGTCCCCAGCAAAAGAAAATATACTTTTTCCTTTCCTTCCCCAACTTTAACAGAAGAGACCCTGCTGGAGGCCTTGAGGGGCCATGTGTGACAGCTGAGCACAGTTTGTCTAGGGCCATGCTAAGGTCTGCAGAGGAGAGCCAGGAGACAAGCACGCACAGATAACAAGGTAAGGAAAAAAAGGAAGAGGCAACGCTCCTGCCCCAGGCTGGAAGAGGAATTAACCTATTATCATTATCAGGGAGCCAATGGGGAATTTAATTTGGCTGCATCACTGAGTCCTGTGTGTTCAGTTATGTTAGCTGAGCACCAGGGATACTACTTAGCTTCCTCTCTTATGCAGGGGACTTTAGGGTAAGAAATTTCACCCTGCAGGCTGTCTGGCTACCCAACTGCACAGCTGTGGCCCAGCCAGCTGGGACCCTGGGAAGAACCCTGCACAGCAGCAGTGACCACAGCTGTGGCTGCAGCTCACCCAGGCCTCTCGGGCTTGCTCCGGGATCCAGAGGCTGTAGTATCTGTTAAACCGTGAGAGCTGCTGGCAGCAAGGCACCAGGCATGGAGGCTCAAGCTTATCATATGCCTGGAGCAGGAGACACAGAGCCAGGGGGTCCCTCTGGGTGTGGAGGAGGTCAGTCAGCACTGCCGTCAGATATGTCACAACGTTTTCCGCTGCAAAGGAACGAGATGCATATGGGAAGAGGCTGGCTGGGCCCACCCTTCTGTGACCTACCAACACCACCTTCTTCCACATACAGGCAAGACCCTGAAAAATTCATGCAACTCCATGAGGGGACACATAACCACAGGGAAGGAATTGCTACTACTGGAGACTGTACTAGGCTCTGTTTTATTAAACATATACAGCAAAGTCAGACATCCACTCCCGAGGCCCAGGAGTGAAGACCCAGGCATGTAAAAGGCCAGGCAAAAGCCACCTGGGACCAGGACTTGCTAGGTGCTCACCAATCCGTTTACTGTGCCTCGGCACACAAGCCTCTCTTGCGTGTAGGCTGGGACCACATGCCTGGTTAGTCACTTCCAGGCCATAACACCCCTTGCTTGACTGTCCACCCTTTCCAGTTCCCTTTCCATGGTGATCTTGGAAGCCATAAATTGAGATGGCATAGCTACAAAACGGGAGCAGCCTGAATCCCTGACCAACCTCCTAAAGGACAGCCAACCAGAAGAGCCACCTGGCCTGTATTGGACCACAGCATGGTCTAGAAACAGACCCTTATTTATTAAACTACTGACAAGTCAGGGCTTATTTGTTACTGCAGCAAAGCCTGAGTTCTCCCAACCAATCATGCTACTATAATCTGTGAGCACTTCCTTGGGTCTAAGTTGCCTGGAAAATCCAACAAGTATGAAGGATTCATCCTCTACATCAACGTATCAAGAATAAATGTTGACGAAAAAACATCAACGTTACAGAGGCTGTCTGGGCAGCCAGGCAAACACATTATTTCAGACTCACGCTCAAATGACCAATTTCCCAAAAGCCTAGCCAGCCCCAAGATCCCTCCCACTGTGCTCCTAGCTCTGCTGGCTGGGTAGCTATCACTCTGGGGGTTCTGACCTCCTATTGCCCTGGATTCTCAGCAATTGATCCCAGAGCCCCTGGAATCCCACCTCCCACCCTGCACAGACTAGCCGGCCAGGTGCAGCCAAGACATCCTGACTATACATAGGTACCTGCTTCATTGCCTGTCCCAAGGAGCAACTTATTCCTGGCTTCCAGGGCCGCAGGGACTACCGCACTGAATGGGAACGTGAGCAGGATCATGTCTTCACTCAACGTGAACCCTATTTCCTCATCCAAGCCTTCACTGCCCTCCACCAGGACATCCACCATGTCGAGAACATCTGAGACAGAAAGAGGAGAATCCAGCTGATGTGAGAGCCACTGAAGGGTTTCACTGCAAATACCCACAGGGAGGCAGAAGCAGAATACGTGCAAAAAGAAAAAAGCCAAATTCCTCTTGGGGGGAGCATTTAACATAGTTTGACCCTAAACAGACAAAAACATTGCCTATGAAATCTTTTGTATCTTTGTCTGATAAAATGCAGGATATTCAGCTGAGGTGGTAATAGGTTGAAGTTTCCTCAAGTGACACAAGAAGCCCAGGAACTTTAACCCAGATATTCAGGCAAACAAGCCAAAATCTGAGAGGCAAAATAGTGTGAGGGTTAAAGCACAGGCCAGAGCCAGAGTACCTGCGTTCTAATCCTGACTTTGCTATGTAGTAGCTGTATGAGCTTGAGCAAGTTATTATACTAAACCTCTCTGTGCCCCAGCCGCTTTATCTCTATATAAAATGAGTAGAATAATAATACTCTTTTCTCTTGGGGTTGCTTATGAGATTTACATGAGTTAGAACTTAAAAAGAGCTTAAAACCCTACCTGGCACCCAGTAAATACTATGCAAATAAAACAACAAGTGTTTCCCATTACATGAACACATAAGGAGATTATTTCCAGAACAGGCTGGTCTTTGCTGCAAAGGGACTGTGTGCACTTGGCCTAGGGCATTAGTGCAGTTCTTGTTCTCAATCTCTTAACACGTCACTGTGGCTTGGTCTTCAGACCTCTGAGCAGCGCAGAACAGAATGGAACATACCGTCAATGTGGGAGATGGGAATGCTCATGTCATCGGCTTCTTGCTTCGTCATAGTGGCCTGCAGCATGCTTGCTTCTTGGACAAAGTCAGATGCTTTGTCTGTGTATGAATAGGGATTCGCCACCAATGTCAATAAAATCTGGGCATTAAAGAGCCAAATAGAAAGCATTCAGATGGTCACAGGTGAAATGAAGAAGCCAAAAAATGTCACTGGTCAAAATCAAGGCAAGTGATAATATGTTCAATCCTTAATTAGAATAGTTTTACTATGAAATTGGGCCTAAACTTTTTATTGTGGAGTTAAAAAAAAATCTCCTTTTACTATAGCACTGCTTTTAATACCACTTTTGGTTTACCTATTCCCCTATGCAAAAACAAATTCCCAAAAGGAAATGAAACAGCATGCTGTAATATATACGTATTTTACAGATTCTAAAACTATGTAGATTCTGAAGTCTCAGCAAGAATTAGGAAGTAAGCCAGGACGAGAAGCCTTTTGGTGCTGGTGCATCAAAAATGCCTCGATGACGCTAAGAAGTTAATATAATTATCTCTGAGCATGTTCCTTTATGTGGGAAATATGTGCTTACGCGTTCCAGAAACTGAATCACAGTCTCTTTGTCCTCTTCCATGGTGTTCTCTAAATGCTCCAGCCAGAGCTCCAGCTCCTTCCAGGTGTGCTCAAACACCCCCGTGTCCCGCAGAATCTGCCAGGAAGTAGGCACCGGTGAAAAAGTCAGAACAGAACGCGCTTTCTTTCTTTTCTTTGAGACAGGGCCTCACTCTGTCACCCAGGCTGGAGTGCAGTGGCATGATCTCGGCTCACTGCAACCTCCGCCTCCCGGGTTCAAGCAATTTTTCTGCCTTGGCCTCCTGAGTAGCTGGGACTACAGGAGTGTGCCAACACGTCCAGCTAATTTTTCTAATTTTTTAGCAGAGACAAAGTTTTGCCAAGTTGGCCAGGCTGGTATCAAACTCCTAGCTTCAAGTGATCTGCCTACCTTGGCCTCCCAAAGTGTTGGGATTATAGGCATGAGCCACCACACCCAGCCTACAGGACCCACTTTCTGTCGGAGGTCAAGCAGTTTCATTGTGCTCCAGCACCACACGCCCAAGGAGCACGCAGGGGGTGAAAGTTTCATCCCATTTTTCTCTGAAAGTTAGTCTTTCAACATAACATCCCCAATTGTTGAGGGAAACAAGCAAATCATTCTATGCTCTCTCAAAGACAATATAATCTGGCCAGGCATAGGGGCTCATGCCTGTAATCTCAGCACTTCAGGAGACTGAGGTGTGAGAATTGCTTGAGCTCAGGAGCTTGAGATCAGCGGAGGCAACATAGTTGAGACTCTGCCTCTACAGCAAATAGTAATTAAAAAAGTAGCCGGGTTAGTGGTGGTGCGCACACATGTGGCCCTAGCTACTCAGGAGGCTTAGTTGGGAGGATCACTTGAGCCCAGAAGGTCAAGATGGCAGTGAACCGTGATTGTAGCAGTGCACAGCAGCGTGGATGACAGAGCGAGAGCCTGTCTCAAACAAACAAAAAAGACAATATGATCCCTTCTCTCAAGGCTACTCATCGTTTATCCTCATTTCCTAAATAAAAAGAAGGGAAAAAATTTGGCTGCTACTTAGGAGCCAAAGACCTCTGGATTTTCACAAAGACCCAGGTAAATGTGTAAAACTTGACCCCTCACAGCTACTCAACCCTTAGCCTGTATGAAATTCTCCAAGGTCACGAGCCAGTCACATCATATCACTTCAAATGCAGACCTCAAGACTCACTATTCCAACAGAAGAGAAACTGGTATGAGGCAGGACTTGAATGTGCAGAAGTGACGAAATGATTTCCCTAAATGGTCTGAAAGCAGAAACTCAGAGTCTAAGAGGCCTCACGGCACAGAGCCCTGCAACAGCATGCACCAAAGGAAAGCCTGACTGTGCCAATTTCACCTATTTGCAGTCAGTGATCACGAAATCTGGCTGGGGTCAGGTTCACAACTGCACTACCTGGAAGGAAATGGCAACCTATGGAGGTCAAGACTTAGACTGCCACATTCTTTAAGCAGCTCAAGAGAGAAGGCTGTAAGTGTAGCAAGGTTATCAGCATTTCAAATAAAAGTGAAAGGTCAAACCTCTGTACCCTAAACATAGTGCATCCCCCAAGCTGTTTGTTGCAGAGCAGAAATGAGGACTAGATGTCCTACTGCTATCATAAGACCTGACATAGCTCTGGAAACATGAGTATCAAGGACAAAACAAGATAAGGAAATAAATTCCTATTCTCTTCCACTGGCTTTGATGACCCATGTGCTGTGGGTGATGGATTCTGGCAAAAAGGCTGAAAGCCCTGGATAACGCCAGAGCCTGAGAAGGAGGAAAGAGGCACTGCCTAATAAACACCAAGAAGCCAAAATTTAGTATTGAGCCTACAACAAGCTAGAAATGACCTACCTAAAAAAAAAAAAAAAAAACATTTTTCCAATGCACCAGGCTGCCTCCCAGGAATGTAGCTAAGTGTAAGACACAATAAATTAAACTGCCATAAAACCTTCTATTTTAAAACTAAAAACAATTCCAATACCTCCTGAATTCAATAACTGTTAACTAAACACTTACCATAAGGAAGATCTATACAAAATGCTTTTCAGAGTTAGAAACTGGTAGAAAATGCTCACCTTCATGATCAGAAGTTTGGTCAATGACTTCAGTTGTAAATGGCTACTGGTCACAAACATTTTCATTAGTAAGTAAAATACTGATCGTTCACCTCCAATAATTTCTGCATCTGGGCCTTCCTAGAGTTTAAACAATATTACGTATTTTTAGTATATATAATTACATATATAATTTTAATATATAGTTATATATTAGAAACATACCATGGGGCCAGGCGTGGTGGCTTACACCTGTAATCTCAGCACTTTGGGAGGCCAAAGTGGGCAGATCACCTGAGGTCACGCGTTGGAGACGAGCCTGGCCAACATGGCGAAACCCTGTCTCTACTAAAAAATACAAAAATTAGCCAGTCATAGTGGTGCATGCCTATAGTCCCAGCTACTTGGGAGGCTGAGGCAGGAGAATCACTTGAACCCAGGAGGCAGATGTTGCAGTGAGTCCAGATGACGCCACTGCACTCCAGCCTGGGCAACAGAGTGAGACTTCATCTCCAAAAACAAAAAACAAAACATAACGTAGCAGGAGCCATCACTTGCTGAACACACAGTATGCTGCCAGGTCCTTACCTCATCTCATTTTAACCACAATTTGGCAGGAAGAGTAGCAAGAGTAAGCACAGGTAGCCCTGTTCCTGTGCTGGAGCCGTCCCAGGGGCCCAGCTTACACTGACTCACTGAATCCTCCCAACACCCCTGTGAGGTGGGTACAGCTGCTACCCTATTTTACATATATGGAAACTGAGGCACTGGGAAGGCACCTGGCTGTTTACTGGGAACCAAGGCAGATGCTGTGCTGTCTGGTGGATGGTGAGCAGGAGGGACCCCAGGCTGTCTGAGTCCATCAAATGATGTCCTTGTTACTTTCATCACGATGCCAGTGCTGATAGAACGGATTGCTTATGCATAATTTATCCTCCTCAAAAGGCTTTTGGGCTTTGAACAAGTCTTCAACAAGTACATGGAGCTCCAGATCCCCAATTCAAACTCTACTGAGCCTGTGTGTCTCACTACAGCCCTTGGCAATGAGGACAACCCTGAAAATGGTGAGGTGCTGGTTAGCTTAGGCAGAGCCAGCAGATATAAGCATAAGGTGGGGCGCAGGATATAAATTCACACCAGCTCTTTCAAATTATGAGGCCTCTGTTCACTTTCCAACTAAATTATCAAGATCCCATGAGCCTAGTTGAGCTGGAGTGAAAACCAATCAGCAATGCCCGAGCCTGTCACCTCCCCAGGACTGGTGGCAATGAACTCACATCTCAGTGGAATGGTGGCAAGCAGAGCTCTAGGCAGCACCGCCTGGGTCCCATCCTGGACCCACCACTCATGGACAGGACCCTGCAGAAGGTTCTGACACACTGTGCCCAGCTGCCTTGTCTTTAAGTAACGTGAAACGAGCAGCCACATGAAGCACCCGTAACCTGCCCAGCATGCGAGTAAGTTCTCAGTAAGAATGATCCTCAGCTACGATGCAGGGAAGCCTCAGAACGGGGACTCGAGGGAGAGACACATAGTCCCAGAGGCACAGCATTCTTAAGTCTTCCTGGAAATGTCGCGTGTAGAAATGCCAACATACATTTCCATACTACTGGTTCCATATAAGATCTAAGTCATTAAAAAGTACATCAGCTCAGATTATAAGAAACACTTGGACAATGATTAATTTTGCTTGATAATGTTCCCTCCTCCTCTTTGCATAGAAATGATGCAGCATCCTGGGCTTAAGCCCAGCATAAATATATGTGGCATCCTGAGCTTCCCTTTATGATTTAACATTATGTTCTCCAAAAAGTTCTGGTAGATATTTTATTAAAGACCTAGAAAAAAATGCTGGCAATGTCTACTGATTCTTCCACCAGCCTCAACCCTCTCCTGACTTGGTTATCTATTCTCATCTCGTCTTTAATTCTTCCAGGATGAGGACAAAAGAAAAGGAATGTATTTTATTTTGTTTATTATTTAAAAATGAGAAAAATGTAAAATGTAAAACAGTTGAGATAAACAAGAAACTCCCTGGACCCAGCAATGTATCTGCAGCAAGGACATGTTAAGCACCATATTTTACAAAAGCAAGCAGGTTCCCAGGCCTCCTGGTTCATGAATCAGGACCTCTGCTGTGGGTCTCTCTAAAATGAGAACTGTTAACCTCTTCCGTCTTGCCCCGTCAGGTTCTGAGCCAATTAGCAATTCATCAGGCCAAGAAGCCACCCGGCCCAGCAGGTAAGCTTAGGGCAGAAGACTGGGAGTTCTGCTTCCTACCTGTGCCTTTAACCACAGAAACTTGCTGGCCGGCAGCTCCAGGGCCACCTTCAGCATGTGGTGCTGCAGAATGGGAGGCACCTCCTCTCGAAGGCCCTGCTCAGAGATGACACCTATGGGTGAAAAAGAGGCAGGCTGAAAAAAGTCACATGGACGTGGGTGCCCAACAATTGCTGCCCTGGCCAGAAGGACAAGGAACTCACCATGGAGAAAGAAAAAGGGTGGATGCAGGGTTCTGTTTCTCTGTCCTGTGCTCACCCTCACATGGCACATCTCGCCTGATGTACCCCCACGCCCTGGTCTGTCCAAATCTTCCAACAAAAAGCCCAAATCCCACTTGCCTGAAGAAGCCCTCCCATGCCACACAGCCCACACTGACCCCAAACAGCTGGAATCAGGCACCCACCAAGTGCCCTCCAGGGGTAGGCTCTCGCTAACATTCTCCCTGACTCCCCAGACAGCAAGCATTTTGTGGACAGAGACTGCAGCCACCTGCACCTGAGATTGGGTTCTCATCCTCTAGCCGGCTCTCTGGGCTTCTCCTTTGCTACCAAATACTAAATGGCCACATTCTAGTAAATTTCATATTTCCACAGCAAAGAGAACTTTTCACCTTCAAATGATTAAAAAGTGAATTGCAGCTTTTGAAAAGGAGTATTTCAATAGCTCATATAAATTCCAAGAATGATATTTTTGCAAGTCTTCTCCCATAGGCCCAATTATAAAGTGGATCAGACAAACTTTACCATCCAGGAAACATGACCAGACAAGCATTGTTACTTTTACAAGTTTGAACCTGACTCAGTGGGGTAAAAGATGAAGTAACTATGTCAAAAGTGTCTCTGCATAAACAGGATGTCCCTTCTGCAGGCCCCTCATTTCTGCTACACCCTCTGCAACCCTGCTCCCTTGAAAAGTGACTTTAGAGTTAACGTCACATGATCGGATTTGTGGGCCATTCATGTAGGTTGCTCAGCACTCAGAAGCTGGCTGGCTTCTTCCATTGTTCTCACTGCTACCAGGTGTTCATCTGATATTTACTTAAGGAAGACCAGCTATTTAAAAAATACTGATGCAAGTACAATTTCTCAGGCTGACGGATGAGCACGCAGCCAACCGTCCACCAGCCTTCCTGATTCTTGGCTGCAGGGCTCTGCTCTGGTTTATTGGCAGCAACAGTGGCGGCTTGTCTGCAAGACCTTGAAACCCACCTTTCAGGAGCTTGCTGAAGTCAAAGTTGTACTGCATGACCACGTGGGGGACCACCTTCTGGTAGAGGCATATGACCTGGAGCAAAACAGCTTTCAAAAGAATGGTTTCTGCATCATCTGCACAAAAAAAAGAAAAAGAAAGAAAAAGAGAAAAAAGAAAGAAAGAAAGAAAGAAAGAAAGAAAGAAAGAAAGAAAGAAAATAGCTTGAATTAGAAAACATACTGGTTCTTTGTCCTTGAGCAGCTGAACCAAGTGTGGCACCACACTGCAGCCAACTGCATGCTGTACACCGAGGCTGCAGACAGACTGCTCAGTACCTAGATCTAATGAGTCAATGTGGTAAAACGTTAAAACTGTTCAGGGGGTCTGGGTTAAAACCTCATTTCACTGCTGTGACCTTAGACAGGTTCTGGTCACTCTGTCTCCCTGTGCTTTCGTGTCTTCATCTGAGCAACAGGGACATACAGCAGGGCCTACCCTTGCAGGGCTGCCGAAAGGATGAAATACGATACAGACATAAGACACAAACCTCAATGCCTGACCAACAACAAGGCTCTGAGCTCTATCTGCAAACCAAGAGACAGCACCCCCATACTGTCATCCCTGGAAAGGCCAGAGCACATGGCACCCAACACTCAAGTCTTCAGAGAGACACAGTGCTCGCATAAAGATGGGCACGTTTCTAACAGATACTAAAATTCAATCTATGATTCCTTTCCAATTCTTCTCCCTAAGCAAAAAAGGATATAGACACATTCACAGCCAGAGGTGCCTTGAAACAAAAACTGCTCCAGGACTCTCTGGATAGGAGCTATCCTAGGCTGCCAGTGTCAGCTCTGTCCCATGCAAAAGGCAGAGGGTCCCCCTCACCCCTGAGACCTTACCGCACTGGTGAGCATCGCAGGCAGCCGGGGGCCCATCGCTCCTTTTCTGCCCTTTCTTGTCATCCTGTTTGGTCTCTTGCTTTTTAAGTGACTGCCAGACCCACACGACAGTGTTCAGGTCTGGCAAAATCTAAATGGGAAAAAGAAGCAGAACATTAGTTGTAGTCAACCACAAAGGGAGACAAATGAACTGAACACATTAACAAGATGCAAAAAACAGGGAGGGGGGTGCGAGTCTAGAGGAGTGCGTGTAAGAAGGAGAGGGAAGAGTGGTGAGAAAACAGGCCCAAATCCACATAAGTTCTGCTCTGCAGTATAATTTTTTTTTTTTTGAGATGGAGTCTCACTCTGTCGCCCAGGCTGGAGTGCAGTGGGGTGACCTCAGCTCACTGCAACCTCCGCCTCCCAGGTTCAAGTGATTCTCGTGCGTCAGCCACCTGAGTAGCTGGAACTACAGGCACCCACCATCACATCCAGCTAATTTTTTGTATTTTTAGTAGAAGCAGGGTTTCACCATGTTGGCCAGGCTGGTCCTTGAACTCCTGACCTCAGGTGATCCACCCATCTCAGCCTCCCAAAGTGCTGGGATTACAGGTGTGAGCCACCGCGCCCAACCATGTTCTGCAGTATAATTTCTAGAACTATACACAGTAAGGATTTGGTGAACAGGCAAGTGCTGATCATTAAAACGAACCCCTTAAACCTCATTCACCTAAGCAAAAGACACAGGGAACAAAGAAAGACTTTCTCAGGAGCAGCTCAGGGAAAGCTGCCCTGTGTAACTGGGGCTCTCAGAGCAGCCGGCCAGTTTACAGAAGCCTGGTCTTCAGCCATAGGAAGCAAGAGGGGCTTCCTGAGCCACTGCATCCCTTCTCACTGGGCCACAGTGTGGTCTATGTGTGTGCCTGCAGCCATGGGTGAGGGGTAAGGACACAATCTACCCCTCGACAACATCACCACGGCTCCTGATTGAACATGAGGTCCCCACCAGAGACAGAACCCCTGTGAGAGAACACATGTATCGTCTAAATTCTTACTCTGCACAAGGACTTTGGGATCATGCTCTGTGACATCACTGCCTACAATCACAAGTGGCAGGTCTTCTCAGCTGACCCTCAGCACCCACGCTACCACACTGCCCACCGGCCTGTCCAACCCTGCGGCTCCAAGGACACATCACTTGGCTTCCACCCTAGGGCTGCAGAATGGCCTTTTCCACCTGGTGAGGTCTGGAAGGAAAGCCCAAACCCAGATCAGAGCCTACCTTGCTCAGGGCTTCTCTGAAGAGCTGCACGAATTCTTCCATCATCACAGCTGTGTACACGCCTGATTCCTGCCACACCTCTTTATTCAGGCAGTGGTCAACAGTTTTTAATGCCCTCTTCAAAATGACAGAAATAAGGGATAAGGCTGTGTGCCTCACTGAGGTGCTGTCCAACTGGGAAGAAAAAGAGTTAAATGCACACATGTCTCTAGGATACACAGATTTGCTAAGCTATGGGCTTGGCTGGCATTTGCCCCTCCTCAGGTCACTCACAGGGAAAGCTGCATGAAACTGCTGGTCTCTACGCTCTGAGAAGAGGCGACCTGGGTACCTCGCCCTCCTGACATCCTCTGGGTCTGACTTCAGCAATTGCCAGGAAATGACCACTAATGGTGGCATCCAGCAGTAGTTTCATTTTTATCATCTGCTCTTTGGTAAGCCTTGAGACAACCACTCAGCTACCATGAAAGTTCTCCATTAACAACAGATCTCACCAGAACCCACTCTGCCACTATTTTTTTTTTGAGTCAGGGTCTCACTCTGTCGCCCAGGCTGGAGTGCAATGGTGCGATCATAGCTCACCGCAGCCTCAAGCTCCTGGGCTCAGGCAATCCTCCCGCCTCATCCTCCCAAGTAGCCAGGACTATAGGCACCTACTGCTTCTGGCTTTCTTTTTTTTTTTAAGAGATGAGACTTAGTATGTTGCCCAGGCCGGCCTCAACCTTCTGGCCTCAAGCCAATCCTCCTGCCTCAGCCTCCCAAAGCACTGGGATTATGAGTGTGAACCACTGTGCCTAGCCTTTTTTTTTTTCCTTTTGTAGAGGCAGGGTCTTGCTATGTTGCCCAGGATTCTACCACTATTAAAAGCATTAGCATCAGGTGGAGGAATGGCCAAAAAAAAATGCATCAGGTACTTTAGTATGAAAATCCACCTCCAAGCTCAATGAGCAAGCAACCCACATCACAGGCCTGTGACATCCAGAGCTCTTGACTTCCAGTCAGAATGACACCTGGGAGAGTCACTCACTGCAGAGACTGAGTAGGGTTCAAGAACCTGTGCTACTACCAACAGTAGGAAAACAGTCCCTGCCCCTGCTAGTCACAGTGTGTTCTGGGGCCAGGAGGATCATATGATGGCATCTCCCGGAGCTCAGGAGAAATGTAGAAGCCCAGGCCCCGGCCCACACAACTCAAGCAGAATCTGCATTTCACATAATCCCCAGGAGAGCCCTCCGACACTGAGATCTGAAAAGCCCTGGCTGGGACACTGCAGACTGACAGTGCGGTAGAAACAAAGAGCTTTTCTGGTTTACTTTCAGCTCAATAACCACGACACCCCAGAGCCCCAGCATTCCAGTCAGCTGCGGCTTCACTCTGTGTACACTGCACACTAAATCAGGACTACAGGAACTATCCTAAGCCAAGAATGGCCAGCCCCACAATCGCTTCAAAGGCAGGCCCCACACAAGCGTGCACACCACACCCAAGGGGCTGGGAGCACAAAGCTCAACCAACAGCCTGAGGCCCTGCTTCCAAACGCTTTCTTATTTCCTGTTTCTAAAATAGGCTAAAGCTTCTCCTCCTGACTCTAAAATGTATGCTTTAAAAGTTTTTTAGACAAAACCATAAGAAATAAAACAAAAAAAAACAAACATCATCCAACTCCAGTCCCTGGATGCACTCACATCACTGGGTCTCACTTACATAAAAACACAGTCTTGGCTCTCGGAAAGGGCACCTGTGGAGGGAAGGCAAGGCTGGGCTCAGTGGCCCTGGCCCTGGCCCTGCAGGGCATGGCAATAGCCAACAGCGGGAGAGGAGGCTGTGTCCTCTGAGACTCCTTCCTTGGAGCCACTCCGTGCAGGAGCTAGTACACCCCTCTAGGGGCACAACCCTTTGTCCTGAAACAACACTGTGAGAGGAGGAGGAGACAGGCTTTTCTCTCCCAGACTACTAGGAGCAAGCTTGGAAGGGAGAGCAAATGCAGCCCACAGAGGAGGCACATCTGGCTGGGTGTGGCGGCTCAGACTTGTAATCCCAACACTTTGGGAGGTTGAGGTGGGAAAACTGCATGAGGCCAGGAGTTTGAAACCAGCCTGCGCAACATAGCAAGACACTGTCTATACAAAAAATAAAAATAAGAAAATTAGCTGGGTGTGGTGGTGCGCACCTGTAGTCCCAGCTACTCAGGGGGCTGAGGTGTGAGGAACACTTGGGTCCAAGAGTTTGACGCTGCAATGAGCTATGATCACACCACTGTACTCCAGCCTAGGCAACAGAACAAGACCCTGTCTCAAAAAAGAAAAAAAAATTTTAATAAAAAATAAAAATAAATAAAAAATAAAGGAGGTTCATCAAACTAATCCTTTCAATCTGGTTTTCCTGCAAGCCCTCTGAGAAATGCAAATGTCTCCCACATTAATTAAAACAGTTGGGCAAGCTAGCTGGGTGCTAATTTTGCATACGATGATTTGACAAACACAACACAAAACCTTTCTGCCTACTCCCACACAGGCCTCCTCTCTACTCCTCACCCCATCATCACCCATGCTCAGCACAAACCCTGGAGGGGTATCAAAAAATGGTGAATCTCACCATGTGGTCTCAGGAGTCCACCCCACTTTACAGTGACTGTGCGCATTACCACAGGGCCAACTGAGGCCTGTGCAACCCCTCACAGCCAACCTGTTCCTACTGAAGCCACACAACAACTCAGCCTGCCTGGAAGGACGAAGACACCCTTCTGAATACCTGTCCTCCCCCAGGTACCTCAGGCAACTTGGGGTTAGGAGGCACTGGCAGGGCCCAGGACCCACGTGTGCCAACAACCCACAGCCATTCACCTAGGCCCATGATGCTGCGGTGAAAGACATGTGAACCCCCCAGAATGTGGCTTCTGATGGGACATGGGGACCTTTATGATAAATAATGATGTAAAATTTAAGTATCAATTTCTTCCATGAACATGTCCTCCAAAAATGCCTGAAAACAGCTGGCCTTCAAAGTATATGTTTGCCAGGCATCTTAACACCATTCATCTAAACCATAAAAGAAAGAATTTGCTAGGCAAATTTCAGTCCTACCATGTCTGGAAATTCTAAACTAATGAGATTTTAATGATAAACTTTCTTTCTTCTGATTTAGACATTCTTTCATCCTCAGGCAGGACTAGAAAGGCTTGGAGGGATGCAGGGGTCCCTGCTGTGTGATGGAGCAGGGCCAAGGACATGAAGTCCGTTGTCCCTAGAAGCAAAGTCTCTTTGCTCCAAGGTCCTTACCCAGGTGCGTGGACCTGTCACTTATGGGCTATTTCAAACTACAGCCTCTGTCCTGGAAGCCTCCGAGGCCCCCTGACAAAACACAATCAAACACATCCAGGCCAGTTCTCAGAATAATCACATCATGTAGCCAGCGAGTTTAGCTGGAGGCAGTTCCAGAAGTGGGGCAACCACATGGCCTTACGTTTAATGCTTGGGTGAACATGCTCTTATTGCACACCAGGGGCACGGTGGTCACCATCACCATTGCCAGGAGCCGAGGCAAGGGTATAAACTCTCTGGTCTGAAATGCCCGGGAAATCTCCGGCTGAGCCTCATAGATCTAGGAAAAGCAAAAAAGAGATTTAGGTGGTGCTAGAAGTAAGTTTCAAACCTGAGACTAGCTGTAGGCACCCAAAGGTGAAGCCATTCAATCAAATAATTATAGCGGTAAAGGTCCGAGACTCCCCACAAGGCAGAGTGGAAGATTAACCCTCAAATCTACTTGTCAAAGACAAATCAGGTCAGGAGACTGGCTGTTAACAGAGAAAGGACCTTCAGAGCAGAACTTGACCTGTGGTCTGCAGAGTCTCTTAAAACCTCTGATGGCAAATAAATCACTGCCAGAACTACGAATGGTACTACTTACCAGTTCTTGCTGCACTTGACAGGCACCTGACAAATGATGTCAGGAAGGGATGTCAAGAAGCCATCTTCTCAAAGCTTCCTCACAACGCTTTGGGATAGGCACACTTTACATTAAAACAAAAATATATTCACAGATGACAAAATTGGACCTCAGTGAGGTTAGGTAATTTCCTTAAGGCCACATAGCTAGTAAGCAGCCAAGTAAGGACTCAACACTGGGCCTGCAAAAACCACACACTCACCCCTCCCCTATCCTACAAATCAGATGTTTCATCAGATGCAGCTCCTAGTAGGGGTGCTGGCCCCAGGACTGTCTGTACCAAAACAAGGGGTGGAGTACATCCTCCTCATCCCAAGGGTAAATGTGGAGACTGTGCGCATAGGCACTCAAGCAGAATAAAAGCTGGTTTTATAGATAATGCCAGGCCCAGGTAGAGGCACAAGAAACAATCCCAGGTATTTTACCACTAGGCAAACCATGAATCAGTGACAGAGAGTTCAAACAAGTCAGGCATTACTGCCAAAGAACAGTAGGTACCTCTACTTGTAAAATGGGCAGATGCTGACATTATGATCAAAAGGAAGGTAACGCACATCCACTTAAACCAGCAGACCAACGTTCCACAGCTTATTTCAAGTTGTTCTAATTGAAGCAGCAACCTTTAAAAACTATCCTACAAGTCAGACATTTCATTTTATTTTACTTTTTATGAGCCCAGATGGAGAAGAGATAATCGGGCAACTCATCAATCCCAGTCTAACTGTGCTGAGACTCAACAAGATTTCACTCTAAGCAAAATCTTGATGAACAGGATAAATTGGCTCAAAAGATTCTAAATAAACCTCAAATTCAGCTCAGTGAAAGGCAAAACGCTATAGAAGATAAGGACACCAAATTTACATGGTCTAAAATATCCCTTTTTATCCCTGAAAGGTCTTCATATTGTATAGTTTACCAGATGAGAATGTCTGCCTGTCCCCTAACTCCCTATGCCCCCCTACCTAGCTAACAGACTTATTTTTTTGAGATGGAGTCTCGCTCTGTCACCCAGGCTGGAGTGCAGTGGCGCGATCTCAGCTCACTGCAACCTCCGCCTCCCAGGTTCAAGTAATTCTCCTGTCTCAGGCTCCCAAGTACCTGGGATTACAGGCGCACACCACCACACCCAGTTAATTTTTGTATTTTTAGTAAGAGACAGGTTTCGTCACGTTGGCCAGGCTGGTCTCAAACTCCTGACCTCAGGTAATCCGCCTGCCTCGGCCTCCCGAAGTGCTGGGATTACAGGCATGAGCCACCACGCCCAGCTTAGCTAACAGACTTTTAAATATCATGTTTTTTTACCTTGTTTAGTAGTTTGATATTATTTAACCAAGTAGACTTCGCTCGTGGGATAAAGGAAAACGTTACTTCCTTGAAGTATTTGTTCAGTAAGTCCGGGCACACTTTGAGGATGTTTACCACAAGGTCAGCCACCAGATCATCATCAGCTGCAGTTTTCAAACCCAGCAAGAAGTGCAAGAGTGTCAGGTTTCCGCCTCTGTTAGAGAAAGACACATGGGGAGAGGTCAGCAGAAAATGGTCAAAGCACCCTGAGAGCTCATGGTGACGTGCAGCTCTGCAGAATTGCCCTCAGTGAACACAGCAATAACAACGTAGGGAATTTCCCCCAGGACGTAAAGTGGGGGTTCCGTGGCCTGGGGGTTCCAGCTCTCCACAGAGGGCTTCCCTCTCATCCTCTACTTCTGAGTGGCTGAAAAAGTCTCTGTCCTGCGATCTTTCTTCTTTCCTACTTCCCTCCCTTGAGTTCAATTTGCTTTCTAAAGAAAAGGAAGAAAACCATTCTCTCTCGCTCTACCTCAGCCACCTACCAGTCTGCCTAGAAGTCAAGGCTACTGAAAAGAAAGGACAAAACCAGCAGGGAGGAATCCATGCCCCAAATTTCATTTTGAGATTTTACTGACGTTCCTCCTCCAGCCACACACAAAAAAAGCACTATGTAGGGCTGGCTGTGGTACTCACAACTGTAATCCCAGCACTTTGGGAGGCCAAGGTGGGAGGATCACCTGAGGTCAGGAGTTCAAGACCTTGGCCTTGAACTATGTTGGCTTGGTCAACATAGTGAAACCCTATCTCTATTAAAAACACAAAAAAATTAGCCAGGCATGGTGGTGCCTGCCTATAGTCCTAGCTACTCAGGAGGCTGAGGCAGAAGAATTGCTTGAACCTGAGAGGTGGAGGTTGCAGTGAGCTGAGATTGCACCACTGCACTTCCAGCCTGGGTGACAGAGTAAGACTCCATCTGAAAAAAACAGCACTATGTAAATACATATGTGAGTGTGAGTGTAAAAAAATGCAGATAAGACATTTTTCTCTTGAAAGGGGGATTTGTTTTAATTTTTAAAATTTTTTATTATTTCTTCAGAGACAGGGTCTTGCTCTGTCACCCAGAATGCAGTGGCGTGACCATAGCTCACTGCAGCCTCGAATTCCTGGGTTCAAGTGACCCTCCTGCCTCAGCCTCCTGGGTAGCTGGGACTAGAGGTGCACACCACCACATCTGGAAATAAAGTTTTTTTTATACGAACTGCTCATGAGTTGCTGCATGGTCCAGAGCGCCATTAAATTATTTCTTGACAAGAAATCTGACAAGACAGCACGAGGTCTTTGCATGGACCTTCTGCCTTCCCTGTTTCTAGCTTATTTCAAATTCCTTCATTTTCATTTAGCAGATGAAAGAAGCTAGGATGTGGAAAAAATCTACCGTAGAAAAATACTGAAAAGTTATCTCAAAGTGGACAGTCTTCAAAGGTATGAAAAGATAATAAAAGCAGGTGAGCCCAGGACTTCAAGGCTGCAGTAACCTACGACTGTGCCACTGCCTTCCATCCTGAACAACAGAGCGAGTCTCCATCTCAAAAAAAAAAAAAAAAAAAAAGTAAGAAGCAGGAAAGTCTGCAGAGACTAAAACTTGCATAAAGGGAGTAAAATCCCAGGATCCACACAGCCAAAGCCCCAGGACACTAGGCTTCATCTGCTTCAAAGTCTTTTTAGAAAATATGCCCTTTCCTATCTGCTTGACCCTGTGAAGTCAAAACATCCAGAAAATCCTCAGACTCTGTCTCATGTGCACGACACAGTGATGGTTTCTAGGGTCCCCGGTGTCTCACATCCCCCTTATAAATTGAGTAAAACTACAATGCTATATGAGAGCTTTACATATAGTAAAAAAAGTTTTTTAAAAACCAAATTAGAAAGTATAATTTTGATCAGAAAAACTATCCTTTAAAAAAGGACATGAAAATATCCTTTCCTAATATGAAAATGTCATGAACAAAATAGTTTGTACTGTCAAATGAAAAGGATATTAAATCTACAAAGAGTGCTAAAAATACTACACATGCTTTATTTTAATCAACAACGTAATAAAATGGAGAGCATTAATATTTATGTAGTGCACAACACATGCCAGACACTGCTCTAAGCAGTTACCACCACGTCTCTGCGACAGGCACTACTTTTATTCCCACTTTATAGACAAGATAATGGAGGCAGAGAGGATGCCTAACCCAGTGAAGGTCTCAGAGCTAAGTTGGGATTGAAGCCCAGCTGTCTGCTCTGTTAACCTACACCAGCGACTGGCAAAGTAGGGCCCAGCACCTATCATTGTAATTTGATTGGGACACAGGTAAACCTACTTATTTACATCTATGGATGCTTTGCTGGCACAACTGAGTGGTCACAACAGACTGTGTAGGCTGCCAAGCCCAAAATACAATCTGGCCCTTTGTAGAAAAGTTTGCCAATCCTTGCTCTATGCTCTAACACCAGCTTTCAGTGAACACCTACTATGTGCCAGGCACTGTCCTAGGGACTGGAGGCCCATAATAGACCAGCGCCCGTTCTCACCACTTCTCACCAATCTGATAATGAACAAGCAAATAAATAAATCAGCAAATAAATGTATGAACAGTCAGAAGCCTAAGCCAGGCAAAAAGCACAGTGACAGTGGAGGGACTATTTCAGAAAGGGCTGTCCGGGAAGGCCTCCCTGAAGTGGTGAGGTCTGCACAGGAACCTGAATGAAATGAATGAGTGGGCCACGTGTCTACTGGGGAACAGGGAACGATGCAATTCAGTGTTCTCAAAGCTTTCTATCACCATCCACAAACAAATCTCCTTCCTTTCCCTTATGCACAAACACTTGTCTTTTGCCCATGGCTTCAAAATTCACATAAATCACAGCTTGCTGCAAAGAGACGCACACCCACAAGTTGATTCAATATGCTCATTAAATGCTCATCTATTTCATGGGCCTAGTTATGGAGGAAAAATGCTTTAAAAAGGGGGAACAATGCATGTGTTTTAAGCATGGTGTAATATTCTATTCGACTATAAAAGTCTGCTGTTATGTTTTGGCAGGAAAATGAGCTCATTCTTACTGATGAAAGAAAAAAGAAATGATGTGACAAGTTAAATCACAGTGACCTCAGAATCAAAACACGTCCAAAGTCATAAGCAGACAGAAAAACTCCCACCATGTTATTCCATTCTGAAGGAATCACCTGATTTCCTGACTGGCTGAAATTAGAAGTAAATCAAACTGCCTAAATCCTTGTGATATAATGCTAGGATAGAATAACAAGGATTAAACAATAAATCATTTACACATTTACAATGACAAGAAAACATGGCCAATATTTTTATTGTCAAGTGGGAAAAAAGCAGATAGGATGAACAGTAGTAAGCCATTTTTGTTATTAAAAAAAAAAATCACATAGACCTGTATTATACGATTACAAAAAGAAAGTCTTAAAGAATATGATCAAAACCAGTAGATTTGAACTTAATATGTTTCCTTACTGATGAAATGTTACCACAATTGTGAAATGTGAAACAAAATGTTAAAAAAAAAAACAATTTTGAAACCGTGACTCATGGGCAGCCTGTCAAGGAGAGGGAGGACTGTTTTAGTATCAGTTTGGAGCTGGACTTCCTGGATTCCAGTGCAACCTCTGCCATTTAACCAGTGTAAGTGTCTCGACCTCTCTAGAACTACTTTCTTCCTCTGCAAAGCTGGCATAACAATGGTACCTGCGTCAGGACTGCTGTGAGGCCCATGTCAGGGCCAACCCTCTCTGGCAAGGCAGACGCCTTTTCTGAGCTCCAGCTGACGAACACTGTCTTTAGGTAAACATCCGCAGCACCTCCCTGGGTGAAATATCCCATGACCTAACTAAGTGCTAATAGACAGCTACCCTCAGAACTGCCCCTGAGGACATGCAACAAGGAGAAGTTCTCTGGGACTACAACTGTTCAACCCTGAAACGAGTTAGATAATGTCCACAATTCTAGTTCTAACCTACTACAGTTCCACTAGACACTCACATATGTGGTGACTTCTGAGGAACATACACACCCTGGGGTCCACAAGAGTGTTATACTTTACCTGCCAAAGGTACCCAAAGATGCATCGTAAAAATTAATTCCATGCTTGAGTGAACAGCAAAGATCCATCAGGAAGTTATGAACAAGCTCCCGCACCATGGTTTTCCCTGCTTCTTCGGCAGAAACCTATGAAGATTTTTTAAAAATTCAATGAAAATCCCAAGCTCATACACTTTAGTAAGAGCTAGAGTAAAAACAAGGACAATATTAACTGCCGATGACAATTTAGAAAACATTTTAAATACTTGGTGTCATTCCAAACAATAAATGAAAACAACAACAAAAAGATACACCGATCAAGATAAAAGAATACTCTGAAGAGGGGCAAGTTTAAACCTGTATTTTTAAAAGCTTTAAAGTGATCTAATTTCTCTTGTTCATTTGAATAAAATTCCATATTTGGGAGTGTTTTTATGCAGCCTCTGAGGCTTGCTGGTCTAGAGCATACAAAAACATGTTCAAAACAAGAGGACCTGGGCAAGTCTCCAAGATAAAAGGAGGTGAAATATTAGGCTCTTGAGAGGTGAATTATTATAACGTTAACAGGAAGTCTGTGCCTTTACTACTCTGGCCAAGTCCATGTTCAGTAACACCCTGAAGAAAATTAAAATATACACTGGCATTGGGTCGATGTTAAGAGCAGCTGTTTCAATTTAGCACGAGTTAACTAGCACAAAATAAATTATATATGTCAGTAGGTGAGGCTCCTAGACATTCAGGATCCTGAGGTTAAAAACAAACAAACAAACAAAAAACACACAACAAGCCTTGAAACTCCAACAACTGGACATGAAAGAATGGAAGGATGGGAAGGCAGAGGTAAAGCAAGAGGAAAAGATGGCCGGGATGACCCTGCAGGTCTAACAGGCAAGTGCTGCAGGGAAAACTAAGATATGGCTCAGCCCAAGGAAATCATAGTTTTCTAATTAAAAAAAAAAATTATTAGCATGATTAAGAAATTAGGGGAAAAAAATCCTATTGCAGTTAGCAGAGGGTTAATACAACCATATAACCACAGTCAAAAGAAACAGATCAAATGAGGGGACTTCAAGTCTGGTGCGGTGTTGAGAATTCTCCCTCTCCCAACCCTGAGGATCAAATTCCAACAACGAGGTCAACGAAAACCAAAAAGTGTCTGCACCTTGACATTTTCTGGGTTCACATCGGTAATCCCATTCCAGTTGTACAGCGATGCTATGTGGTTCAATAACTGCCCCGTAAAGAAACGCACCTTCTGGGTTTTTGTGATATTTTTATTGTGAACTACCTGAAACAATAATAAAACAAATTATTAAAAAACAAATTATGAAAAAGTTCATGGAATTCAATTATTTTTTAAATGGTGCTTACTGTTTTCTCATCATTATAAAAATAATGCTTGCTAGTGGCAGAAAATTTGGTTTAAAAAAAGGAAAAACATAAAGGGAAATTCACCAATATTCCCAACCATCCTAGGATATCGTTACTATTTTGATATATTTCCTTTCAGTCACCACCCACACCCACACAATATACATGTGTATGTATTCATTATTTTTTGCCTGAGATTTTATTTATATATGATTACTTATGAAGCATAAGCCTTTTCCACGTCATTAAACATCCCTTTAGAACATTTTGGGGGGCTAAATACCATTCTATCCTATGAGTGGACCACAACTTATCTAACCATTCCCCTGGTGTTTACAATTAGTTGTTTCTAAATTCTGGCTATTCTCCATAAAGCTGTGATTAGCATCCTTGAACATAGTCTTCATTGCATCTGACTTTGGACTTGACACTGGTTCCTGCAAGTAGAATTGTGGCACAAATTCTCAGCTCCACCCAAACCTAACCCCAGAATCCCTATGGGTGTGGCCCAGGTATATATATTTCAGATACATTCCCCTAGAGGTTCTGATGCAACTCCCCCAGTTCAGAACAACCATACGTCACGGTCCATGAACATATTTAAGACCTCTGACACATCCTGTCAGAACTGTTATCTTCCATAGGGGATACAACACTTCCTCCTCAAGAAAGTATCTGATTCAAAGCATCCTTGCTAGCACTGAACACCATTGTTTTTAAAAGTCAATGCTATTTTAGTAGGCAAAAAAATCTGTATGTCATTATTTGCTTTACTTTAAATTAGGGTTTCTCAACCTCAGCTCTACTGACACTTGGGGCCAGGTAATTGTTATGGGGGCCATCCTGGGCATTACAGGATGTTCGGCAGCATCCCTGCTGTCTCCCCACTAGGCACCAGTTGTACCTCCCCAGTTGTGACAATGCAAAATGTCTTCAGAGATTGACAAATGTCCCGTAGAAGGCAAAATTGCCCCCATTTGAGAATCACTCTTTAAAATACTTCGAAAATAAAGTCCTTTCATGCTTATTAGCCATTTTCATGTGGACTCTGGACAACTTGTCATGTTGGGAGGGTCATAGTTTTTCTTACTGATGATTTAAAGTGTTTCTGTATTAAAGGCAGTGATCTTTTTAGCAAGTTTTAAAATATCAATAAGATGCTTGCAAAAGGCAGAATATGGAACATGACACAGAACAACATTTTGCTAGATATGTGAATGAAGTATTATTTATAATTTACAGCTCACAATGATTACTTTGGGTTGCTGTGAAATGTTGACCAGCAGCTTTTCTGCTGCTGTAATAAAACAGCAGCCATGTCTGGACATCACTGGCTGCTTCAGCTATTCTTTAACCTTCTAGTCCCAGGATATGCTCATCAACAAGAACAAGTTTCTGCTTAGGGAAGAGTTTTCCACTCAACCAATACAACAATCTATGTAAGATAAGATGTTGTAGCTCTACAGTCCTGTAAAACACCGGAGAATATCTCCATTCCCAAGGGAAAACAGACAACAGAAACGCGGATCACCAAGCACATACCTTTGTTTTCAGTGTGGATAATAAAATATTGATGGTAGAGATCCTATCTTCCTTTATCCCTGAGCTAAAAATGCAAGGAATAAATTCTGAAAGTAAAAGTTTCAAAGCATTAAATTCAAAAATATTTTGAAAATGAGAATAGACGAGAGAATATTACTGTTTAGGTGGTACAGCAAACAATGCCATTTACTTTTTCAAGTTTTTTTTTTTTAACTATACAAGTTTCCGGTAGAAATAACCACTTCCATGACATAAGAAATCAAGAAGCCAGGCAGAGTGGCTCATGCCTGTAAGCCCAGCACTACAGGAGGCCAAGGTGGGAGGATCCCTTGAGGCCAGGAGTTCAAGACCAGCCTGGGCAATATAGCAAGACCCTGTCTCCAAAAAAAAATTTAAAAATTAGCTGGGTATGGTGGTGCGCACCTGTAGTCTTACTGTAGTCTTAGGTACCTAAGAGGCTGAGGTGGCAGGATCACCAGTACCCAGGAGTTTGAGGTTGCAGTAAGCCATGATCGCACCACTGCACTCCAGCCTAGGCAACAGAGCAAGACGCTGTCTCCAAAAAAACAAAACAAAACAAAACAAAAAGGAAGAAAGAAAAGAAATCAAGAGCACCTACAAGCGAACCAATGACAGAACTTTTTAAGAAGTTCAGTAGGTCTTTAGTTCCATTTTACTTTTCTTTTCTCATATTAAAATTAACTAAATACTATTTGAAAGAGAATGTACGGTATAACAAACTAATACAATTTCTCTCTTGCTTAGACTTGCTGAGATGTGTTTAAAGAGATGGTCATGATTTTTTAAGTTGGCAGTAGAATTTTGGGTGATTTAGTTTGTTTACTTTTTGCTTTCTCTTCCTACTTTTCAATCCCCAAGGAAATGGCCACCAGAGCTTGACACTGTTATCATTATTAATGCAGTAGTGACAGTGGGCAGAAGCAGCAAAACAATTACAAATTTCCTTGCTCCACACATGCTTACTGGGCACACAGAATTTCTACAAAAGCAAATTCATTATTTGTGAAAAAGGAAAAATCAGAAAATACCAGACAAACCAAAAGAATAAGTCAAAGCTTCAGTACCGAGAAGTTAACACTGTTAACATCATCTGAGTTAACTATTACCCTTCTGATGTATTCATGCTACTCTATTTGAGTAAAATGAGATCATACTTTATAGTTTTATAGTTTACACCCAATCATATATCACTAAAAAACTTTGAAATCATTAAGTGCAGCATGTTTTTTTTCTTTTTGAGACAGGGCCTCCCTCTGTCCTCCAGGCTAGAGTGCAGTGGCGCAATCTCCACTTACTGCAGCCTTGACATCCCAGGCTCAAGCAATTCTCCCACCTCAGCTTCCCAAGTAGCTGAGACAACAGGTACACGCCAACACACCCAGCTAACTTTTGTTTTGTTTGTTTGTTTGTTTGTTTGTTTTGGTAGAGACAGAATCTCACTATGTTGTCCAGGATGGTCTCAAGAACTCCCGGGCTCAAGCAATCCTCCAGCCTCCAACTCCCAAAATGCTGGGATTACAGGTGTGAGCCACGACGGCCAGCCTCCAGAGTATTTTTAATCGCTGCATTCCATCTTATGACCAGTCCCCAATTTGCTCAGCCAATCCCTTACTGGTGGATAGTTAGAAGACCCATTTCCAGCTAATATAAATATTATTCCCTAACAAAACCTCTACTCACATCTTTAATTATTTCACTGGGATAAATGACTAGACATGGAATTGCAGGATCAAGTATCTTAAAAGTTTTTTTATCTTTTTTCTTTATCTATTGTGCAACCCACTTCAGTGCCAGCAGCCTACGGGAACAGAGGCCAGGCAATGGTTCAGGGCTACAGTTTGCTCTGGCATGGGGTACTATGAGAGGTCCAGGGGGACGGGCCCATCATAAATCCAAACCCATGCATAAGCACCTTAAAAGTTTTGATGTGTACAGCCAAACTTCCCAGCAGAAACATTAAACTGTAGTATGTTCCAGCCCCCTTCAACAGTGTAAATGGTACCAACTGTCACTGAATAAAAGGCCAGACAGCTGAAATGGCCCACGGGAATTTGAAGAAACTACTGGCCCTGGCAGCAGCAAGATATCCTGAACCTAGTGCCTGGTAACAAGTAGGAAAAAAAAAAATCTGTCCGCTGCATTATGCAGAGACCACATCTCCACTCTCATGCTGCTCCACCACAGCAGCAATAGAGCGCCCCACACAGACCAGGCTGACCACATACAGGGTGACCGCCACCTGCACTCTCCTCCTAAATCGTCCCGGCAGTCACGTTCCAGGGGCAGTCCAGATCTCCCATCCTGGGAGGGAGAAGAAGGGCTGGAGACCCAAACACCCTGAGTACAGCACCCTGCTACTCCTCCTCAATAACTCCCAGAGTTCCGGCCAGGACATGGGACTGCTCCTCACCTCCAGACAGGCCAGGATTCCAGGGAATCTTACCGAGCAACTGCCATGTGCTGAGCTAAGTGCTGCCATTTATCATCTTAGTGAATCTCTTGATAAAATGCAAGGGGCCCTGGCAGATTAAATGATGCCAAGCCTCACTCTAGGGACACAGCCACCAAAAGGTGGTCAAGTTGGAATTCTCTGAAGCCCTGTTACTGATGTTCTCGTAACACAGGTCTAAGCCACCAAAGAAACTAACTTTGTTTTTTAAAACGACATCTCCCAAGGAAATCCAGGTAGCCAAGGCTATGAGTCTGAGTAGGTTCCATAGCCATAAAGCCTCCTTTGTTTGCCCGACTCTGCCTCTCTGAAGTCTGCATTTATCCTCTGTGACGGCATTGTTCAGCATTCCAGACGGCATAACAGGAACAACTCTGTTCACTCTTGACCAGTGATATCAAAATGGTACTGACCAAGGCTTTGCACCCGCTCACCCACCTCCCTGCCCCACATCCTTCAATCTGGTGTACACAGCAACTGCAAAGGCTGCAGACTTTTTTTGAACTTGGAAGAAACGGTTTGCAGTAGGTTTTTCAAAACAAATGGGCTTTCCTAACGGACAAGGGAGTACACCTACCTTTCACTTCCAACACCTGCACTATAGTGCTGTCATCACCCGCAATTAAAAAGGAGAGAGCAAACTGAACGTAGGCCTGCCGAACGTCGTACACTCCCTAGAGGACAAAGGAGACCTACATGTCACATGCATATTCCACATACAGCCAAAGGAATCAGCAACACAGTGGCCAAGCACACCCCTCCCGTCTCAACATCACCAGCCCCCCAGCCTTGTCCCCAGTCACCAGGGGATGCAAGTCTGAAACCAATGCTCATTCTCCATGGAAAGTAAAAAATTTTTTCCGTTCTCTTTCCCCGGTAATCTTCTCTACTTTCCTTCTCTTTCAAGCCCTATTCTCAATACAAAAGTATGGGTAAAAAATAGTAGTGTTCCCTTCCCTGACTATAACACATACATTTTCGTTTCTTGGCCACTTTGGTGTAGAGCAAGACTCTCAGCCTGCCTAGATCCATCTCCTCTCGCTTGCTGATGAAAATAATCTATGTTTTTGAAAATCCAGAGATGATGAAATGGCTGGTACTGCTTTTGGTGAGACACCAATGTGGTGATGTCTGGTTTTTATGAGATATTATAAATAACTTATTAGCTCATACCACAAACCAAAGCACAGATGCTGTCACGTTACTAACCCTGTTAGGCCTTCCCAGGGTTGTAGCCAGCACTGTCCACATGCATCAGCCACCAACCAGGGCACTGGGCACGTTTGGGGAGGGCCCCAACACCGTGACAGCAGCCAGTGCCTCTAGGGAAGCCGCTGATCAGCTTCCCCTCCCAGTATCATTAAGACAAAGCTGTGTCACATCACTCCTCGTTTTGTATCTAAGGAACTCAAGGCATGTGGTCATGTCAGTCTCTCATCAGCTGTTCCAGAACTAGCAGGTGTGCCTGGATCCTCCATTGCTTACACCCAGCACTATTCTCTACTTCACAGTTACTCCAAAGATACCTTCATTCACTGCCAAGAAATAAGTTAATATCACAACAAGTCACTGCCCCAAAATGCCTGGGAAAATTAAGGAGTAATCTCTGCCTTCCAGATAGTTCTGTTCCACTTAGTAGTAGCAGGAGAGGTGGTGGCAGTAGTAGTGATGATGATGAGGAGGAGGAGGAGAACAATGTTTACAGAGCACTTACTATGTGCCAGGCACTGTATCAAATGCTGCACATCCGTGATCTCATTTACTCCTCATAACAGCCTGAGGGAGAGATGCCCACACCACACCCATTTTACAGATGAGAAAACTGAGGGTTCAAAAATTCAGCCGGACACGGTGGCTCATGCCTATAATCCCAGCACATTGGGAGGCCAAGGAGGGTGGATCACTTGAGGTTAGGAGTTCGAAACCAACCCGGCCAACATGGTGAAACCCTGTCTCTACTAAAAATACAAAAATTAGCTGGGTATGGTGGTAGGCGCCTATAATCCCAGCTACTCGGGAGGCTGAGACTTAAGCCCGGGAGGCAGAGGTTGCAGTGAGCAGAGATCACGCCACTGCACTCCAACCTGGGCGACAGAGCGAGACTCCATCTCAAAAAAAAAAAAAAATTTCACTCGAGGTCACACAGCTAATTAAGTACCAGAACTGAGATAAGAAGTAATTGTACAAACATACGACTTATGTTCAACTACAGAGAAGTTCTTCCTTCTTCACAAGATTCTGTGGCATTTTCCATTTTCATTTCACTTTTTCTCAGGGTGCAAGGACCATACTTGGCATCAGTTAGGTCTCTGTGCAAGTCTTTAATTAATTCCATCTTATTTTGTTGGGTCTATGTTTCTTCTGGAGAAAAGGAAGGCTATCCAACCCATGCTCCCTAATATGTGGATCAAGGCCTTGCACACTCATTACATTTATTGAGTTTATCCCCGTCCATGTCACACAGCATCTCAGCAAGACCTTATTACACCAATGTGAGTTTCTTCCAAAACTGAGACCTTCAAACTATCCTCTCTGTTCTGAGGACCTATCTGTGTGTCTCATCACAATAAGGAGTTTGCATCCAATGATCACTGGTGCTGAGAATGTGCAGCACTTCCATAGTGTCAGCAACACTCCAGTGCCTTAACCCACCAATTCAGTTTTTATGAAACACTCATTCCATTCAAGATGCCATCATCTCAGGCCAAGAGAGGGTGCAAAGTTTACCAAGATGTTGTCCCTGTCCTCAGGAAGCTTAAGCTGCTCCCAAGCCATCTCTATGCCTCATTGTTCAAATAAACATACCATCTAATTCAAGCAGTTAATTTTCTTGATCTACACACACCTTGTGTTCCAGATGAATGCTGGTAAAATGCTAAAACTTGCCTGGCAAAATTAAATTAAGTTCTGTCTTTTCCCTGCTAGTGGAAAGTTCCTGTGCTTTTATTTTGTGTCCACTGAAGTAACAGTACTGGGAGTCAGGGCCCTGGAATGCTGGTCCAGGTTTTCTGCCATTCTACATCTTTCTATCCTGCTGGTACACAGCAGAACTAGACCTCCTGTGGGTCCCTCCAGCAATGAATTTATAAATGAAAAGGGATTTAGTTATCACCTCCTGGCTTCCATCTTTTATATCCCAGACAACTCCAAATTTCACGTCCTGACATGATGGAGGAACTGGGTAAGATCCCCAGGACACAGCAGCTGCCCACTCTAGGCTCTAGGCTCTGCCACTGTCGTGGCCCCCTGGGGCTCCATCCTCTGTTTCCAGTCCTCTCCATCAAAGGCGTCCCACTCCTACTGCAAGTGGACCACATGCCTGCTCTTCATTCCCACCCTGTGACCTCACAGGGTTATTATTCCAGGAAGAAAACGTCCTGAACTCTTCAGGGCTTGTTCTGCAAAACACTGTCTAAAACAGACCAAAATACACTTGGTAAAACTGCTCTTTGGCACAGGATTTTAACAATGCTTTCTTTGGCTGGATGAATATTATCTATAACCCTCCTTCTTCATGACGCTTTAATAATTTCCTCCAAAATGTTAACATATATTCATTAAAAAAAAAAAAAAATCCCTGCCAGCACTTCAACAACTAAATAGCATTTAAAAAAAAAAAGCAGGGGATGGCATGAGGGAGAAAAACTCAAAGACGCAAAAGGGATCAAAGATATTTAAGAAACATATCAACCAAATGCAATGTGGACTTTGTTTGGATCCCGATCTGAATCACAAAGTGTAAAAACATTTTTGAGACGGAAAAAACCTGAGACCAAACTGAGTAATAGATGATAGTGAGAAATTATTAATGTGTTAGGCGTGATAATGGCACTGTGGTTTCTGTTCTTTAAAAGGTCTTTTTCTGTTAGAGTACATGCTGAAATATTTATAGTGAAATATGATTCACGTCTGGGATTTGCTATAATCGACTGCCCCAGAGGAAACTGAAAAGGTGGAGGGTGGGGACAGTGGCTGAAGCTGGACAGCTGGTACAGGGGTTCCTCACGCTGCTCTATTTTTAAATGTTCCTAACAGTTCCTTATTAAATGTAATGTCTCAACTCCATTTCCTATAACATATAAGATATCTAAGATACTTATTACAGATTACACAATGAAAGTAAAAACACTTTCAACTTGACTGTAACTCCCATTTTACAGATCCTGGAGAGGTAAAATAATGTGCCCTGAGACCCTGAGATGAAACGGCTTGTGTGTGGCCCTGCAGCCGGGCTTCAGGACGGGAAGCCCTTTCCCACGCTGTCTGGGCTCCTAAAGTCTATTTCACTTAGACGGCGGGGAGGGCTGAGATCAAAAGAGATGGGTGGGGAGGGCATCTGATGGATAATTATTGCCAGGCTTACTGCCAGGTAAGACCAAAGAACCGTGATATTTGCCCTCGTCTGCAAATAGCACACACATTCTTTTTATTAGAAACGTATTTAAATGTCAGGAGCCATTACTCATTGAATGGAATTTGTTGACACATGGATAAAGCATAGTATCTAAGAGACATTAAGACCTGGAATTTTTTTCCTTAGAGAATACCTTATTTGTAATTCCAGTAAAACCCTCAACACCAGGCCAATCTCACAGAGCCATAAAAGCTACTTGGTATTATCAACCCTTTAGTCCAATTCCCGGCAATGTAGAAACTCTTAGTTCCCAGGGATACTGACAGAACAAGGCAGCACACTGTTATAGAAGTGAATTATTCTAATGTGGTTCTCCACCGCAGCAGATGGGATGGACTGATACCTGTCCCCTTATTCTTTACGTTCAGGAAGAGGGTGACACTCTGGCCAGGGCTGTTCACAGCACTGAATTCCAGCAGGGGAGCTGATATGGCAACCAGAAGAGGCCCTACGACAGACAACCTGGAGCCAGCACACGCGATGGGAGGATGCCCTCTCTCAAGCTCAGGAGTCCTCCAAGTGTGCCTGCTCCCCAAGAACCTTTCCAAACCCAAGTGAAATTTCAAAAGCCACCAGGGAATTTTTGTTTCACAGGTTTCCTGAAAACCAACCATCCACACTCCCATTTTTCCTGGGCACAATCCAACCCTTACCCATCACAAGATTGTAACTGGGAGGCAAAAGTCACTTATTAAAAAGCCATAAAAGTCCTCTCTGAGGACGTCACTGGCTTAGAGCTTCAAGGGCTTTCTCCGAGGTGGGCAGAACAGGAACAGAGGACTGGCACACACTACAAGCTTCAGGGCCATGGGCACATGGAGGGTATTTCATTTACCAGGAGAGGAGATGCCCACAGCTAAGTCATCCTCACAACCAGGAAGGCCCTGTGCCACTCAGCCCCCAGGAGCCTCCTCAGATATCCCCATTGTTCAGGCTCTGCCAGGTTCTGGCCCTATCGCCAGCCTGAAGCGAGTCCTGTCCTCACAGACAGATCCTGTGGCTGCTGACACACACCTTTCTACATAGACACCTCTCATTTCATCTGTGTGGGGATCAGGGGCAGAGAATGGAGGAAAAACCACTACAGTCCTCCAAGGGAAGGAGACCCATGGAAGGCACGAGACACTGTGGTCCCCTCACCTTTGAATCCCTCTTGGTCACCAGGGTGTACAGGGTCTTTTTATTCAAATCAAAATGGCTGCAGACGTCCCTGGCAGCTTCCGGACCCTGGGTCACCATGGCGGTCATCAGGCTCAGGCAGGCGCGAGCCAACCTGCACAGGGAACCAGAGGAAATCGGACACGTCAACAACAGCAGAAGCACAGAGCCGCCTCACCACAAAGCCAGCTGCAAGCTGCTTGTGTTATTTGCTATCCCCAAACCAGAAAAAAAGAAGGAAAAAGACATGCTCTTTTTTTAAGGAAAAAGAAAAAAAAAAGCATAAAGATTCAAAATAACGCTAAAAATTAAAACTAAGTAGGATTAACAATATAAACACAAGATTTGAAGAAGATGGACATTTCTCTCTGGAGTGAGCCACTGTGTGATCAATAGACCACACCTCAGTCCCTGTGACTGCAGAATACAGAGGACGACTTCTTCACAAAGGCATCTCTGAATGCGAGCTCTTGGCTGTCTTTCCGTTCTGCGGTTATCCAGATTCCATGGTTTTCTGAGCACCTGCTACATGCAAGGCCCTGTTCTAGGTGCTGGGAAGGTGGCATTTTATAACACAGGCAAGGCCCTGCCACATGCACCTATAGGATTCCAGTAGAGGGAGTCACTCAACAGATAATAGCAGCAAGGACAGTAGCAGGCAGGACAAGAGGGACAAGGGGTAAGTAAGAGAGGAGTCAGGGACAGCCAGGGCTGGTCCACAAAGGAAGGGGGCAGAGACTCGGTCACTGTGGCCTCGGAAATAGCTCAGCTCTCCTCTAGCCATAAAGGTACTGACCAAATGCACCTGCGGAGAGCTGAATGCAGACCAAACCCAAAGGCCCATCCTTTGTCACACCAAGGCAGACTGCCTACCTGTAACCTGAGGCATACAGGGACTCACAGATGAGCTTCATGTGGTTGTTCATCAGCTTTTTCACAATGTTGGTTCCCACAACATGGAAATGTGAAAGATCACTTGCTGTCCGCAATAATATGGCCTCGAAAACTTGAAATATTAACATCGTCTGCAAAGACAGAATTGAAACGCTTAGAAATCGTCTCATTTCCTTTCCTCCTGTACATATATGCTCCTTTTGTCTTAGCCATAGTTACTTGTAGGCTTAAAGCCTTCAACATGCAGGATGACGCCCACCCAGATCCTGAGTCAAACGCGACAGCTTGGCAGGCTGATCTGCAGGACCCATGCCCTGCATGTAGCCCCACTCCCATAGTCCAGCAAAATAAAGAACAGCTTGTTAGGGCCAGGCGTGGTGGCTCACGCCTGTAATCCCAGCACTTTGGGAGGCTGAGGTGGGCAGATCACGAGGTCAGGAGATTGAAACCATCCTAGCTAACACGGTGAAACCCCGTCTCTACTAAAAATACAAAAAATTAGCCAGGCGTGGTGGCGGGCGCCTGTAGTCCCAGCTACTTGGGAGGCTGAGGCAGGAGAATGGCATGAACCCAGGATGCGGAGCTTGCAGTGAGCCGAGACTGCGCCACTGCACTCCAGCCTGGGCAACAGAGTGAGACTCCGTCTCAAAAATGAAAGAAAAGAAAAGAAAAGAAAAGAAAGAAAGAAAGAAAGAAAGAAAGAACAGCTTGTTTACAATCACAGAAAATCAAATGAGAAGAAAATTCTCTTAATGACTGGGTCTCATTCCTTTAGAGATATTCAGATCTACATCCTTATAGCAATAACCCTGAGATTTCAACAGGCGCATCAATATCCCAATGTTCAATCTCTTTGGAATCAGAAAACAATCATCAATTCATTATGTGTTGTGAGTCTGTGACACCACATGTTTATGTGTTTCCCTTTTGTTTAAATAAACCATACCGAAACCAAGTATATTTTGATTAGGAATCTATGATCCTTCCTTCTGATGTCATTCATCAAATGTTAATAATAAGTGAGAATTTTCCACTAAAATGCTTTCAAGGTCATGGAGGCAAAAAATGAATACATTCCTACAGCACAGGGACAAAGCATCATTTTCTATAGAAAGTTGGTAATGGAAATTTCTATCACATTTTTCCTCATCAAACTTAACAGCAGCATTAACTTTTCTTCTCTTCATCAAGCCATGTAAGGAACAACTTACTTCACTTTCAGGTCGTTTCTCTCCACTTAGGAGCTGGAAAATTTCGACACACTCAACAGAAATCTTTATATACCCTTCCACAACATCATACACATCTTCTCGTGGTAGCTTCTTGGCAGCAGACACAAACGCTTCCAAGCCTGAAAAAAAAGTTATGTTCAAACATTAACAAGGTCAGTCTTCTTAGAAACAATCACAGCCACCACTGCAACCTGCTTTCCCTATTCTGTGACCTTCCCCGATCCACCTACACTGCACAGAAGCTACTATGAATGCTATCAACTTAACTGTTTCTCTCCAAAATTCATGTTGAAACCCTAAACCCGGCCGGGCGCGGTGGCTCACGCCTGTAATCCCAGCACTTTGGGAGGCTAAGGCAGGCAGATCACCTGAGGTCAGGAGTTCAAGACCAGCCTGGCCAACATGGTGAAACCCCCTCTCTACTAAAAATACAAAAATTAGCCAGGTGTGGTGGCACATATCTGTAGTCCCAGCTACTTGGGAGGCTGAGGCAGAATTGTGTGAACTCAGGAGGCAGAGGTTACAGTGAGCCGAGATCGCGCCATTGCACCCCAGCCTAGGTGACAGAGCAAGACTCTGTCTCAGGAAAAAAAAAAAAAAAGAAAGAAAGAAACCCTAAGCCCTAAAAAGACAGTATTTGGAGATATAGTCTTTTAGGAGATAACTCAGGTTAAGTGAGTTCATGAGGGTGAGGTCCTGATCTAACAGGACTGGTGTCCTTAGAGGAGAAGGAGACATCAGAGAGCTCCCTCTCTGCATGTGGATAGAGGAAAGGCCATGTGAGGACACAGCAAGAGGGCAGTTGTCTGCAAGCCAGGACGTGCCCTTACCAGGATGTGACTATGCCAATGCCTTGATCGCGGACGTGGCCTTCAGAACTGTGAGGAAATAAATTCCTCTTGTTTAAGCCACCCAGTCTATGGTATTTTGTTATGGCTGCCCTAGTAGATTAATCCACAAGGACATTATGAACACACTTAGAAACCATGAAGGCAATAAGGAATGAGACAAACTGAGTGCCAATGTGACTCCCAGGTTTGACTACTGAGTCTGGCAATGACTCGTCTGGATCCCCATAGAGCTTTTGTTCCCTCAACTGTAGAATGGGTATAACAAGAAAAACCATATAGAGCATGGTAACGAAACATTACCAAGAGCTTTACTTACATGACATCAGCTAATTCTCACTGCAACCCTCCACCCTAGGTATGAGTATTTTTTTCCCTAGGTACTAGTATTTCACAGATGAGAAAACTGAGGCCCTTGTCCAAAGGTACACAGCTTAGGAGAGGTAGAGCCAGGACTCCAATCCAGGCAGTCGGGCTCCAGAGCCCATATTCTCCCTCCACGAACTGGATGATTCCTGCTCATGCAATGGAGCTGATGCCTGTTGCTCTGAGTGCACTGGCACACAGAGTGTCCGTGCTGCACCTGGCCCACAGTCAGTATGCCAAGCATCAGTTGACATCAGTGCTCTTTCAAAACCCAAAGGAGGGCACCCCACTAGAGTGTTTCCCCATAAGGCCACCCCAGAAGTTCCCCACTCAAAAATCTCCCCTCTCAACAGCCTGAGGATTCTACTACCCTTCCTGCAATTAATACAACCTCCCCTCCCCTACCACTGACACCTGAATCTGAACCCCCACCACAACCCCACCCTACCAACTGGGAGCCACCTGTGTGCCGCTGCCCACAGAATTCTCCTGCCAGAACCTGTTCTATAAAACTGCCTTTCAGAGAATCACTTGAACCTGCCTCTCGGAGAATCACTTGAATCCGGGAGGTGGAAGTTGCAGTGAGTCGAGATCGTGCCACTGCACTCTAGCCTGGCAACAGAGTGAGACTCCGTCTCAAAAACAAAACAAAACAAAAAAAACCCTGCCTCTCTCTGGTTCCACTCTTTGGGCCATACTTCTCAAAACTAGGAAGGCAGGGCATGGCAGTGGGTTGGAAGCCGCATGAGAGCGTAAGCTAAAGGTAACACATCTTACTGAGGCCTTCATCTCTTCTGGGGAGTGAAGACTTCACCTTATTCAAAAAAAAAAAAAAAAAAAGCAGAGGAAGGGACTAAATATTTCTATTAAAACCCACTTAGTAATGACCAATACAGTAAAATGTAAAATGCCACAAACTTTAAGAAATACACTACAGTCTTCATAGACACATCAGAATAGCGTGGTCTGCTTTAGGGAGTGTCTGGGCATCCCTAAGGGGTCCTTCCTTCTCTGCCTTGGGGCCACAGGCAATGGATCTAATCCTTCTTTCCCACACCAGCTGCCATCACCCTAGTCAGCACCTCTGAACACCAAACACTTCCTTTAACCTCTCTCCAGAAATGAGAGTTTCGAGATCCTTCTGTGTTCAGGTCACTCTCTATGTTCCCTTGAAGCATGAGGCCCAGAACAGGGCTTGGTACTGCAGGTGAGCTCCACTAGCTGAGCAGAGAGGACCAACACATGCTTCCTCTTGGACAGCAATTCTGCGTGTCTCAGATTCAAGTCCTGACGCTGCTAAGCCACATCTGCCGGGGACGCATGAGCACGCCATTACACCAAAAACATACCAGAAAAGAACAAAATTGGAGCCAGACTCCTGGGCACAAATCCCCGCTCAGTCACTTACTAGCTGCATGGTACTCAGTAAGGCACTGAACTCTGAGCTCTGGGTACCTCACCTGTATAACGGAACAAGAACAGAACCTACCTGACAGGGTTTGTATGAAGCGTAAAAAGGCTAATTTACACATAAAGCATCCAGCATCACACTTAGGTCAAGGTAAACCCTCAAAACATAAGCAGCCCCCCGGGTGTCCTCAGCAGCAGCAGTGAAAATCCAGTCACATTCGGCCTCTGCCAGCCTCACAGGTGTTTTCAGATCCCCTTTTATGCTGCAACATTTTCCGCAGCAACCACCGCCATTCCTTTAACAGTCACTGAGCAAGTGCATCTGCTATGCCAGGCGCTGCTCTGAGCTTCGGGGCCAGACTCCATTGCTGCCGTCTGCAGCGTGGTCTGGTGGTGATTATGAGCAGGCCATGGGTGTTCTGACCAAGGTGACTGTGAGTTACAGGAGCTCAGTCGGCACAGGCACCCTGGAGTTATGCATACCTACTCTGTCCCTCAAGAAAACACAGAATGCAAGTGATAGCAAGGGCTGTTAATACAGAAAGAGCAGTGCAACTACTCACTCTTTTTTAAGGAATTATTCGTCAAACTCTAGCATGTAACTCTGAGCATTCCAGAGTATTACAGGGTGGAAACTGCTGGCCTGTTATGTTTGCCGTCTTTACAGGTTCATCTTTCCATACACCATTTACTGGGCACCTACCAGGTGCACCTACAGGGGGTGCCCGAGACGTGCTGATGAGCAAATTAGAAATGGCCTCTACCCACATGGTCCTTACAATCTAATGATAGAGACCAATGTGAGTATTTATTAAGCACCTACCGCAATCACTTACATAGACACGTATAGCACCTGTAGTAAGTGCTATGAAGCAAACATCAAGAGTATAATGAGGACTGTACCTAGGGAACATGATCTAGATTAGAGGGTTGGGAAGGTTTCCTTTGAAGAAGTAATGCTGAACCTATTATTAATAATAGTAAACGTAAGTATTGAGGGGGCAGAGGGTGAGACCACATTCCAGGCCCCAAGGCTGGAGGGTACACTGGAGCCAGGTGAGTGGGGAGGGGTGACTGAGTGAGTGGGGGAGGGCAGCCTGAGATGAAGTCAAAGAAGCAGGCAGGGCTAGATGAAGCAATGGAAATGACTTTGGATTTTATCCTAAGGGCAGTGGGATACCACTGAAGGGTGTCATGAGAGGAGTGACATAATCAGATTTGGAGCTCTGAAGGATCATTTGACTGCTGCACACAGCACGGGCTGCAGGGAAGCAACAGCAAGAGAGACCAACTCTGGGCAACTCCAGCCACGGTCCCAGCAGGGACTGATGATGCCTGGACTAGAATGATGATGAAGGAAAGAGGGGGAGCAGACAGATTCCAGAAATTCTCAGGAGGAGAATCAACCACCAAGGCCAGGGGACAGACTGATGCAGACGGAGGGTTCTGGCAGGAACATCCAGCTAATCAGAATTACCACTTATGCAGTGGGGAAACCAGAAGCAATGTGGGGAGAAGGAGATCAAGAGTTTAACCATTAGTGTACTCTCTTACAGTATGGCCTTTTCTCTATCACCAGTGGAGTCGTGGGCAAACACTTTCAAAGGAACTGGCTTAGAGCCAAACCCTTCTTGATGGGGGATCTTCCCACAGGCTGACACTGATCCACTCTGGAATATCCTCAGTCCTTACCAATCTAACCTGGCAGCTCTTGTTCCTCCACTACACGAAGGGAGCATCATCAGAACCCTTCCCTCACATGCCTGGTGAAAACAAAGTCTCCTAACAGCCATCAACTTCACTTCCCTGATCTTCCAGCAATCCTATCATAGGTTATGAGAGCGTATAAAGAGGAAGAGAGGAGGAGAGAATCCAAGATACAGACCAGATTCAAACACAAGTTCAACACAGCCTCAAACAAGGGATCCACACTTTCACCCATTGACTCAGCTTTGCCCCATCTTTCAACTACTCACCTACACCCATGCCCTGTCAACCTGGGTCTCCTTCTGACATGTGTTCAAATGATGTAGCACCTGAATGTCATGAGGCTCTCTGTGCAAGACCATGAAATATAGATACTACATCTTTTTAACAATTAAACGTGCTCTTTCTTCTGCCAGTAAGGTTCCTGTCCCTGTCCCATCCTACAATCCTTTTGAAAAGCCACTTCCTCTGATGGCCAGTGATGATGAGCATTTTTTCATGTGTCTTTTGGCTGCATAAATGTCTTCTTTTGAGAAGTGTCTGTTCATATCCTTTGCCCACTTTTTGATGGGGTTTTTTTTTTTCTTGTAAATTTGTTTGAGTTCATTGTAGATTCTGGATATTAGCCCTTTGTCAGATGAGTAGATTGCAAAAATTTTCTCCCATTCTGTAGGTCGCCTGTTCACTCTGATGGTAGTTTCTTTTGCTGTGCACAAGCTCTTTAGTTTAATTAGATCCATCAGAGAAATGCAAATCAAAACCACAATGAGATACCATCTCACACCAATTAGAATGGCGATCATTAAAAAGTCAGGAAACAACAGGTGCTGGAGAGGATGTGGAGAAATGGGAACACTTTTACACTGTTGGTGGGACTGTAAACTAGTTCAACCATTGTGGAAGTCAGTGTGGCGATTCCTCAGGGATCTAGAACTAGAAATACCATTTGACCCAGTCATCCCATTACTGGGTATATACCCAAAGGATTATAAATCATACTGCTATCAAGACACATGCACACGTACGTTTACTGTGGCACTATTCACAATAGCAAAGACTTGGAACCAACCCAAATGTCCAACAATGATAGACTGGATTAAGACAATGTGGCACATATACACCATGGAATACTATGCAGCCATAAAAAACGATGAGTTCATGTCCTTTGTAGGGACATGGATGAAGCTGGAAACCATCATTCTCAGCAAACTATCGCAAGGACAAAAAACCAAACACCGCATGTTCTCACTCATAGGTGGGAACTGAACAATGAGAACACATGGACACAGGAAGGGGAACATCACACACCGGGGCCTGTTGTCGGGTCGGGGGGAGGGGGGAGGGACAGCATTAGGAGATATACCTAAGGTTAAATGACGAGTTAATGGGTGCAGGACACCAACATGGCACATGTATACATATGTAACAAAGGGGCACGTTGTGCACATGTACCCTAAAACTTAAAGTATGATTAAAAAAAAAAGAAAAGAAAAGCCACTTCCTCAGGGGAGCCTTCTTTGAGCTCCCAGATTAGATCCAAGGTCTGTTAAACACCCTCAGGCACCATGTACCTCTCCTTTGGAAAACTCGTGCTTGAAACTGTATGTATGTGATTTTACTGACCAATATCTGCCTGCCCCACTCGACTGTTTGTAAACCCCACAATGGCAGAGGCTTTTTGACATTTTTATTCATCACTTTATCTCTACCGTAGCAAATAATAGCCTCTAGTAATACTTAATGAATTCGGAAATAAATAACTCTATGCTAACTAAGTATCATCTTCCTAGCTGTGACTAGCAAGTACAGGTATAGGTATCAAAGTTTAAAAACAGGCCAGGTGTGGTGGCTCATACCTATACTCCCAGCCCTTTGAGAAGACAAGGTGGGAAGATTGCTTGAGACTGGGAGTTCGAGGGCAGCCTGGACAACATAGTGAGATTCCATCTCTACAAAAAGTAAAAAAAAAAAAAAAAACATAGCTGGGCATGGTGTTGTGCACCTACAATCTCAGCTACTTGGGAGGCTGAGGTGGGAGGACAGCTTAAGCCCAGAAGTTCAAGGCTGCAGTGAGCTATGATAGTGCCACTGCACTTCAGCCTGGGCAACAGAGCAAGACCCTGTCGTTTAAAAAAAAAAATGAGGACAAAAATTGGAAGTTGAAGATATTTTGGCCATTAATTTAATCGTTTATTTAACCTGGGAGAAAAACTGCCACTGTTTTATTTTAGAGCAATGCTTCCACATGGCAACACGTTCAATTGCGTTTTTCCCAAACCATGTTACTTTCCAAACGATTACAAGTAGTCGCGAAGGGTGGTCACACTTTACAAAAAGTGTAATTAAATTATAGAGTCGGCTACATCTCAGTCACTGGCCCATTCCTGGTCAACTGACAAGTAGCTGTGGTGGCTTCTAGTAGCTTGTTACAAGTCATCAAGTCAGTATGAGTGTTGGGGGATGGAAGCTATTGAAAACGGTGCTGACGGCCCAAGGAGTAGCAAACTGTCTCATGAACCGTCCTGAGCCGACTCAGTAAGGACTCAATAGAGAAGGACACTTCATTTACTTCCCTGACAACTGCAATAAAGAGGTTTTAGAGCTCGCTGAGGGATGCTGCCTGGGCAAGGGAAATAAATGTGTTGTAACATGAAACGGTCCCAATCAAGCAAGTCGGGGCCCTCTCGCTGTCGCCGACAGTCCAGAGCAAGGAAGTACACAGCAGTCCTGAACCTCAGTTTTCTGCAAACCAGAGGCTTGCCACTGAGCCTATGTGACCCGAAAGCTGCAGAAAGGAGAGGCTGTGCCCGGCACACGGAGGCCGCCTCGCCAGCCTGTGCTCCCGACCCTGCGCCTGCCGCCCCGGACTCACCTGGCCCGGGGCCCTGCGGGTCCTTCAGCTGAGCCTTGAACCGCACGCCCGTGAGCTCTTCTTTGCGGGCGCGCTTGGCTGCACCCGCGGAGGAAGCCGCGCCGTCCTGGCCGCCCGAGGCCTTCCTCTTGGGGACCCCCATGGCCGAGAGGGCGGAAGCGCGACGGAAACGACACACCTGAGGGGACCCGGCAGGAGCACTGGCACAGACAGCAGACACGCGCTTCAGGCCCACATGGCGCAGGAAGAGGCGGGGCTGGCGGAAGAGGCGGGGCTGGCGGAAGAGGCGGGGCTCGGGGAAAGGCCGGCGGAAGGGGCCGACCCGCGCGAGGCTGGGACCGGCGGAAGGGGCGTGGCCTGCAGAAGGGGCGGGGCGATAGGGATCCAGAGTCTTGGGGATCCAGAGTCTTGGGGCTCCATGTGAGTTTGCTGTACCGGTTGTCCCGGTCACGGCATGGGGCGAGCGGACACTCCACGACACCCCCCGCCCCCGGCTGCAGGGTTTGGGGTCCACCGGGGCGCATTTCTGATCCCAGTGGCTCTTCGGGTGCTCTTGGCCGGAAGAACTCCCAGACCTTTCACTCCTGGCCTGGCCGATCCACGAAGACTCGGGCCCCGGCGCGTCCAAGCAGCACAATGAGTAGTTCTTGACCCGAGGTCGCCCTGAAGGTGTCGCATGAAGAGCTTGCTTCACACACAACAGGATTCGATACTTTGCCAATTCAAGGCCCTGGTGGCTGGCCGGGAAGGTGGATTCGCCTTGGCTAGGTGCCAGGCAGGTCCGCCTGTGCGGGTGCCCCTGACTTCGACCCCTAGCTTATGTCACAGCCCGAACCAGATCGACTGGTCTGGTAGCAGCCTGTCACTCCAGACTGTCCTCCACCCCAGACTTCCGCAAACTGATGGGCTCTTTGCGCCGTGCAGGGTGGGAGGAGAAGACCAAACGAAGTAACGTCTGTAAAACCCCTTCCTGGACAGCGTAAGGCCTCCACATCTAAGTTCCTGTCATTAAAATGGAGACAGCAAAGCCGACCCTATCCAGTCCTTGGGACTGTTATGAACAGAAAATGATGCAATGTATGAAAAACTGCTTTGAGGAGAAAAACAACACAGTGTGTTTTTGGAAGATGTGATTGATTTGTAAACCGCATTAAATGCTCTGAAATAAAATGAAAGTAAAAATAAGTAAAAACAGGCTGGTACATATTTTAATACGACTTCATCGATACTTAGGTATGTGTCCAAATAAATCATGAACCAGCGCATTAGATAAGTAACTTGGTGATTACTGAAATTCTCCATCAGGTTGTCCTCTAGTCTAAGAAAATTGTGTTTCATATTCTGTAAGCAGATGTGTTTTGAACATCTGAGGATGTGGGCTTTTGTGGCCTGTTGGGGTCTCAGAGTTTCTAGTAGAAAAAGCACGTGTGTTGACGCTGAGCCTCTGTCCCGACAAGATGATTGTGCCTGTGGAGATGTCTATGTTGTAGGCAGGTCAGAGAGAGGGTGTCACCCCTAGCAGATATGAGCTAATGCAGCAATGTTAAGAGAGGGGAATATGCTCAAAAAGTCATCTGTAAAAGGCAACACTCATTAGTGAATACAGACTTAATTCTGACTGATTATCCACACTGGTCCTCTTCTTTGGTTAATCGCTAACCACCAACTTTGTTTTCTGCCATGGTGGTCCCAACCAAAAAGTTATCAGAAAGAGTTAGGAAACAGTCAAAAGCCCTGAGTTCAGTTTCTGCCTGTGTGACCTTGGGCAAATTACCATCCCTCTGTGCTGGTTTGCTTTACAAACAATTAAAGAGCATGAGGAACTTCCCAGGATTATCCAGCTAGTAACTGGTGGAGCCAGGACTCACCCAGTGTATCCTAGTCCCAAATTAAAAACAAAGAAACAGAAGTTGGCAGTGCCCATTTACAGCCTTAGCCAGAGATGTATGGATGGCAAGTGTGGCTCAGAAGTGCATTTGGATGTTTTAGACTAAGTTAATGCCATGAATCATTGATGCTGGGTTAACCCTTTGTTCAGATATGAGGCTCACCAACCTCTGGATAGTGACTTGTCTTTCCATATCAAAGCTTTGTATTATTTGCCTCCAGGAGCATTCTGGTTTGTTGCAGACTATGTGGTACTGCTCCTAGGACATTCTAAGCTGAGGAAAAAAGCCCGAGAGCTTTTGTACTTGTTCCCTCTCTTTGAAACTCTTTGCCCAGAGCTCAAGTGGCTCAGATGTGGACTTTTCCTGTACATACCTCACTCTCTGTCTCCCGACCTTTCTTGATTGGGCCTACTTTATAAAGACACTCACTAATTACATCTGAGGGCTCCACCCTCATGAGCTAGTCACCTCACAAAAGGCCTCCCACAACCAAATATCACACTTGGGATGGGGTTTCAACATAATGAATTTGAGGGGGACACAAACGTTCAAACCATAGCACTTTCCCAACATGAAGATGATTTTTCAGTTAAGTTCTAACAATCTTTTCAGAAACAGATAATTCTCACCTTGTGCCGTTAGTTCCACAAAATAAAAAATAAAGTATCCCAACATCTTTTACGAGGCTCATATAACCTTAAATACAGAACAAGCTAAGGATAACACAAAGTATGAAAATGATGAACTTATTTCAAGTATGGATATAAATGTGTGTAAATAGAATATTAGTTAACTGAATACAAAACAGCACTTGAAAAAAACACAAGAAATACAAGGAAAGAATATCTTGCTTATATAACTCACCACAATAATGGATTAAAGGAGAAAAATCCGTTATTATTTCAATAGATGGAAAAAGACATTTGAAAAGATACCTATTTATGATTTTTAAAATTCACATAAAACTAGGGATAGAAGGACTTTCCTTAACTTGGTAAAGACTATATACCAAAAACCTGCAGCAATTATCATGCACAATGGGAAAACTATATGAACTTGAATTATGACTGGGAACAATAGGAAAAACAGGGATGTCCACCATGCTACTATCTATTACGAGAGGTCGTGGCTAGTGAAATAAGGCAAGACAAAGAAATAAGAAATGAAACTGTAATCTAATTGGAAAATTCAATAGAAATGCAAGCTAAATAAGAATTTAGCAAGGTTGTCAGACATAAAATCAGTTACCAAAATTGGTAGCATTACCTCTACATTAGCAATAGCTAATTTAAATATGTAGGAGAAGCTGGGTGTGGTGGCTCATGCCTGTAATCCTAGCGCTTTGGGAGACTAAGGTGGGAGGAGCACTTGAGCTCGGGAGCAACATAGTAGGACCTCGTCTCTACAAAAAAAAAAAAAAAATTTAAGTAGCTGGTGTGGTGGTGCATATCTGTAGTCCCAGCTAGTCAGGATGCCAAGGTGTGAGGATTGCTTGAGCCCAGAAGACCGAGCCTGCAGTGAGCCAGATTGCTCCACTGCACTCCAGCCAGGGCAACAGAGGGAGACCCTGTCTCAAAAAATAAAATAAATATAAAACAAAAATAAATAAATATGTGGTAGAAAACAAAGCACCATTTAGAAAGAAAAAAACCCTACAAATTCTCAGAATTAAACTAAAAAGACTGCACAGCATCTTTAAGGACAACATTGTAAAATAATATTTGGTTAAATAAAGATACATACTATGTTCACGGAAGAATGTCTTCACATTGTAAAACTGCTAATTTTTCCTAAATTAAGCTGTAAACTATTACCATTCCAATAAAAATTAAATTCAGAAAACCATAATATATTCTTATGGAAAAAGAACAATCCAGGAATAGCTAAGTCAGCTTGACAAGACTAAAGGGGATCTTACCTTATGCATGAAGACGTATCTCAAAGTTGCAATGGTCAAATTAGAATGGCAGTGGCAAAAGAACAGACAAATAGGCTGGGCGCAGTGGCTCACACCTGTAATCCCAGCACTTTGGGAGGCCAAGGCGGGCAGATCACAAGGTCAAGAGATTGAGACCATCCTGGCCAACATGGTGAGACCCTGTCTCTACTAAAAAAAAAAAATTAGCTGGGCGTGGTGGTGCATGTCTGCAATCCCAGCTACTCGGGAGGCTGAGATAGGAGAATCACTTGAACCTGGGAGGCAGAGGTTGCAGTGAGCTGACATCGTGCCATTGCACTCCAGCCTGGGCGACGAGAGCGAAACTCCGTCTCAAAAAACAAACAAACAAAAAACAAAACAAAACAAACAAACAAAAAACAGACAAATAGCCTGGTGGAATGGAATACAGACTCCAAACAGATCTATGTAATGGAGGTACAGGTTAACAAATCTGAAACTTCTTTTTACATATCCTGGAATTGAAAAATAAGTAAATGGATAAAGGATGGTGGGAGCCAGGCTTCACACTGTTGGAAAAGGAAGTTACATATAAGCAAAAGGGTAAGGCTAGAACGGACCCTGTGATACTGGATTAGAGTTGGAAACACCAGCATGATCTCATGTTTAGTTTAACACAGGTAGAGATGGATTGGTACAGAAATAAGTATAAATACATATTCTACCTGGGTTTGTACACAAGCATATATTTCCTAGCTCTGTTCACTGGTAGGGCCTAGAAGCAGTCACACCCCAGAAGCAATGAGCACACTCAGTGCCCAGATCTTGGTTTCTAATACCATTATCAAATAAAAGGAACCAGGGTGGGTGTGGTGGTTTATGCCTGCAATCCCAATATCTTGGGAGGCCAAGGTAGGTGGATCACCTGAGGTCAGAAGTTCGAGACCAGCTTGGCCAACATGGCAAAACCCCCATCTCTATCAAAAATACAAAAATTAGCTGGGTGTGGTGTCATGCACCCGTAATCCCCGCTACTCAGGACACTGAGGCAGGAGAATTGCTTGAACCAGGGAGGCGGAGGTTGCAGTGAGCCAAGTTTGTGCCGCTGCACTCCAGCCTGGGTGACAGAGTGAGACTCCATCTCAAAAAAAAAAAAAAAAAAAAGAGAAAAGAAAAAAGAAAAAAAAACACACAATAAAAATATAAAAATAAAAAGAACCAGGACTCCTTAGAGAAATGGCTGATTCTAGGGCTGGGACAGGGAACACATAAGGTGAGTGTGGAGTATCTTGTAGTACCAGAAAGTAAGAAATGCTTCAAAAACAAAAGAATGGAGCTATGTCAAAGAGTCACAGGAACCAACTTGAAAGAACTCCCAATGGAACAGTTTCGGTGACAAAATGAATAATATAGCATTGGATTATAACCTAGGGTAAAAAGTAAATATATGTAAGTCTATACTGATATAAAAAATGATGATCACCAGGCATGATGGCTCATGCCTGTAATCCTAGCACCTTGGGAGGCTGAGACAGGAAGATCACTGGAGCCCAGGAGTTTGGGTCCATCCTGGGCAACAGTTTAGCAAGACCTCATCTCTAAAAGAAATAATAATAATAAAATAAAAATAAATTGATTGCTAAGTAAATAAATGGGGGAGAAGAGATAAATCTTCCTTACAAAAGTAATCCAAATAATACATGTAGATACTTCCTGCTTCCAGAGGTGGAGCTTAATTCAAATACTCCTCCCCACTTCCCTAGTGTAGGTTTAGTGACCTACTTTTAAATACTGGAATATGACGAGGGAAAAATGATAACTCTATAATAGAGAAGCATGGCAAACACTACCTTATCCAAGGGATCAAAGTTAATGTCATGTATAAATCATGTTACTGTGATGTACCCCTGAAGTGATGTGATGAAGATGCTTTGCCTCTGTATATCCTTCCCGAAACCCAAAATCCCAGCCCAATTGTGTGGAAAACATCAGAGAAACCTAAATTGAGGGACAGTCTAAAAAGTACATGAGCAGTACCCTTTAAAACTGTCGAGGTCATGAAAAGCAATGAAGAACTGAAACACGACCACAGACCAGATGTGATGGGAGACACAATGATAAAATGCACTGTGGTACCCTGGACTGGACCCTGGAGCAGAAAAAGGCCAGAAGGGGAAAAACTAGTACAGCGCAAATAAAATAAAGTCTGGCGTTTAGTTAATAGTAACGTCCCAATGCTGGTTGCTTAGTTAGCAAATGTACCCTACAACCGTGAGAAATGTAAAACATCAGATGAAACTGGCTGAGAGTGTATGGAATTTTTTTCAAATGTTCTGCAAATCTAGAATCATTTCAAAATAAAAAGTGTAGTCAAGGCCAGGCACAGTGGCTCACACCTGTAATCCCAGCACTTTGGGAGGCTGAGGTGGATGGATCACTTGAGGTCAGGAGTTCGAGACCAGCTCAGCCAACATGGTGAAACCTCGTCTCTACTAAAAGTACAAAAAGTACCTGGGCGTGGTGGTACATGCCTGTAACCCCAACTACTGGGGAGACTGAGACAGGAGGATCACTTGAACCCAGGAGGTGGAGGTTGCAGTGAGCCAAGATCGTGCCACTGCACTCCAGCCTGGGCAACAAAGTGAGACCCTGTCTCAAAAAAAAGAAAGAAGGAAGGAAGGAAAGAAGAAAAGAAAGAAAGAAAAAAAGAAAGAGAAAAGTGTAGTTAAAACAAAGACCTATGCATAGATAGGAACTTTTTATTTTTAATTTTGAAACAGCTTTATTAAGGTATAACTGATATGCAGTCTAATGGCACATATTTACTGTATATGATTTGATGAATTACCTCCTGGCTCCTGGTAACCACCATTCTATTCTCTGCTTCTATGAGTTTGACTATTTTAGGTACTGCTTATGAGTCCTGTCCTTCTGTAACTGGCTTCTTTCACTCAGCAGACACCCAGAATAATTGAAATAAGGTTATTGAAGGGATATTTGCACTCCCTGTTCATTGCAGCATTATTCATAATCGCCAATTTACAGAAGCAACCTAAATGCCTATCGACAAATCAATGGGTTAAAAAAAAATGCGGTATTTAGTATACAATGAAATATTATTCAGCCTTAAAAAAAAGAAGGAAATCTTGATATTTTTGACAACATAGATGAACCTGGAGACCATTATAGAAATGTGATATGTGATCAAGACAACACCAAAATCAGTGGGAGAAGGGTGGTGTGGTAGATTACAAAATATGGTCACAAATTCCTCCCACCCTGGAATTCATGCCCCTTTGCAATTTGACTTTGCAGTTCTCATTGGGAGGTTGGGACATTTCTTCCCCTGTTGGGGAGCAATTTGGAACCACAGATCTCCAGGGGTAGCTGACTGCCAGTGTCATGATACTGTCATTATCTCTTCATTTAACATCTCCTCTCAGAGTACTCCTGGCTTGCTAGTTTAAATTGTGAAAATTTTCTGCATTAGCCTCATTTTATTTACATTCTTTGGTCTTTACTGTTCATTACTATTTAAATGTGTTAACATTTAAATGACATCTATACTGTAATTTTCCTTTGTCACTATTGAAGTCACCCTGGACTGCTAATTGCAAACATAATCGTATTTTCAGAGAGGTTTATTTTAGGCAGATTGCCCCTTAAGTTGCAGGAAGATGGAAAGAATGGCAGGCAGATCACCAAGAATACTCTGAAGATGAAGATGAATAAAGTGGGTAAGAGTGACTGGGATGGGCAGGGAATGGCAGACCCCTGAATGAGTTAGGGAGTGATCGAGCTTGAATATTTGTGCCACCCAGATCTCATATTGAATTGTAATCCCCAATGCTGGAGGTGGGGCCTGATGGTGGGTGTTTGGGTCATCAGGGTAGATCCCTCATGGCTTGGTGCAGTCTTTGAGATAGTGAGTGATTGCTCGTGAAATCTGGTCATTTAAAAGTGTGTGGCACCTCCCACACCCCAGCTCTTGTTCCTGCTTCCACCAGGTGAGATGTCTTGTCCCTCTTTGCCTTTGGCCATGAGTAAAAGCTCCCTGCAGCCTCCCTAGAAGCAGATACTGGCACTATGCTTCCTGTACAGCCTGTAGAACCAGGAGCCAATTAAACTTCTTTTCTTATAAATAACCCACCCTCTGGTATTCTTTTAGAGCAATGCAAGAACAGCCTAACACACGGAGAAAAGCCAAGGCAACCGATAGGTAAGAAAGAGCCCTCTAAGCAGAAGCTATAGCCAATGCAAAAGCACTGAGGTGGGACAGCAAAAAGGCCAGTGTGTCTGAAATGGAGGGAGGGCGATCATGGTAAAAGTGAGGCCAGTTGGAGTGGCTCATGCAGAGCCTGGTTGGACAAGGTAAAGTCTCCGTAGCATTTGAATTGTCTGGATTTGCCATTCCCAAACTGGGCACCAAAGTGCCCAAAGCACCACATTGCCTTGGAATGTTTTCAAAAGTTGAGGGAAATCCATCAATTCTTGACATCTGTTCATTACCAGGCAAACTACTGGCTCAAGGTAGTTCATAGATTCAACATTAGATTGTGCTAGTTTCCAGCTGGGTGCAGTGGCACACGCCTATAATCGCAGCACTTTGGGAGGCTGAGGCTAGCAGATCACCTGAGGTCAGGAATTCAAGACCAGCCTGGCCAACATTGTGAAACCCCATCTCTACCAAAAAAACACAAAAATTAGCCAGGCGTGGTGGCAGGCACCTGTAATCCCAGCTACTCAGGAGGCCGAGGCAGGGAGAATTGCTTGAACCTGGGAGGCAGAGGTTGCAGTGAGCTGAGATCGTGCCATTGCACTCCAGCCTGGCAACAGAGTGAGACGCCATCTCAAAAAAAAAAAAAAAGATTGTGCTACTTTGGAAGAAGAGATGAAGAGATGAGTTCACAGCTTTGCAACGCTGGGTTTCCGGGGCTTACCATGATGAAAAGCATCAGCCAAGTGTGGCGGTGCCTGCCTGTAGTCCTAGCTACTTTGGAGGCAGAGGCAGGAGGATCACTTGAGCCCATGAGTTCGAGGTTGTAGTGAGCTTATCGAGACACTGTACTCTGGTCTGGGGAACAGAGGAAGAACCTCTCTCTAAAAAAAAAAAAAAAAAAAAAAAAAAAGAGCAAGCACCAAGCTGAAATCAACACGGGTCAAGAAATGATAGTGTGGTATCCAATCTGATTTCAAGGTTGAAGAAATAGTGACATGTCCAACGGGCACACACACCCCATTCGAAATTATCTGTGCTTATTTAAGAATAAAGGAGGACTGGCCATGGTGGCTCATGCCTCTAATCCCAGCACTTTGGGAGGCCAAGGCGGGCGGATAATCTGAGGTGAGGACAGTCAGCCTGGCCAACATGGTGAAAGCCCATCTCTACTAAAAATACGAAAGTTAGCTGGGAGTGGTGGCAAGCGCCTGTAGTCCCAGCTACTCGGGATGCTGAGGCAGGAGAATCGCTTGAACCCAGGAGGCGGGGGTTGCAGGGATCACACCATTGCACTCTAGCCTGGGAGACAGAGGGAGACTCTGTTTAAAAAAGAAAAAAGAAAGAATAAAAGAAAACATTTTTATTTCCATCATATGTATTTACGTATATATGTAAACTGCTTCTTTATTATTAGAACACAAATACTTATGTTGTTTGGACATAGCTATTTAATAAACTTAACAGTTTAGGTTTGGGTTTTGTCCTGGAGCACTTGAAAAATTATTGAGACACTAAAGGTGCCATGAACTGAGAAAGATTGAGAACTTCTGGTCTATACCTTTGATCAGAGCTCACTTTTATTAATTCTAAATTCCCTTTGCGGACTTTGATTCTTTTTTTTTTTTTTTTTTTTTTTTTTGGCAGCCTTAAGCTTTCCCTTGAGAATGAAAATTTAAAACTTGTAAATTTTTTGTACACCCATGTTCATAGCAGCATTACTCACAATAGCCAAAAGGTGGAAGCCATCCGTGTCCATCAATGGATGAATGGATACACAAAATGTGGTATATACGTACCATGGAGTATTTTTCAGTCTTAAAAAGGGATAAAATTCTCACAACCTTGAAAACATTATGCTAAGTGAAATAAGCTAGGCACAAAAGGACAAATACTGTATAATTCCACTTATATGAGGTACCCACGGTAGTCAAATTCATAGAGACAGAAAGTGAAGGCCGGGCACGGTGGCTCATGCCTGTAATCCCAGCACTTTGGGAGGCTGAGGCGGGTAGATCACCTCAGGTCGGGTGTTTGAGACCAGCCTGACCAACGTGGAAAAACCCCGTCTCTACTAAAAATACAAAATAAGCCGGGCATGGTGGCTCATGCGTGTAATCCCAGCTGCTCGGGAGGCTGAAGCAGGAGAATCGCTTGAACCTCGGAGGCGGAGGTTGTGGTGAGCCGAGATCACGCCATTGCACTCCAGCCTGGGCAACAAGAACAAAACTCTGTCTTAAAAAAAAAAGAAAAAACAAACAAGAAAGTGAAATGGTGGTTGTCAGGGGCTAGGAGAGAGGGGAATGGAGAGTTAGTGTTTAAATGGATGCAGTGACTCAATATTGGAAGATGAAGAGATCTGGAGATGGAAGTTGATGATGACTGCACAACAATGTGAACGTACTTAATGTTACTGAACTTTACAGTTAAGATGGCTAATATGGTAAAGTTCATGTTACGTATATTTCACCATAATAAAAATACATTTTTGAAATTCATGGACCACACTCATCACTCCTAAAACATAAATTAAGATTCCCACCTACAGAGGGCGCCATTGACAGTCCTAGTGGCATTCGGGGGTTGGGTGTGCAGGACCCACAACTGCCTGAAGCTCCAGCCTTCTCCTTCCCCAGCCAGCTGCCTGTGCAACAGTCCTCAGCCTCCCCCACCTCTCCCTCACCCTTCTGAGACTTTTGCTGAGGTTTTTGTTTTGCTTGTTTTTTTAAAACTGCTGCCGATCAAGGGGAAACAGACTGGGCATATCCGTGACTACCCCTCTCTTTTCTTCCTTCTAGGAGAGACAAAGTCACTAGAAAAGCTAATGTGGTACCTACATACAACAAGATATCATTCAACCTCAGGAAGGAAGGATATTCTGACACATGCTACAACAACAGGGATGCACCCTGAGGTCATTATGCTAAGTGAAATAAGCCAATTAATCCTGTATGATTCTGCTGATAGGAGGTACCCAGAGAAGTCAAATCCATAAAGACAGAAGTAGAATGGTGGCTGCCAGGGCTGGGGAGAGGTGGGGATGGGGAGTTGGTGTTTAATGGGTACAGAGTTTCAGTTTAGCAAAATAAAAAGAGTTCTGTGGATACGGGGTGGTGATGGCTGCACAAGAATGTGAATGTACTTAATATCACTGAACTGTACACTTAGAAATGGTTAAAATGGGCCAGGCACAGTGCCTCACACCTGTAATCCCAGCACTTTGGGAGGCTGAGGCGGGCAGATCTCTTGAGGTCAGTAGTTCGAGACGAGCCTGGCCAACATGGTAAAACCCTGTCTCTACTAAGAATACAAAAATCAGCTAGGCATGGTGGCAGCACCTGTAGTCCCAGCTACCCAGGAGGATGAGGCAGGAAAATCACTTGAACCCAGGAGGTGGAGGGTGCAGTGAGCCCAGATCATGCCACTGCACTCCAGCCTGGGCTACAAAGTGAAACTCTGTCTCAAAAAAAAAAAAAAGGTTAAAATGATAAATTTTATGTTATGTATATTTTACCACAATAAAAATATTTATATATAAATTTGTGTATTTATATATACATATATACTTATGTATATTTATATATGCATATATAAAAATATCTATATTTTACCACTATAAAATATTTTTAAAAGAAAAATGATTTTTTCTTTTTGGATGTGTGTGTGTGTGTGTGTGTGTGTGTGTGATATCAGGTCCTTGAGGACTTGAAAAGCTCAAATCAGATTTGGCTGGCATTTCAGAAGAAAGCCAGGCCTCCAAAACTCAGGTGTGTCACAGAGGGCTCAGGGACAGGGATGCTGCTGAGCAGAGGAAAAGGATGAGGGAGTGAGCCTGGCCTAAGGAGGCCAACAGAGTGGGCCAGAGGTGGGGAGGGAAGAGGGTATTCAAAAACCAGGGTTGAGGAGAGTGTCCCAGCCAGTTCACAGGAAGAAGAAAAAAGTTCTGGTGGAAAAGCCATTCCAGTATCCCACTAGAGCAGCGGTCCCCACCCTTTTTGGCTCCAGTGACCAGTTTCTTTCATTCTCTTTTTTTTTTTTTTTTTTTTTTTTTTGGAGATGGAGTTTTGTTCTGTCATCCAGGCTGGAGTGCAGTGGCGTGATCTTGGCTCACTGCAACCTCTGCTTCCTGGGTCCAAGCGATTCTCCTTCCTCAGCCCAAGTAGCTAGGACTACAGGTGCCTGCCACCACACCCAGCTAATTTTGTATTTTCAGT